>NC_000015.10:17083673-17383673 GCF_000001405.40 Homo sapiens | reverse complement strand
TTCTCAGAATGCTTCTGTGCAGTTTTCATATAAAGATATCTCCTTCTCCAAAATAGATCTCAAGGTTCTCCAAATATTCACTTCCAGATTCTATGGAAAGATTGTCTCAAAACTGCTCAATCAAACCAAAGGTTCAACCCTGTGAGATGAATGCACACATCACAAGGAAGTTTCTCGGAATACTTCCCGTGTAGTTTTTATTTGAGGATAGTTCCTTTTCCACCACAGACCACAAAGGGCTCCAAATATCCATTGCAGATGGTACAAACAGAGAGACTCGAAACTGCTCAATCAAAAGGTAGTTTCAACCATGTGATATGAATGCACACAGCACAGAGAATTTTCTCAAAATGCTTCTGTCTAGTTTTTATTTGAAGATATTGCCTTTTCTACCATAGGCCACAAACGTCTCCAAATATCCACATGCAGCTTCTACAAAAAGAGAGATTCAAAGCTTCTCAATCAAAAGATAGGTTCAACTCTGTGAGTTGAATGCACACTTCACAAAGAAGTTTCTCAGAGTGCTTCTGTGTGTTTTTATGTGAAGATGATTCCTTTTCCACAATAGGCCTCAAAGCTCTCCAAGTATCTGCAAGCAGAGTCTACAAAAAGAGAGATTCAAAACTGCTCAATGAAAAGATAGGTTCAACTCTGTGAGTTGAATGCACACCTCCAAAGAAGTTTCTCAGAATGCTTCCGTGTAGTTTCTATGTGAAGATATTTACTTTTCCACAATTGTCCCAAAGCTCTAAAATATCCACTTGCAGACCCTCTGAAAGAGTGTTTCAGAATTGCTCAATCAAAGGAGAGGTTCAATTCTGTGTGACCAATGCACTCATCACAAAAAGTTTGTCTGAATGCTTCTGTGTAGAATGGATTTGAAGATAATTCCTTTTCCACCACAGTCCGCAAATGGCTAAAAATATCCACTTGCAGATTCCACAAAAAGAGAGATTCAAAACTGCTCAATCACAAGGTAGGTTCAACTTGGTAATTTGAAAGCACACATGACAAACAATTTCTGAGAATGTTTCTGTGTAGCTTTTAAGGGAAGATATTTGATTTTCAAATGTAGGCCTCAAAACGCTCCAAATATCCACTTGCAGATTGTACAAAAAGAGAGATTCAAAACTGGTCACTCAAAAGATAGTTCCAGCTCTGTGAGTTGAATGCAAACCTCACAAAGATGTTTCTCAGAAAGCTTCTGTATAGTTTTTATATGAAGATACTTGCTTTTCCACAATATACCTCAAATCTCCCCAATTATCCACTTGCAGATTCTACAAAAAGAGTGTTTCAAAACTGCTCAATCAAAATACACTTTCAACTCTGTGAGATCAATGCACACATCACAAAGAAGTTTCTCAGAATGCTTCTGTATAGTTTTTATCTGAAGTTACTTGTTTTTCCACGATAGGCCTCAAAGCACACCAAATATCCACTTGCAGATCCTGTGAAAACAGTGTTCCAAAACTGGTCAATCATAAGATAGGTTTAACTCTGTGAGTTGAATGCACAATCACAAGAAGTTTCTCAGAATGCCTCTGTGTAGTTTTTATTTGGAGGTATTTCCTTTTCCACCCTAGGTAGCAAAGGGCTCCAAATATCCCCTTGCAGATTCTGCAAAATGAGAGATTCAAAACTGCTCAATCAAAAGATAGGTTCAGCTCTGTGAGTTGAATGCTCACATAACAAAGAAGTTTCTCACAGTATTTCTGCCTAGTTTTTAAGTGAAGATATTTTCTTTTCCGAAATAGACCTCAAAGCCCTCCAAATATCAACTTCCAGACTCTACAAAAGCAGTGTTTCAAAACTGCTCAATCAAAAGAAATTGTCAACTCTGTGAGATGAATGTACACATCACAAAGAAGTTTCTCAGAATGCTTCTGTGTAGTTTTTATTTGAAGATATTTCCTTTTCCACCACAGGCCGCAAAGGGCTCCCAATATCCACTTGCAGATTGTACAAAAAGAGAGATTCAAAACTGGTCACTCAAGCACTGTGTGCTTCCGCTCTGTGAGTTGAATGCACACATCAAAAAGAAGTTTCTTAGAGTGCCTCTATGTAGATTTTATGTGAAGATATTTGCTTTTCCACTTTAGGTCTCAAAGCGCTCCAAATATCCACGTGCAGATTCTAAAAAAAGAGACATTCTAAGCTACTCCATCAAAAGATAGGTTCAGCTCTGTGAGTTGAATTCACACATCACAAAGAAGTTTCTAGGAGTGCTTCTGTGTAGTTGTTATGTGAAGATATTTGCTTTTCCACAGTAGGCCTCAAATCGCTCTACATATCCACTTGCAGTTTCTACAAAAAAGAGTGTTTCCAAACTGCTCCATCATAAGACACGTTGAACTCTGAGAGTTGAATGCACACATCACAAAGAAGCTTCTCAGAATGCTTCTGTGTGGTTTTAATTTGAAGATATTTCCTTTTCCAAAACAGGCCTCAAAGCTCTCCGAATATCCACCTGGTTATTCTGCAAAAAGAGGGTTTCAATACTACTCAATAAAAAGGAAGATTCAACTCTGTGTGAGGAACGCATTCATCACAAAGAAGTCTTTCTGAATGCTTCTGTGTAGCTTTTATATGAAGATATTTCCTTTTACACCACAGGGTGCAAACAGCTCCAAACTTCCACTTGCAGATTCTACAAAAAGACGTATTCAAAACTGTACAATCAAAAGATAGTGTCAACTCTGCATGTTCAATGCACACATCACAAAGGACTTTCTCTGAATGCTTCTCTGTAGGGTTTGTTTATGTGAAGATATTTGCTTTTCCACTATAGGGTGAAACAGGGCTCCAAGTATCAACTTGCAGATTCTGCAAAAAGGAGATTCAAAACAGCTAAATCCAAAGATTACTTCAACTATGTGAGTTGAATGCACACACAAAAAAGAAGTTTCTCAGAATGCCTCTGTGTAGTTTTTATGTGAAGATATTTGATTTTCCACATTAGGCCTCAAAGCGCTCTAAATATCCACTTGCAGATTCTAGAAAAAGAGTGTTTCAAAACTGCCCTATCAAAAGAAACGTCCAACACTGTGAGATGAATGCACACATCACAAAGAAGTTTCTCAGAATGCTTCTTTGTAATTTTTATGTGAAGATATTCCCTTTTCCAAAGAAGGCCACAAAGTACTCCCAATATCCACTTGCAGGTTCTACAAAATGAGTGTTTCAAAACCGCTCAATCATTAGATAGGTTCAACTCTGTGAGACGAATGCACACGTCACAAAGAAGTTTTACGGAATGCTTCTATATAGTTTTTATTTGAAGGTATTTCCTTTTCCACCCTAGGTTGCAAAGGGCTCCAAATATCCACTTGCAGATTCGACAAAAAGAGAGATTCAAAACTGCTCAATGATAAGTCCAACTCTGTGGGTTGAATCCATGCCTCACAAAGAAGTTTCTCAGAATGCTTCTCTGTAGTTTTTATGTGAAGATATTTCCTTTTTCACAATAGGTCTCAAGCTTTCCAAATATCCACTTGCAGATTCCGCAAAAAGAGAGATACAAAAGTGCTCTATCAAAAGATAGGTTCGACTCTGGGAGTTCAATGCAAACATCACAAAGAAGTTTCTCAGAATGCTTCTGTGTAGTTTTTATGTGAAGATGTTCTGTTTTCTACCATAGGGCAAAATGGGGCTCCAAATCTCTACTTGCATTTTCTACAAA
The DNA here is from genome assembly GCF_000001405.40 of Homo sapiens. Classification (NCBI taxonomy): domain Eukaryota; kingdom Metazoa; phylum Chordata; class Mammalia; order Primates; family Hominidae; genus Homo; species Homo sapiens. The sequence goes on along the minus strand of NC_000015.10, from coordinate 17,379,991 downwards.
AAGAGAGATTCTAAGCTGCTCAATCAAAAGATACGTTCAACACTGTTAGTTGAATGCACACATGCCAAAGAAGTTTCTCAGAATGCTTCTGTGTAGTTTTTATGTGAAGATATTTGCTTTTCCACAATAGGCCTCAAATCGTTCTAAATATCCACTTGCAGGCTCTACAAAAAGAGTGTTTCCAAATTGGTCAGTCATAAGGTAGGTTCAACTCTGAGAGTTGAATGCACACATCATAAAGAAGTTTCTCAGAATGGTTCTGTGTAGTTTTACTTTGAAGATATTTCATTTTCCAAAACAGGCCCCAAAGCTCTCCAAATATCCACTTGGTGATTCTGCAAAAAGAGCGTTTCAATACTGCTCAATAAAAAGAAACGTTCAGCTCTGTGTGAGGAATGCATTCATCACAAAGAAGTTTCTCTGAATGCTTCTTTGTAGTTTTTATATGAAGATAGTTCCCTTTCCACCACAGGGTGCAAAGAGCTCCAAATATCCACTTGCAGATTCTACAGAAAATGAGATACGAAAGTGCTCAAGGAAAAGATAAGTTCAACTCTGTGAGTTGCATGCACACCTCACAAAGAAGAATCTCAAAATGCTTCTGCATAGTTTATATGTGAAGATATTTCCTTTTCCAAATAGGCCTCCAAGTTCTCCAGATATCCACTCGCAGATTCTGCAAAAAGAGAGACTCAAAACTGCTGAATCAAAACATAGTTTCAACTCTGTGACTTCATTGCACACCTCACAAAGATGTTTCTCAGAATGCTTCTGTGCAGTTTTTATATAAAGATATCTCCTTCTCCAAAATAGATCTCAAAGTTATCCAAGTATTCACTTCCAGATTCTATGGAAAGATTATCTCAAAACTGCTCAATCAAACCAAAGGTTCAACTCTGTGAGATAAATGCACACATCACAAAGAAGTTTCTCAGAATACTTTCCGTGTAGTTTTTATTTGAGGATAGTTCCTTTTCCACCACAGGACCACAAAGGGCTCCAAATATCCATTGCAGATGGTACAAACAGAGAGACTCGAAACTGCTCAATCAAAAGGTAGTTTCAACCATGTGATATGAATGCACACAGCACAGAGAATTTTCTCAAAATGCTTCTGTCTAGTTTTTATTTGAAGATATATCCTTTTCTACCATAGGCCACAAACGTCTCCAAATATCCACATGCAGCTTCTACAAAAAGAGAGATTCAAAACTTCTCCATCAAAAGATAGGTTCAACTCTGTGAGTTGAATGCACACCTCACAAAGAAGTTTCTCAGAGTGCTTCTGTGTGTTTTTATGTGAACATATTCCCTTTTCCACAATAGGCCTCAAAGCTCTCCAAATATCTGCAAGCAGAGTCTACAAAAAGAGAGATTCAAAACTGCTCAATGAAAAGATAGGTTCAACTCTGTGAGTTGAATGCACACCTCCAAAGAAGTTTCTCAGAATGCTTCCGTGTAGTTTCTATGTGAAGATATTTACTTTTCCACAATTGTCCCAAAGCTCTAAAATATCCACTTGCAGACCCTCTGAAAGAGTGTTTCAGAATTGCTCAATCAAAGGAGAGGTTCAATTCTGTGTGACCAATGCACTCATCACCAAGAAGTTTGTCTGAATGCTTCTGTGTAGAATGGATTTGAAGATAATTCCTTTTCCACCACAGTCCGCAAAGGGCTAAAAACATCCATTTGCAGATTCCACAAAAAGAGAGATTCAGAACTGCTCAATCACAAGATAGGTTCAACTTGGTAATTTGAAAGCCCACATGACAAACAATTTCTGAGAATGTTTCTGTGTAGTTTTTAAGGGAAGATATTTGATTTTCAAATGTAGGCCTCAAATCGCTCCAAATATCCACTTGCAGATTGAACAAAAAGAGAGATTCAAAACTGGTCACTCAAGAGATAGGTCCAGCTCTGTGAGTTGAATGCAAACCTCACAAAGATGTTTCTCAGAAGGCTTCTGTATAGTTTTTATATGAAGATATTTGCTTTTCCACAACATACCTCAAATCTCTCCAATTATCCACTTGCAGATTCTACAGAAGGAGTGTTTTAAAACTGCTCAATCAAAATACACTTTCAACTCTGTGAGATCAATGCACACATCACAAAGAAGTTTCTCAGAATGCTTCTGTATAGTTTTTATCTGAAGTTACTTGCTTTTCCACGATAGGCCTCAAAGCACACCAAATATCCACTTGCAGATCCTGTGAAAACAGTGTTCCAAAACTGGTCAATCATAAGATAGGTTTAACTCTGTGAGTTGAATGCACAATCACAAGAAGTTTCTCAGAATGCCTCTGTGTAGTTTTTATTTGGAGGTATTTCCTTTTCCACCCTAGGTAGCAAAGGGCTCCAAATATCCCCTTGCAGATTCTGCAAAATGAGAGATTCAAAACTGCTCAATCAAAAGATAGGTTCAGCTCTGTGAGTTGAATGCTCACATAACAAAGAAGTTTCTCACAGTATTTCTGCCTAGTTTTTAAGTGAAGATATTTTCTTTTCCGAAATAGACCTCAAAGCCCTCCAAATATCAACTTCCAGACTCTACAAAAGCAGTGTTTCAAAACTGCTCAATCAAAAGAAATTGTCAACTCTGTGAGATGAATGTACACATCACAAAGAAGTTTCTCAGAATGCTTCTGTGTAGTTTTTATTTGAAGATATTTCCTTTTCCACCACAGGCCGCAAAGGGCTCCCAATATCCACTTGCAGATTGTACAAAAAGAGAGATTCAAAACTGGTCACTCAAGCACTGTGTGCTTCCGCTCTGTGAGTTGAATGCACACATCAAAAAGAAGTTTCTTAGAGTGCCTCTATGTAGATTTTATGTGAAGATATTTGCTTTTCCACTTTAGGTCTCAAAGCGCTCCAAATATCCACGTGCAGATTCTAAAAAAAGAGACATTCTAAGCTACTCCATCAAAAGATAGGTTCAGCTCTGTGAGTTGAATTCACACATCACAAAGAAGTTTCTAGGAGTGCTTCTGTGTAGTTGTTATGTGAAGATATTTGCTTTTGCACAGTAGGCCTCAAATCGCTCTACATATCCACTTGCAGTTTCTACAAAAAGAGTGTTTCCAAACTGCTCCATCATAAGACACGTTCAACTCTGAGAGTTGAATGCACACATCACAAAGAAGTTTCTCAGAATGCGTCTGTGTGGTTTTAATTTGAAGATATTTCCTTTTCCAAAACAGGCCTCAAAGCTCTCCAAATATCCCCCTGGTTATTCTGCAAAAAGAGGGTTTCAAAACTACTCAATAAAAAGGTAGATTCAACTCTGTGTGAGGAACGCATTCCTCACAAAGAAGTCTCTCTGAAAGCTTCTGTGTAGTTTTTATATGAAGATATTTCCTTTTGCACCACAGCGTGCAAACAGCTCCAAACTTCCACTTGCAGATTCTACAAAAAGAGATATTCAAAACTGTACAATCAAAAGATAGTTTCAACTCTGCGTGTTCAATGCACACATCACAAAGGACTTTCTCTGAATGCTTCTCTGTAGTGTTTGTTTATGTGAAGATATTTGCTTTTCCACTATAGGGTGAAACAGGGCTCCATGTATCAACTTGCAGATTCTGCAAAAAGGAGATTCAAAACAGCTAAATCGAAAGATAACTTCAACTATGTGAGTTGAATGCACACACAAAAAAGAAGTTTCTCAGAATGCCTCTGGTGTAGTTTTTATGTGAAGATATTTGATTTTTCCACATTAGGCCTCAAAGCGCTCCAAATATCCACTTGCAGACTCTACAAGAAGACTCTTTCGAAACTGCCCCATCAAAAGAAACGTCCAACACTGTGAGATGCATGCACACATCACAAAGAAGTTTCTCAGAATGCTTCTTTGTAGTTTTCATGTGAAGATATTTCCTTTTCCAAAGAAGGCCACAAACTACTCCCAATATCCACTTCCAGGTTCTACAAAATGAGTGTTTCAAAACTGCTCAATCATTAGATAGGTTCAACTCTGTGAGATGAATGCACACATCACAAAGAAGTTTTTCGGAATGCTTCTATATAGTTTTTATGTGAAGGTGTTTCCTTTTCCACCATAGGTTGCAAAAGGGCTCCAAATATCCACTTGCAGATTCGACCAAAAGAGAGATTCAAAACTGCTCAATGATAAGTCCAACTCTGTGGGTTGAATCCATGCCTCACAGAGAAGTTTCTCAGAATGCTTCTCTGTAGTTTCTATGTGAAGATATTTCCTTTTTCACAATAGGCCTCAAGCTTTCCAAATATCCACTTGCAGATTCTGCAAAAAGAGAGATACAAAACTGCTCTATCAAAAGATAGGTTCGACTCTGGGAGTTCAATGCAAACATCACAAAGAAGTTTCTCAGAATGCTTCTGCGTAGTTTTTATGTGAAGATGTTCTGTTTTCTACCATAGGGCGAAATGGGGCTCCAAATCTCTACTTGCATTTTCTACAAAAGGAGAGATTCTAAGCTGCTCAATCAAAAGATAGGTTCAACACTGTTAGTTGAATGCACACATCCCAAAGAAGTCTCTGAGAATGCTTCTGTGTAGTTTTTATGTGAAGATATTTGCTTTTCCACAATAGGCCTCAAATCGTTCTAAATATCCACTTGCAGGCTCTACAAAAAGAGTGTTTCCAAATTGCTCAATCATAAGGTAGCTTCAACTCTGAGAGTTGAATGCTCACATCATGAAGAAGTTTCTCAGAATGGTTCTGTGTAGTTTTACTTTGAAGATATTTCATTTTCCAAATCAGGCCCCAAAGCTCTCCAAATATCCACTTGGTGATTCTGCAAAAAGAGCGTTTCAATACTGCTCAATAAAAAGAAAGGCTCAACTCTGTGTGAGGAATGCATTCATCACAAAGAAGTTTCTCTGAATGCTTCTTTGTAGTTTTTATATGAAGATATTTCCCTTTCCACCACAGGGTGCAAAGAGCTCCAAATATCCACTTGCAGATTCCACAAAAAAAGAGATATGAAAGTGCTCCATGGAAAGATAAGTTCAACTCTGTGAGTTGAATGCACACCTCACAAAGAAGTATCTCAAAATGCTTCTGCGTAGTTTTTATGTGAAGATATTTCCTTTTCCAAGTAGGCCTCAACCTTCTCCAGATATCCACTCGCAGATTCTGCAAAAAGAGAGACTCAAAACTGCTGAATCAAAAGATAGTTTCAACTCTGTGACTTCATTGCACACCTCACAAAGATGTTTCTCAGAATGCTTCTGTGCAGTTTTTATATAAAGATATCTCCTTCTCCAAAATAGATCTCAAAGTTATCCAAGTATTCACTTCCAGATTCTATGGAAAGATTATCTCAAAACTGCTCAATCAAACCAAAGGTTCAACTCTGTGAGATAAATGCACACATCACAAAGAAGTTTCTCAGAATACTTCCGTGTAGTTTTTATTTGAGGATAGTTCCTTTTCCACCACAGACCACAAAGGGCTCCAAATATCCATTGCAGATGGTACAAACAGAGAGACTCGAAACTGCTCAATCAAAAGGTAGTTTCAACCATGTGATATGAATGCACACAGCACAGAGAATTTTCTCAAAATGCTTCTGTCTAGTTTTTATTTGAAGATATATCCTTTTCTACCATAGGCCACAAACGTCTCCAAATATCCACATGCAGCTTCTACAAAAAGAGAGATTCAAGACTTCTCCATCAAAAGATAGGTTCAACTCTGTGAGTTGAATGCACACCTCACAAAGAAGTTTCTCAGAGTGCTTCTGTGTGTTTTTATGTGAACATATTCCCTTTTCCACAATAGGCCTCAAAGCTCTCCAAATATCTGCAAGCAGAGTCTACAAAAAGAGAGATTCAAAACTGCTCAATGAAAAGATAGGTTCAACTCTGTGAGTTGAATGCACACCTCCAAAGAAGTTTCTCAGAATGCTTCCGTGTAGTTTCTATGTGAAGATATTTACTTTTCCACAATTGTCCCAAAGCTCTAAAATATCCACTTGCAGACCCTCTGAAAGAGTGTTTCAGAATTGCTCAATCAAAGGAGAGGTTCAATTCTGTGTGACCAATGCACTCATCACCAAGAAGTTTGTCTGAATGCTTCTGTGTAGAATGGATTTGAAGATAATTCCTTTTCCACCACAGTCCGCAAAGGGCTAAAAATATCCATTTGCAGATTCCACAAAAAGAGAGATTCAGAACTGCTCAATCACAAGATAGGTTCAACTTGGTAATTTGAAAGCCCACATGACAAACAATTTGCTGAGAATGTTTCTGTGTAGCTTTGAAGGGAAGATATTTGATTTTCAAATGTAGGCCTCAAATCGCTCCAAATATCCACTTGCAGATTGAACAAAAAGAGAGATTCAAAACTGGTCACTCAAGAGATAGGTCCAGCTCTGTGAGTTGAATGTAAACCTCACAAAGATGTTTCTCAGAAGGCTTCTGCCTAGTTTTTAAGTGAAGATATTTTCTTTTCCGAAATAGACCTCAAAGCCCTCCCAAATATCAACTTCCAGACTCTACAAAAGCAGTGTTTCAAAACTGCTCAATCAAAAGAAATTGTCAACTCTGTGAGATGAATGTACACATCACAAAGAAGTTTCTCAGAATGCTTCTGTGTAGTTTTTATTTGAAGATATTTCCTTTTCCACCACAGGCCGCAAAGGGCTCCCAATATCCACTTGCAGATTGTACAAAAAGAGAGATTCAAAACTGGTCACTCAAGCACTGTGTGCTTCCGCTCTGTGAGTTGAATGCACACATCAAAAAGAAGTTTCTTAGAGTGCCTCTATGTAGATTTTATGTGAAGATATTTGCTTTTCCACTTTAGGTCTCAAAGCGCTCCAAATATCCACGTGCAGATTCTAAAAAAAGAGAGATTCTAAGCTACTCCATCAAAAGATAGGTTCAGCTCTGTGAGTTGAATTCACACATCACAAAGAAGTTTCTAGGAGTGCTTCTGTGTAGTTGTTATGTGAAGATATTTGCTTTTCCACAGTAGGCCTCAAATCGCTCTACATATCCACTTGCAGTTTCTACAAAAAGAGTGTTTCCAAACTGCTCCATCATAAGACACGTTCAACTCTGAGAGTTGAATGCACACATCACAAAGAAGTTTCTCAGAATGCTTCTGTGTGGTTTTAATTTGAAGATATTTCCTTTTCCAAAACAGGCCTCAAAGCTCTCCAAATATCCCCCTGGTTATTCTGCAAAAAGAGGGTTTCAAAACTACTCAATAAAAAGGTAGATTCAACTCTGTGTGAGGAACGCATTCCTCACAAAGAAGTCTCTCTGAAAGCTTCTGTGTAGTTTTTATATGAAGATATTTCCTTTTGCACCACAGCGTGCAAACAGCTCCAAACTTCCACTTGCAGATTCTACAAAAAGAGATATTCAAAACTGTACAATCAAAAGATAGTTTCAACTCTGCGTGTTCAATGCACACATCACAAAGGACTTTCTCTGAATGCTTCTCTGTAGTGTTTGTTTATGTGGAGATATTTGCTTTTCCACTATAGGGTGAAACAGGGCTCCAGGTATCAACTTGCAGATTCTGCAAAAAGGAGATTCAAAACAGCTAAATCGAAAGATAACTTCAACTATGTGAGTTGAATGCACACACAAAAAAGAAGTTTCTCAGAATGCCTCTGTGTAGTTTTTATGTGAAGATATTTGATTTTCCACATTAGGCCTCAAAGCGCTCCAAATATCCACTTGCAGACTCTACAAGAAGACTCTTTCGAAACTGCCCCATCAAAAGAAACGTCCAACACTGTGAGATGCATGCACACATCACAAAGAAGTTTCTCAGAATGCTTCTTTGTAGTTTTCATGTGAAGATATTTCCTTTTCCAAAGAAGGCCACAAACTACTCCCAATATCCACTTCCAGGTTCTACAAAATGAGTGTTTCAAAACTGCTCAATCATTAGATAGGTTCAACTCTGTGAGATGAATGCACACATCACAAAGAAGTTTTTCGGAATGCTTCTATATAGTTTTTATGTGAAGGTGTTTCCTTTTCCACCATAGGTTGCAAAAGGGCTCCAAATATCCACTTGCAGATTCGACCAAAAGAGAGATTCAAAACTGCTCAATGATAAGTCCAACTCTGTGGGTTGAATCCATGCCTCACAGAGAAGTTTCTCAGAATGCTTCTCTGTAGTTTCTATGTGAAGATATTTCCTTTTTCACAATAGGCCTCAAGCTTTCCAAATATCCACTTGCAGATTCTGCAAAAAGAGAGATACAAAACTGCTCTATCAAAAGATAGGTTCGACTCTGGGAGTTCAATGCAAACATCACAAAGAAGTTTCTCAGAATGCTTCTGCGTAGTTTTTATGTGAAGATGTTCTGTTTTCTACCATAGGGCGAAATGGGGCTCCAAATCTCTACTTGCATTTTCTACAAAAGGAGAGATTCTAAGCTGCTCAATCAAAAGATAGGTTCAACACTGTTAGTTGAATGCACACATCCCAAAGAAGTCTCTGAGAATGCTTCTGTGTAGTTTTTATGTGAAGATATTTGCTTTTCCACAATAGGCCTCAAATCGTTCTAAATATCCACTTGCAGGCTCTACAAAAAGAGTGTTTCCAAATTGCTCAATCATAAGGTAGCTTCAACTCTGAGAGTTGAATGCTCACATCATGAAGAAGTTTCTCAGAATGGTTCTGTGTAGTTTTACTTTGAAGATATTTCATTTTCCAAATCAGGCCCCAAAGCTCTCCAAATATCCACTTGGTGATTCTGCAAAAGGAGCGTTTCAATACTGCTCAATAAAAAGAAAGGCTCAACTCTGTGTGAGGAATGCATTCATCACAAAGAAGTTTCTCTGAATGCTTCTTTGTAGTTTTTATATGAAGATATTTCCCTTTCCACCACAGGGTGCAAAGAGCTCCAAATATCCACTTGCAGATTCCACAAAAAAAGAGATATGAAAGTGCTCCATGGAAAGATAAGTTCAACTCTGTGAGTTGAATGCACACCTCACAAAGAAGTATCTCAAAATGCTTCTGCGTAGTTTTTATGTGAAGATATTTCCTTTTCCAAGTAGGCCTCAACGTTCTCCAGATATCCACTCGCAGATTCTGCAAAAAGAGAGACTCAAAACTGCTGAATCAAAAGATAGTTTCAACTCTGTGACTTCATTGCACACCTCACAAAGATGTTTCTCAGAATGCTTCTGTGCAGTTTTTATATAAAGATATCTCCTTCTCCAAAATAGATCTCAAAGTTATCCAAGTATTCACTTCCAGATTCTATGGAAAGATTATCTCAAAACTGCTCAATCAAACCAAAGGTTCAACTCTGTGAGATAAATGCACACATCACAAAGAAGTTTCTCAGAATACTTCCGTGTAGTTTTTATTTGAGGATAGTTCCTTTTCCACCACAGACCACAAAGGGCTCCAAATATCCATTGCAGATGGTACAAACAGAGAGACTCGAAACTGCTCAATCAAAAGGTAGTTTCAACCATGTGATATGAATGCACACAGCACAGAGAATTTTCTCAAAATGCTTCTGTCTAGTTTTTATTTGAAGATATATCCTTTTCTACCATAGGCCACAAACGTCTCCAAATATCCACATGCAGCTTCTACAAAAAGAGAGATTCAAAACTTCTCCATCAAAAGATAGGTTCAACTCTGTGAGTTGAATGCACACCTCACAAAGAAGTTTCTCAGAGTGCTTCTGTGTGTTTTTATGTGAACATATTCCCTTTTCCACAATAGGCCTCAAAGCTCTCCAAATATCTGCAAGCAGAGTCTACAAAAAGAGAGATTCAAAACTGCTCAATGAAAAGATAGGTTCAACTCTGTGAGTTGAATGCACACCTCCAAAGAAGTTTCTCAGAATGCTTCCGTGTAGTTTCTATGTGAAGATATTTACTTTTCCACAATTGTCCCAAAGCTCTAAAATATCCACTTGCAGACCCTCTGAAAGAGTGTTTCAGAATTGCTCAATCAAAGGAGAGGTTCAATTCTGTGTGACCAATGCACTCATCACCAAGAAGTTTGTCTGAATGCTTCTGTGTAGAATGGATTTGAAGATAATTCCTTTTCCACCACAGTCCGCAAAGGGCTAAAAATATCCATTTGCAGATTCCACAAAAAGAGAGATTCAGAACTGCTCAATCACAAGATAGGTTCAACTTGGTAATTTGAAAGCCCACATGACAAACAATTTCTGAGAATGTTTCTGTGTAGTTTTTAAGGGAAGATATTTGATTTTCAAATGTAGGCCTCAAATCGCTCCAAATATCCACTTGCAGATTGAACAAAAAGAGAGATTCAAAACTGGTCACTCAAGAGATAGGTCCAGCTCTGTGAGTTGAATGCAAACCTCACAAAGATGTTTCTCAGAAGGCTTCTGTATAGTTTTTATATGAAGATATTTGCTTTTCCACAACATACCTCAAATCTCTCCAATTATCCACTTGCAGATTCTACAGAAGGAGTGTTTTAAAACTGCTCAATCAAAATACACTTTCAACTCTGTGAGATCAATGCACACATCACAAAGAAGTTTCTCAGAATGCTTCTGTATAGTTTTTATCTGAAGTTACTTGCTTTTCCACGATAGGCCTCAAAGCACACCAAATATCCACTTGCAGATCCTGTGAAAACAGTGTTCCAAAACTGGTCAATCATAAGATAGGTTTAACTCTGTGAGTTGAATGCACAATCACAAGAAGTTTCTCAGAATGCCTCTGTGTAGTTTTTATTTGGAGGTATTTCCTTTTCCACCCTAGGTAGCAAAGGGCTCCAAATATCCCCTTGCAGATTCTGCAAAATGAGAGATTCAAAACTGCTCAATCAAAAGATAGGTTCAGCTCTGTGAGTTGAATGCTCACATAACAAAGAAGTTTCTCACAGTATTTCTGCCTAGTTTTTAAGTGAAGATATTTTCTTTTCCGAAATAGACCTCAAAGCCCTCCAAATATCAACTTCCAGACTCTACAAAAGCAGTGTTTCAAAACTGCTCAATCAAAAGAAATTGTCAACTCTGTGAGATGAATGTACACATCACAAAGAAGTTTCTCAGAATGCTTCTGTGTAGTTTTTATTTGAAGATATTTCCTTTTCCACCACAGGCCGCAAAGGGCTCCCAATATCCACTTGCAGATTGTACAAAAAGAGAGATTCAAAACTGGTCACTCAAGCACTGTGTGCTTCCGCTCTGTGAGTTGAATGCACACATCAAAAAGAAGTTTCTTAGAGTGCCTCTATGTAGATTTTATGTGAAGATATTTGCTTTTCCACTTTAGGTCTCAAAGCGCTCCAAATATCCACGTGCAGATTCTAAAAAAAGAGACATTCTAAGCTACTCCATCAAAAGATAGGTTCAGCTCTGTGAGTTGAATTCACACATCACAAAGAAGTTTCTAGGAGTGCTTCTGTGTAGTTGTTATGTGAAGATATTTGCTTTTCCACAGTAGGCCTCAAATCGCTCTACATATCCACTTGCAGTTTCTACAAAAAAGAGTGTTTCCAAACTGCTCCATCATAAGACACGTTGAACTCTGAGAGTTGAATGCACACATCACAAAGAAGCTTCTCAGAATGCTTCTGTGTGGTTTTAATTTGAAGATATTTGCTTTTCCAAAACAGGCCTCAAAGCTCTCCAAATATCCACCTGGTTATTCTGCAAAAAGAGGGTTTCAATACTACTCAATAAAAAGGAAGATTCAACTCTGTGTGAGGAACGCATTCATCACAAAGAAGTCTTTCTGAATGCTTCTGTGTAGCTTTTATATGAAGATATTTCCTTTTACACCACAGGGTGCAAACAGCTCCAAACTTCCACTTGCAGATTCTACAAAAAGACGTATTCAAAACTGTACAATCAAAAGATAGTGTCAACTCTGCATGTTCAATGCACACATCACAAAGGACTTTCTCTGAATGCTTCTCTGTAGGGTTTGTTTATGTGAAGATATTTGCTTTTCCACTATAGGGTGAAACAGGGCTCCAAGTATCAACTTGCAGATTCTGCAAAAAGGAGATTCAAAACAGCTAAATCCAAAGATTACTTCAACTATGTGAGTTGAATGCACACACAAAAAAGAAGTTTCTCAGAATGCCTCTGTGTAGTTTTTATGTGAAGATATTTGATTTTCCACATTAGGCCTCAAAGCGCTCTAAATATCCACTTGCAGATTCTAGAAAAAGAGTGTTTCAAAACTGCCCTATCAAAAGAAACGTCCAACACTGTGAGATGAATGCACACATCACAAAGAAGTTTCTCAGAATGCTTCTTTGTAATTTTTATGTGAAGATATTCCCTTTTCCAAAGAAGGCCACAAAGTACTCCCAATATCCACTTGCAGGTTCTACAAAATGAGTGTTTCAAAACCGCTCAATCATTAGATAGGTTCAACTCTGTGAGACGAATGCACACGTCACAAAGAAGTTTTACGGAATGCTTCTATATAGTTTTTATTTGAAGGTATTTCCTTTTCCACCCTAGGTTGCAAAGGGCTCCAAATATCCACTTGCAGATTCGACAAAAAGAGAGATTCAAAACTGCTCAATGATAAGTCCAACTCTGTGGGTTGAATCCATGCCTCACAAAGAAGTTTCTCAGAATGCTTCTCTGTAGTTTTTATGTGAAGATATTTCCTTTTTCACAATAGGCCTCAAGCTTTCCAAATATCCACTTGCAGATTCCGCAAAAAGAGAGATACAAAAGTGCTCTATCAAAAGATAGGTTCGACTCTGGGAGTTCAATGCAAACATCACAAAGAAGTTTCTCAGAATGCTTCTGTGTAGTTTTTATGTGAAGATGTTCTGTTTTCTACCATAGGGCAAAATGGGGCTCCAAATATCTACTTGCATTTTCTACAAAAAGAGAGATTCTAAGCTGCTCAATCAAAAGATACGTTCAACACTGTTAGTTGAATGCACACATGCCAAAGAAGTTTCTCAGAATGCTTCTGTGTAGTTTTTATGTGAAGATATTTGCTTTTCCACAATAGGCCTCAAATCGTTCTAAATATCCACTTGCAGGCTCTACAAAAAGAGTGTTTCCAAATTGCTCAATCATAAGGTAGGTTCAACTCTGAGAGTTGAATGCACACATCATAAAGAAGTTTCTCAGAATGGTTCTGTGTAGTTTTACTTTGAAGATATTTCATTTTCCAAAACAGGCCCCAAAGCTCTCCAAATATCCACTTGGTGATTCTGCAAAAAGAGCGTTTCAATACTGCTCCATAAAAAGAAAGGTTCAGCTCTGTGTGAGGAATGCATTCATCACAAGAAGTTTCTCTGAATGCTTCTTTGTAGTTTTTATATGAAGATAGTTCCCTTTCCACCACAGGGTGCAAAGAGCTCCAAATATCCACTTGCAGATTCTACAGAAAATGAGATATGAAAGTGCTCAAGGAAAAGATAAGTTCAACTCTGTGAGTTGCATGCACACCTCACAAAGAAGAATCTCAAAATGCTTCTGCATAGTTTATATGTGAAGATATTTCCTTTTCCAAATAGGCCTCCAAGTTCTCCAGATATCCACTCGCAGATTCTGCAAAAAGAGAGACTCAAAACTGCTGAATCAAAACATAGTTTCAACTCTGTGACTTCATTGCACACCTCACAAAGATGTTTCTCAGAATGCTTCTGTGCAGTTTTCATATAAAGATATCTCCTTCTCCAAAATAGATCTCAAGGTTCTCCAAATATTCACTTCCAGATTCTATGGAAAGATTGTCTCAAAACTGCTCAATCAAACCAAAGGTTCAACCCTGTGAGATGAATGCACACATCACAAGGAAGTTTCTCGGAATACTTCTGTGTAGTTTTTATTTGAGGATAGTTCCTTTTCCACCACAGACCACAAAGGGCTCCAAATATCCATTGCAGATGTTACAAAAAGAGAGATTCAAAACTGCTCAACCAAAAGGTAGTTTCAACCATGTGATATGAATGCACACAGCACAGAGAAATTTCTCAAAATGCTTCTGTCTAGTTTTTATTTGAAGATATTGCCTTTTCTACCATAGGCCACAAACGTCTCCAAATATCCACATGCAGCTTCTACAAAAAGAGAGATTCAAAGCTTCTCAATCAAAAGATAGGTTCAACTCTGTGAGTTGAATGCACACTTCACAAAGAAGTTTCTCAGAGTGCTTCTGTGTGTTTTTATGTGAAGATGATTCCTTTTCCACAATAGGCCTCAAAGCTCTCCAAGTATCTGCAAGCAGAGTCTACAAAAAGAGAGATTCAAAACTGCTCAATGAAAAGATAGGTTCAACTCTGTGAGTTGAATGCACACCTCCAAAGAAGTTTCTCAGAATGCTTCCGTGTAGTTTCTATGTGAAGATATTTACTTTTCCACAATTGTCCCAAAGCTCTAAAATATCCACTTGCAGACCCTCTGAAAGAGTGTTTCAGAATTGCTCAATCAAAGGAGAGGTTCAATTCTGTGTGACCAATGCACTCATCACAAAAAGTTTGTCTGAATGCTTCTGTGTAGAATGGATTTGAAGATAATTCCTTTTCCACCACAGTCCGCAAATGGCTAAAAATATCCACTTGCAGATTCCACAAAAAGAGAGATTCAAAACTGCTCAATCACAAGGTAGGTTCAACTTGGTAATTTGAAAGCACACATGACAAACAATTTCTGAGAATGTTTCTGTGTAGCTTTTAAGGGAAGATATTTGATTTTCAAATGTAGGCCTCAAAACGCTCCAAATATCCACTTGCAGATTGTACAAAAAGAGAGATTCAAAACTGGTCACTCAAAAGATAGTTCCAGCTCTGTGAGTTGAATGCAAACCTCACAAAGATGTTTCTCAGAAAGCTTCTGTATAGTTTTTATATGAAGATACTTGCTTTTCCACAATATACCTCAAATCTCCCCAATTATCCACTTGCAGATTCTACAAAAAGAGTGTTTCAAAACTGCTCAATCAAAATACACTTTCAACTCTGTGAGATCAATGCACACATCACAAAGAAGTTTCTCAGAATGCTTCTGTATAGTTTTTATCTGAAGTTATTTGCTTTTCCACGATAGGCCTCAAAGCACGCCAAATATCCACTTGCAGATCCTATGAAAAGAGTGTTCCAAAACTGGTCAATCATAAGATAGGTTTAACTCTGTGAGTTGAATGCACAATCACGAGGAAGTTTCTCAGAATGCCTCTGTGTAGTTTTTATTTGGAGGTATTTCCTTTTCCACCCTAGGTAGCAAAGGGCTCCAAATATCCCCTTGCAGATTCTGCAAAATGAGAGATTCAAAACTGCTCAATCAAAAGATAAGTTCAGCTCTGTGAGTTGAATGCTCACATAACAAAGAAGTTTCTCACAGTATTTCTGCCTAGTTTTTAAGTGAAGATATTTTCTTTTCCGAAATAGACCTCAAAGCCCTCCAAATATCAACTTCCAGACTCTACAAAAGCAGTGTTTCAAAACTGCTCAATCAAAAGAAATTGTCAACTCTGTGAGATGAATGTACACATCACAAAGAAGTTTCTCAGAATGCTTCTGTGTAGTTTTTATTTGAAGATATTTCCTTTTCCACCACAGGCCGCAAAGGGCTCCCAATATCCACTTGCAGATTGTACAAAAAGAGAGATTCAAAACTGGTCACTCAAGCACTGTGTGCTTCAGCTCTGTGAGTTGAATGCACACATCAAAAAGAAGTTTCTTAGAGTGCCTCTACGTAGATTTTATATGAAGATATTTGCTTTTCCACTTCAGGTCTCAAAGCGCCCCAAATATCCACGTGCAGATTCTAAAAAAAGAGAGATTCTAAGCTACTCCATCAAAAGATAGGTTCAGCTCTGTGAGTTGAATTCACACATCACAAAGAAGTTTCTAGGAGTGCTTCTGTGTAGTTGTTATGTGAAGATATTTGCTTTTCCACAGTAGGCCTCAAATCGCTCTACATATCCACTTGCAGTTTCTACAAAAAGAGTGTTTCCAAACTGCTCCATCATAAGACACGTTCAACTCTGAGAGTTGAATGCACACATCACAAAGAAGTTTCTCAGAATGCTTCTGTGTGGTTTTAATTTGAAGATATTTCCTTTTCCAAAACAGGCCTCAAAGCTCTCCAAATATCCCCCTGGTTATTCTGCAAAAAGAGGGTTTCAAAACTACTCAATAAAAAGGTAGATTCAACTCTGTGTGAGGAACGCATTCCTCACAAAGAAGTCTCTCTGAAAGCTTCTGTGTAGTTTTTATATGAAGATATTTCCTTTTGCACCACAGCGTGCAAACAGCTCCAAACTTCCACTTGCAGATTCTACAAAAAGAGATATTCAAAACTGTACAATCAAAAGATAGTTTCAACTCTGCGTGTTCAATGCACACATCACAAAGGACTTTCTCTGAATGCTTCTCTGTAGTGTTTGTTTATGTGAAGATATTTGCTTTTCCACTATAGGGTGAAACAGGGCTCCAGGTATCAACTTGCAGATTCTGCAAAAAGGAGATTCAAAACAGCTAAATCGAAAGATAACTTCAACTATGTGAGTTGAATGCACACACAAAAAAGAAGTTTCTCAGAATGCCTCTGTGTAGTTTTTATGTGAAGATATTTGATTTTCCACATTAGGCCTCAAAGCGCTCCAAATATCCACTTGCAGACTCTACAAGAAGACTCTTTCGAAACTGCCCCATCAAAAGAAACGTCCAACACTGTGAGATGCATGCACACATCACAAAGAAGTTTCTCAGAATGCTTCTTTGTAGTTTTCATGTGAAGATATTTCCTTTTCCAAAGAAGGCCACAAACTACTCCCAATATCCACTTCCAGGTTCTACAAAATGAGTGTTTCAAAACTGCTCAATCATTAGATAGGTTCAACTCTGTGAGATGAATGCACACATCACAAAGAAGTTTTTCGGAATGCTTCTATATAGTTTTTAGGTGAAGGTGTTTCCTTTTCCGCCATAGGTTGCAAAAGGGCTCCAAATACCCACTTGCAGATTCGACCAAAAGAGAGATTCAAAACTGCTCAATGGTAAGTCCAACTCTGTTGGTTGAATCCATGCCTCACAGAGAAGTTTCTCAGAATGCTTCTCTGTAGTTTCTATGTGAAGATATTTCCTTTTTCACAATAGGCCTCAAGCTTTCCAAATATCCACTTGCAGATTCTGCAAAAAGAGAGATACAAAACTGCTCTATCAAAAGATAGGTTCGACTCTGTGAGTTCAATGCAAACATCACAAAGAAGTTTCTCAGAATGCTTCTGTGTAGTTTTTATGTGAAGATGTTCTGTTTTCTACCATAGGGCGAAATGGGGCTCCAAATCTCTACTTGCATTTTCTACAAAAGGAGAGATTCTAAGCTGCTCAATCAAAAGATAGGTTCAACACTGTTATTTGAATGCACACATCCCAACGAAGTTTCTCAGAATGCTTCTGTGTAGTTTTTATGTGAAGATATTTGCTTTTCCACAATAGGCCTCAAATCGTTCTAAATATCCACTTGCAGGCTCTACAAAAAGAGTGTTTCCAAATTGCTCAATCATAAGGTAGCTTCAACTCTGAGAGTTGAATGCTCACATCATAAAGAAGTTTCTCAGAATGGTTCTGTGTAGTTTTACTTTGAAGATATTTCATTTTCCAAATGAGGCCCCAAAGCTCTCCAAATATCCACTTGGTGATTCTGCAAAAAGAGCGTTTCAATACTGCTCAATAAAAAGAAAGGTTCAACTCTGTGTGAGGAATGCATTCATCACAAAGAAGTTTCTCTGCATGCTTCTTTGTAGTTTTTATATGAAGATATTTCCCTTTCCACCACAGGGTGCAAAGAGCTCCAAATATCCACTTGCAGATTCTACAAAAAAAGAGATATGAATGTGCTCAATGAAATGATAAGTTCAACTCTGTGAGTTGAATGCACACCTCACAAAGAAGTATCTCAAAATGCTTCTGCATAGTTTATATGTGAAGATATTTCCTTTTCCAAATAGGCCTCCAAGTTCTCCAGATATCCACTCGCAGATTCTGCAAAAAGAGAGACTCAAAACTGCTGAATCAAAGCATAGTTTCAACTCTGTGACTTCATTGCACACCTCACAAAGATGTTTCTCAGAATGCTTCTGTGCAGTTTTTATATAAAGATATCTCCTTCTCCAAAATAGATCTCAAGGTTCTCCAAATATTCACTTCCAGATTCTATGGAAAGATTGTCTCAAAACTGCTCAATCAAACCAAAGGTTCAACCCTATGAGATGAATGCACACATCACAAGGAAGTTTCTCGGAATACTTCTGTGTAGTTTTTATTTGAGGATAGTTCCTTTTCCACCACAGACCACAAAGGGCTCCAAATATCCATTGCAGATGGTACAAAAAGAGAGATTCAAAACTGCTCAATCAAAAGGTAGTTTCAACCATGTGATATGAATGCACACAGCACAGAGAAATTTCTCAAAATGCTTCTGTCTAGTTTTTATTTGAAGATATTGCCTTTTCTACCATAGGCCACAAACGTCTCCAAATATCCACATGCAGCTTCTACAAAAAGAGAGATTCAAAGCTTCTCAATCAAAAGATAGGTTCAACTCTGTGAGTTGAATGCACACTTCACAAAGAAGTTTCTCAGAGTGCTTCTGTGTGTTTTTATGTGAAGATGATCCCTTTTCCACAATAGGCCTCAAAGCTCTCCAAATATCTGCAAGCAGAGTCTACAAAAAGAGAGATTCAAAACTGCTCAATGAAAAGATAGGTTCAACTCTGTGAGTTGAATGCACACCTCCAAAGAAGTTTCTCAGAATGCTTCCGTGTAGTTTTTATGTGAAGATATTTACTTTTCCACAATTGTCCCAAAGCTCTAAAATATCCACTTGCAGACCCTCTGAAAGAGTGTTTCAGAATTGCTCAATCAAAGGAGAGGTTCAATTCTGTGTGACCAATGCACTCATCACAAAAAGTTTGTCTGAATGCTTCTGTGTAGAATGGATTTGAAGATAATTCCTTTTCCACCACAGTCCGCAAATGGCTAAAAATATCCACTTGCAGATTCCACAAAAAGAGAGATTCAAAACTGCTCAATCACAAGGTAGGTTCAACTTGGTAATTTGAAAGCACACATGACAAACAATTTCTGAGAATGTTTCTGTGTAGCTTTTAAGGGAAGATATTTGATTTTCAAATGTAGGCCTCAAAACGCTCCAAATATCCACTTGCAGATTGTACAAAAAGAGAGATTCAAAACTGGTCACTCAAAAGATAGTTCCAGCTCTGTGAGTTGAATGCAAACCTCACAAAGATGTTTCTCAGAAAGCTTCTGTATAGTTTTTATATGAAGATACTTGCTTTTCCACAATATACCTCAAATCTCCCCAATTATCCACTTGCAGATTCTACAAAAAGAGTGTTTCAAAACTGCTCAATCAAAATACACTTTCAACTCTGTGAGATCAATGCACACATCACAAAGAAGTTTCTCAGAATGCTTCTGTATAGTTTGCTTTTCCACGATAGGCCTCAAAGCACGCCAAATATCCACTTGCAGATCCTATGAAAAGAGTGTTCCAAAACTGGTCAATCATAAGATAGGTTTAACTCTGTGAGTTGAATGCACAATCACGAGGAAGTTTCTCAGAATGCCTCTGTGTGCTTTTCATTTGAAGGTATTTCCTTTTCCACCATAGGCCGCAAAGGGCTCCAAATATCCCCTTGCAGATTCTGCAAAATGAGAGATTCAAAACTGCTCAATCAAAAGATAGGTTCAACTCTGTGAGTTGAATGCTCACATAACAAAGAAGTTTCTCACAGTATTTCTGTGTAGTTTTTATTTGAAGATATTTCCTTTTCCACCATAGGCCGCAAAGGGCTCCAAATATCCACTTGCAGATTGTACAAAAAGAGAGATTCAAAACTGGTCACTCAAAGGATCGGTTCAGCTCTGTGAGGTGAATGCACACATCAAAAAGAAGTTTCTTAGAGTGCCTCTATGTAGATTTTATGTGAAGATATTTGCTTTTCCACTTTAGGTCTCAAAGCGCTCCAAATATCCACGTGCAGATTCTAAAAAAAGAGAGATTCTAAGCTACTCCATCAAAAGATAGGTTCAGCTCTGTGAGTTGAATTCACACATCACAAAGAAGTTTCTAGGAGTGCTTCTGTGTAGTTGTTATGTGAAGTATATTTGCTTTACCACAGTAGGCCTCAAATCGCTCTACATATCCACTTGCAGTTTCTACAAAAAGAGTGTTTCCAAACTGCTCCATCATAAGACACGTTCAACTCTGAGAGTTGAATGCACACATCACAAAGAAGCTTCTCAGAATGCTTCTGTGTGGTTTTAATTTGAAGATATTTCCTTTTCCAAAACAGGCCTCAAAGCTCTCCGAATATCCACCTGGTTATTCTGCAAAAAGAGGGTTTCAATACTACTCAATAAAAAGGAAGATTCAACTCTGTGTGAGGAACGCATTCATCACAAAGAAGTCTTTCTGAATGCTTCTGTGTAGCTTTTATATGAAGATATTTCCTTTTACACCACAGGGTGCAAACAGCTCCAAACTTCCACTTGCAGATTCTACAAAAAGACGTATTCAAAACTGTACAATCAAAAGATAGTGTCAACTCTGCATGTTCAATGCACACATCACAAAGGACTTTCTCTGAATGCTTCTCTGTAGGGTTTGTTTATGTGAAGATATTTGCTTTTCCACTATAGGGTGAAACAGGGCTCCAAGTATCAACTTGCAGATTCTGCAAAAAGGAGATTCAAAACAGCTAAATCCAAAGATTACTTCAACTATGTGAGTTGAATGCACACACAAAAAAGAAGTTTCTCAGAATGCCTCTGTGTAGTTTTTATGTGAAGATATTTGATTTTCCACATTAGGCCTCAAAGCGCTCTAAATATCCACTTGCAGATTCTAGAAAAAGAGTGTTTCAAAACTGCCCTATCAAAAGAAACGTCCAACACTGTGAGATGAATGCACACATCACAAAAGAAGTTTCTCAGAATGCTTCTTTGTAATTTTTATGTGAAGATATTCCCTTTTCCAAAGAAGGCCACAAAGTACTCCCAATATCCACTTGCAGGTTCTACAAAATGAGTGTTTCAAAACCGCTCAATCATTAGATAGGTTCAACTCTGTGAGACGAATGCACACGTCACAAAGAAGTTTTACGGAATGCTTCTATATAGTTTTTATTTGAAGGTATTTCCTTTTCCACCCTAGGTTGCCAAGGGCTCCAAATATCCACTTGCAGATTCGACAAAAAGAGAGATTCAAAACTGCTCAATGATAAGTCCAACTCTGTGGGTTGAATCCATGCCTCACAAAGAAGTTTCTCAGAATGCTTCTCTGTAGTTTTTATGTGAAGATATTTCCTTTTTCACAATAGGTCTCAAGCTTTCCAAATATCCACTTGCAGATTCCGCAAAAAGAGAGATACAAAAGTGCTCTATCAAAAGATAGGTTCGACTCTGGGAGTTCAATGCAAACATCACAAAGAAGTTTCTCAGAATGCTTCTGTGTAGTTTTTATGTGAAGATGTTCTGTTTTCTACCATAGGGCAAAATGGGGCTCCAAATATCTACTTGCATTTTCTACAAAAAGAGAGATTCTAAGCTGCTCAATCAAAAGATACGTTCAACACTGTTAGTTGAATGCACACATGCCAAAGAAGTTTCTCAGAATGCTTCTGTGTAGTTTTTATGTGAAGATATTTGCTTTTCCACAATAGGCCTCAAATCGTTCTAAATATCCACTTGCAGGCTCTACAAAAAGAGTGTTTCCAAATTGCTCAATCATAAGGTAGCTTCAACTCTGAGAGTTGAATGCTCACATCATGAAGAAGTTTCTCAGAATGGTTCTGTGTGGTTTTACTTTGAAGATATTTCATTTTCCAAATCAGGCCCCAAAGCTCTCCAAATATCCACTTGGTGATTCTGCAAAAGGAGCGTTTCAATACTGCTCAATAAAAAGAAAGGCTCAACTCTGTGTGAGGAATGCATTCATCACAAAGAAGTTTCTCTGAATGCTTCTTTGTAGTTTTTATATGAAGATATTTCCCTTTCCACCACAGGGTGCAAAGAGCTCCAAATATCCACTTGCAGATTCCACAAAAAAAGAGATATGAAAGTGCTCCATGGAAAGATAAGTTCAACTCTGTGAGTTGAATGCACACCTCACAAAGAAGTATCTCAAAATGCTTCTGCGTAGTTTTTATGTGAAGATATTTCCTTTTCCAAGTAGGCCTCAACGTTCTCCAGATATCCACTCGCAGATTCTGCAAAAAGAGAGACTCAAAACTGCTGAATCAAAAGATAGTTTCAACTCTGTGACTTCATTGCACACCTCACAAAGATGTTTCTCAGAATGCTTCTGTGCAGTTTTTATATAAAGATATCTCCTTCTCCAAAATAGATCTCAAAGTTATCCAAGTATTCACTTCCAGATTCTATGGAAAGATTATCTCAAAACTGCTCAATCAAACCAAAGGTTCAACTCTGTGAGATAAATGCACACATCACAAAGAAGTTTCTCAGAATACTTCCGTGTAGTTTTTATTTGAGGATAGTTCCTTTTCCACCACAGACCACAAAGGGCTCCAAATATCCATTGCAGATGGTACAAACAGAGAGACTCGAAACTGCTCAATCAAAAGGTAGTTTCAACCATGTGATATGAATGCACACAGCACAGAGAATTTTCTCAAAATGCTTCTGTCTAGTTTTTATTTGAAGATATATCCTTTTCTACCATAGGCCACAAACGTCTCCAAATATCCACATGCAGCTTCTACAAAAAGAGAGATTCAAAACTTCTCCATCAAAAGATAGGTTCAACTCTGTGAGTTGAATGCACACCTCACAAAGAAGTTTCTCAGAGTGCTTCTGTGTGTTTTTATGTGAACATATTCCCTTTTCCACAATAGGCCTCAAAGCTCTCCAAATATCTGCAAGCAGAGTCTACAAAAAGAGAGATTCAAAACTGCTCAATGAAAAGATAGGTTCAACTCTGTGAGTTGAATGCACACCTCCAAAGAAGTTTCTCAGAATGCTTCCGTGTAGTTTCTATGTGAAGATATTTACTTTTCCACAATTGTCCCAAAGCTCTAAAATATCCACTTGCAGACCCTCTGAAAGAGTGTTTCAGAATTGCTCAATCAAAGGAGAGGTTCAATTCTGTGTGACCAATGCACTCATCACCAAGAAGTTTGTCTGAATGCTTCTGTGTAGAATGGATTTGAAGATAATTCCTTTTCCACCACAGTCCGCAAAGGGCTAAAAATATCCATTTGCAGATTCCACAAAAAGAGAGATTCAGAACTGCTCAATCACAAGATAGGTTCAACTTGGTAATTTGAAAGCCCACATGACAAACAATTTCTGAGAATGTTTCTGTGTAGTTTTTAAGGGAAGATATTTGATTTTCAAATGTAGGCCTCAAATCGCTCCAAATATCCACTTGCAGATTGAACAAAAAGAGAGATTCAAAACTGGTCACTCAAGAGATAGGTCCAGCTCTGTGAGTTGAATGCAAACCTCACAAAGATGTTTCTCAGAAGGCTTCTGTATAGTTTTTATATGAAGATATTTGCTTTTCCACAACATACCTCAAATCTCTCCAATTATCCACTTGCAGATTCTACAGAAGGAGTGTTTTAAAACTGCTCAATCAAAATACACTTTCAACTCTGTGAGATCAATGCACACATCACAAAGAAGTTTCTCAGAATGCTTCTGTATAGTTTTTATCTGAAGTTACTTGCTTTTCCACGATAGGCCTCAAAGCACACCAAATATCCACTTGCAGATCCTATGAAAACAGTGTTCCAAAACTGGTCAATCATAAGATAGGTTTAACTCTGTGAGTTGAATGCACAATCACAAGAAGTTTCTCAGAATGCCTCTGTGTAGTTTTTATTTGAAGGTATTTCCTTTTCCACCCTAGGTAGCAAAGGGCTCCAAATATCCTCTTGCAGATTCTGCAAAATGAGAGATTCAAAACTGCTCAATCAAAAGATAGGTTCAGCTCTGTGAGTTGAATGCTCACATAACAAAGAAGTTTCTCACAGTATTTCTGCGTAGTTTTTAAGTGAAGATATTTTCTTTTCCGAAATAGACCTCAAAGCCCTCCAAATATCAACTTCCAGACTCTACAAAAGCAGTGTTTCAAAACTGCTCAATCAAAAGAAAGTGTCAACTCTGTGAGATGAATGTACACATCACAAAGAAGTTTCTCAGAATGCTTCTGTGTAGTTTTTATTTGAAGATATTTCCTTTTCCACCACAGGCCGCAAAGGGCTCCCAATATCCACTTGCAGATTGTACAAAAAGAGAGATTCAAAACTGGTCACTCAAGCACTGTGTGCTTCCGCTCTGTGAGTTGAATGCACACATCAAAAAGAAGTTTCTTAGAGTGCCTCTATGTAGATTTTATGTGAAGATATTTGCTTTTCCACTTTAGGTCTCAAAGCGCTCCAAATATCCACGTGCAGATTCTAAAAAAAGAGACATTCTAAGCTACTCCATCAAAAGATAGGTTCAGCTCTGTGAGTTGAATTCACACATCACAAAGAAGTTTCTAGGAGTGCTTCTGTGTAGTTGTTATGTGAAGATATTTGCTTTTCCACAGTAGGCCTCAAATCGCTCTACATATCCACTTGCAGTTTCTACAAAAAGAGTGTTTCCAAACTGCTCCATCATAAGACACGTTCAACTCTGAGAGTTGAATGCACACATCACAAAGAAGTTTCTCAGAATGCTTCTGTGTGGTTTTAATTTGAAGATATTTCCTTTTCCAAAACAGGCCTCAAAGCTCTCCAAATATCCCCCTGGTTATTCTGCAAAAAGAGGGTTTCAAAACTACTCAATAAAAAGGTAGATTCAACTCTGTGTGAGGAACGCATTCCTCACAAAGAAGTCTCTCTGAAAGCTTCTGTGTAGTTTTTATATGAAGATATTTCCTTTTGCACCACAGCGTGCAAACAGCTCCAAACTTCCACTTGCAGATTCTACAAAAAGAGATATTCAAAACTGTACAATCAAAAGATAGTTTCAACTCTGCGTGTTCAATGCACACATCACAAAGGACTTTCTCTGAATGCTTTCTCTGTAGTGTTTGTTTATGTGAAGATATTTGCTTTTCCACTATAGGGTGAAACAGGGCTCCATGTATCAACTTGCAGATTCTGCAAAAAGGAGATTCAAAACAGCTAAATCGAAAGATAACTTCAACTATGTGAGTTGAATGCACACACAAAAAAGAAGTTTCTCAGAATGCCTCTGTGTAGTTTTTATGTGAAGATATTTGATTTTCCACATTAGGCCTCAAAGCACTCCAAATATCCACTTGCAGATTCTAGAAAAAGAGTGTTTCAAAACTGCCCTATCAAAAGAAACGTCCAACACTGTGAGATGAATGCGCACATCACAAAGAAGTTTCTCAGAATGCTTCTTTGTAGTTTTTATGTGAAGATATTCCCTTTTCCAAAGAAGGCCACAAAGTACTCCCAATATCCACTTGCAGGTTCTACAAAATGAGTGTTTCAAAACCGCTCAATCATTAGATAGGTTCAACTCTGTGAGACGAATGCACACGTCACAAAGAAGTTTTACGGAATGCTTCTATATAGTTTTTATTTGAAGGTATTTCCTTTTCCACCCTAGGTTGCAAAGGGCTCCAAATATCCACTTGCAGATTCGACAAAAAGAGAGATTCAAAACTGCTCAATGATAAGTCCAACTCTGTGGGTTGAATCCATGCCTCACAAAGAAGTTTCTCAGAATGCTTCTCTGTAGTTTTTATGTGAAGATATTTCCTTTTTCACAATAGGCCTCAAGCTTTCCAAATATCCACTTGCAGATTCCGCAAAAAGAGAGATACAAAAGTGCTCTATCAAAAGATAGGTTCGACTCTGGGAGTTCAATGCAAACATCACAAAGAAGTTTCTCAGAATGCTTCTGTGTAGTTTTTATGTGAAGATGTTCTGTTTTCTACCATAGGGCAAAATGGGGCTCCAAATATCTACTTGCATTTTCTACAAAAAGAGAGATTCTAAGCTGCTCAATCAAAAGATACGTTCAACACTGTTAGTTGAATGCACACATGCCAAAGAAGTTTCTCAGAATGCTTCTGTGTAGTTTTTATGTGAAGATATTTGCTTTTCCACAATAGGCCTCAAATCGTTCTAAATATCCACTTGCAGGCTCTACAAAAAGAGTGTTTCCAAATTGGTCAGTCATAAGGTAGGTTCAACTCTGAGAGTTGAATGCACACATCATAAAGAAGTTTCTCAGAATGGTTCTGTGTAGTTTTACTTTGAAGATATTTCATTTTCCAAAACAGGCCCCAAAGCTCTCCAAATATCTACTTGGTGATTCTGCAAAAAGAGCGTTTCAATACTGCTCAATAAAAAGAAACGTTCAGCTCTGTGTGAGGAATGCATTCATCACAAAGAAGTTTCTCTGAATGCTTCTTTGTAGTTTTTATATGAAGATAGTTCCCTTTCCACCACAGGGTGCAAAGAGCTCCAAATATCCACTTGCAGATTCTACAGAAAATGAGATACGAAAGTGCTCAAGGAAAAGATAAGTTCAACTCTGTGAGTTGCATGCACACCTCACAAAGAAGAATCTCAAAATGCTTCTGCATAGTTTATATGTGAAGATATTTCCTTTTCCAAATAGGCCTCCAAGTTCTCCAGATATCCACTCGCAGATTCTGCAAAAAGAGAGACTCAAAACTGCTGAATCAAAGCATAGTTTCAACTCTGTGACTTCATTGCACACCTCACAAAGATGTTTCTCAGAATGCTTCTGTGCAGTTTTTATATAAAGATATCTCCTTCTCCAAAATAGATCTCAAAGTTATCCAAGTATTCACTTCCAGATTCTATGGAAAGATTATCTCAAAACTGCTCAATCAAACCAAAGGTTCAACTCTGTGAGATAAATGCACACATCACAAAGAAGTTTCTCAGAATACTTTCCATGTAGTTTTTATTTGAGGATAGTTCCTTTTCCACCACAGACCACAAAGGGCTCCAAATATCCATTGCAGATGGTACAAACAGAGAGACTCGAAACTGCTCAATCAAAAGGTAGTTTCAACCATGTGATATGAATGCACACAGCACAGAGAATTTTCTCAAAATGCTTCTGTCTAGTTTTTATTTGAAGATATATCCTTTTCTACCATAGGCCACAAACGTCTCCAAATATCCACATGCAGCTTCTACAAAAAGAGAGATTCAAAACTTCTCCATCAAAAGATAGGTTCAACTCTGTGAGTTGAATGCACACCTCACAAAGAAGTTTCTCAGAGTGCTTCTGTGTGTTTTTATGTGAACATATTCCCTTTTCCACAATAGGCCTCAAAGCTCTCCAAATATCTGCAAGCAGAGTCTACAAAAAGAGAGATTCAAAACTGCTCAATGAAAAGATAGGTTCAACTCTGTGAGTTGAATGCACACCTCCAAAGAAGTTTCTCAGAATGCTTCCGTGTAGTTTCTATGTGAAGATATTTACTTTTCCACAATTGTCCCAAAGCTCTAAAATATCCACTTGCAGACCCTCTGAAAGAGTGTTTCAGAATTGCTCAATCAAAGGAGAGGTTCAATTCTGTGTGACCAATGCACTCATCACCAAGAAGTTTGTCTGAATGCTTCTGTGTAGAATGGATTTGAAGATAATTCCTTTTCCACCACAGTCCGCAAAGGGCTAAAAATATCCATTTGCAGATTCCACAAAAAGAGAGATTCAGAACTGCTCAATCACAAGATAGGTTCAACTTGGTAATTTGAAAGCCCACATGACAAACAATTTCTGAGAATGTTTCTGTGTAGTTTTTAAGGGAAGATATTTGATTTTCAAATGTAGGCCTCAAATCGCTCCAAATATCCACTTGCAGATTGAACAAAAAGAGAGATTCAAAACTGGTCACTCAAGAGATAGGTCCAGCTCTGTGAGTTGAATGCAAACCTCACAAAGATGTTTCTCAGAAGGCTTCTGTATAGTTTTTATATGAAGATATTTGCTTTTCCACAACATACCTCAAATCTCTCCAATTATCCACTTGCAGATTCTACAGAAGGAGTGTTTTAAAACTGCTCAATCAAAATACACTTTCAACTCTGTGAGATCAATGCACACATCACAAAGAAGTTTCTCAGAATGCTTCTGTATAGTTTTTATCTGAAGTTACTTGCTTTTCCACGATAGGCCTCAAAGCACACCAAATATCCACTTGCAGATCCTGTGAAAACAGTGTTCCAAAACTGGTCAATCATAAGATAGGTTTAACTCTGTGAGTTGAATGCACAATCACAAGAAGTTTCTCAGAATGCCTCTGTGTAGTTTTTATTTGGAGGTATTTCCTTTTCCACCCTAGGTAGCAAAGGGCTCCAAATATCCCCTTGCAGATTCTGCAAAATGAGAGATTCAAAACTGCTCAATCAAAAGATAGGTTCAGCTCTGTGAGTTGAATGCTCACATAACAAAGAAGTTTCTCACAGTATTTCTGCCTAGTTTTTAAGTGAAGATATTTTCTTTTCCGAAATAGACCTCAAAGCCCTCCAAATATCAACTTCCAGACTCTACAAAAGCAGTGTTTCAAAACTGCTCAATCAAAAGAAATTGTCAACTCTGTGAGATGAATGTACACATCACAAAGAAGTTTCTCAGAATGCTTCTGTGTAGTTTTTATTTGAAGATATTTCCTTTTCCACCACAGGCCGCAAAGGGCTCCCAATATCCACTTGCAGATTGTACAAAAAGAGAGATTCAAAACTGGTCACTCAAGCACTGTGTGCTTCCGCTCTGTGAGTTGAATGCACACATCAAAAAGAAGTTTCTTAGAGTGCCTCTATGTAGATTTTATGTGAAGATATTTGCTTTTCCACTTTAGGTCTCAAAGCGCTCCAAATATCCACGTGCAGATTCTAAAAAAAGAGACATTCTAAGCTACTCCATCAAAAGATAGGTTCAGCTCTGTGAGTTGAATTCACACATCACAAAGAAGTTTCTAGGAGTGCTTCTGTGTAGTTGTTATGTGAAGATATTTGCTTTTCCACAGTAGGCCTCAAATCGCTCTACATATCCACTTGCAGTTTCTACAAAAAGAGTGTTTCCAAACTGCTCCATCATAAGACACGTTCAACTCTGAGAGTTGAATGCACACATCACAAAGAAGTTTCTCAGAATGCTTCTGTGTGGTTTTAATTTGAAGATATTTCCTTTTCCAAAACAGGCCTCAAAGCTCTCCAAATATCCCCCTGGTTATTCTGCAAAAAGAGGGTTTCAAAACTACTCAATAAAAAGGTAGATTCAACTCTGTGTGAGGAACGCATTCCTCACAAAGAAGTCTCTCTGAAAGCTTCTGTGTAGTTTTTATATGAAGATATTTCCTTTTGCACCACAGCGTGCAAACAGCTCCAAACTTCCACTTGCAGATTCTACAAAAAGAGATATTCAAAACTGTACAATCAAAAGATAGTTTCAACTCTGCGTGTTCAATGCACACATCACAAAGGACTTTCTCTGAATGCTTCTCTGTAGTGTTTGTTTATGTGAAGAGATTTGCTTTTCCACTATAGGGTGAAACAGGGCTCCAGGTATCAACTTGCAGATTCTGCAAAAAGGAGATTCAAAACAGCTAAATCGAAAGATAACTTCAACTATGTGAGTTGAATGCACACACAAAAAAGAAGTTTCTCAGAATGCCTCTGTGTAGTTTTTATGTGAAGATATTTGATTTTCCACATTAGGCCTCAAAGCGCTCCAAATATCCACTTGCAGACTCTACAAGAAGACTCTTTCGAAACTGCCCCATCAAAAGAAACGTCCAACACTGTGAGATGCATGCACACATCACAAAGAAGTTTCTCAGAATGCTTCTTTGTAGTTTTCATGTGAAGATATTTCCTTTTCCAAAGAAGGCCACAAACTACTCCCAATATCCACTTCCAGGTTCTACAAAATGAGTGTTTCAAAACTGCTCAATCATTAGATAGGTTCAACTCTGTGAGATGAATGCACACATCACAAAGAAGTTTTTCGGAATGCTCTATATAGTTTTTATGTGAAGGTGTTTCCTTTTCCACCATAGGTTGCAAAAGGGCTCCAAATATCCACTTGCAGATTCGACCAAAAGAGAGATTCAAAACTGCTCAATGATAAGTCCAACTCTGTGGGTTGAATCCATGCCTCACAGAGAAGTTTCTCAGAATGCTCTCTCTGTAGTTTCTATGTGAAGATATTTCCTTTTTCACAATAGGCCTCAAGCTTTCCAAATATCCACTTGCAGATTCTGCAAAAAGAGAGATACAAAACTGCTCTATCAAAAGATAGGTTCGACTCTGGGAGTTCAATGCAAACATCACAAAGAAGTTTCTCAGAATGCTTCTGTGTAGTTTTTATGTGAAGATGTTCTGTTTTCTACCATAGGGCAAAATGGGGCTCCAAATATCTACTTGCATTTTCTACAAAAAGAGAGATTCTAAGCTGCTCAATCAAAAGATAGGTTCAACACTGTTAGTTGAATGCACACATGCCAAAGAAGTTTCTCAGAATGCTTCTGTGTAGTTTTTATGTGAAGATATTTGCTTTTCCACAATAGGCCTCAAATCGTTCTAAATATCCACTTGCAGGCTCTACAAAAAGAGTGTTTCCAAATTGGTCAATCATAAGGTAGGTTCAACTCTGAGAGTTGAATGCACACATCATAAAGAAGTTTCTCAGAATGGTTCTGTGTAGTTTTACTTTGAAGATATTTCATTTTCCAAAACAGGCCCCAAAGCTCTCCAAATATCCACTTGGTGATTCTGCAAAAAGAGCGTTTCAATACTGCTCAATAAAAAGAAACGTTCAGCTCTGTGTGAGGAATGCATTCATCACAAAGAAGTTTCTCTGAATGCTTCTTTGTAGTTTTTATATGAAAATAGTTCCCTTTCCACCACAGGGTGCAAAGAGCTCCAAATATCCACTTGCAGATTCTACAGAAAATGAGATACGAAAGTGCTCAAGGAAAAGATAAGTTCAACTCTGTGAGTTGCATGCACACCTCACAAAGAAGAATCTCAAAATGCTTCTGCATAGTTTATATGTGAAGATATTTCCTTTTCCAAATAGGCCTCCAAGTTCTCCAGATATCCACTCGCAGATTCTGCAAAAAGAGAGACTCAAAACTGCTGAATCAAAACATAGTTTCAACTCTGTGACTTCATTGCACACCTCACAAAGATGTTTCTCAGAATGCTTCTGTGCAGTTTTCATATAAAGATATCTCCTTCTCCAAAATAGATCTCAAGGTTCTCCAAATATTCACTTCCAGATTCTATGGAAAGATTGTCTCAAAACTGCTCAATCAAACCAAAGGTTCAACCCTGTGAGATGAATGCACACATCACAAGGAAGTTTCTCGGAATACTTCTGTGTAGTTTTTATTTGAGGATAGTTCCTTTTCCACCACAGACCACAAAGGGCTCCAAATATCCATTGCAGATGTTACAAAAAGAGAGATTCAAAACTGCTCAACCAAAAGGTAGTTTCAACCATGTGATATGAATGCACACAGCACAGAGAAATTTCTCAAAATGCTTCTGTCTAGTTTTTATTTGAAGATATTGCCTTTTCTACCATAGGCCACAAACGTCTCCAAATATCCACATGCAGCTTCTACAAAAAGAGAGATTCAAAGCTTCTCAATCAAAAGATAGGTTCAACTCTGTGAGTTGAATGCACACTTCACAAAGAAGTTTCTCAGAGTGCTTCTGTGTGTTTTTATGTGAAGATGATTCCTTTTCCACAATAGGCCTCAAAGCTCTCCAAGTATCTGCAAGCAGAGTCTACAAAAAGAGAGATTCAAAACTGCTCAATGAAAAGATAGGTTCAACTCTGTGAGTTGAATGCACACCTCCAAAGAAGTTTCTCAGAATGCTTCCGTGTAGTTTCTATGTGAAGATATTTACTTTTCCACAATTGTCCCAAAGCTCTAAAATATCCACTTGCGAGACCCTCTGAAAGAGTGTTTCAGAATTGCTCAATCAAAGGAGAGGTTCAATTCTGTGTGACCAATGCACTCATCACAAAAAGTTTGTCTGAATGCTTCTGTGTAGAATGGATTTGAAGATAATTCCTTTTCCACCACAGTCCGCAAATGGCTAAAAATATCCACTTGCAGATTCCACAAAAAGAGAGATTCAAAACTGCTCAATCACAAGGTAGGTTCAACTTGGTAATTTGAAAGCACACATGACAAACAATTTCTGAGAATGTTTCTGTGTAGCTTTTAAGGGAAGATATTTGATTTTCAAATGTAGGCCTCAAAACGCTCCAAATATCCACTTGCAGATTGTACAAAAAGAGAGATTCAAAACTGGTCACTCAAAAGATAGTTCCAGCTCTGTGAGTTGAATGCAAACCTCACAAAGATGTTTCTCAGAAAGCTTCTGTATAGTTTTTATATGAAGATACTTGCTTTTCCACAATATACCTCAAATCTCCCCAATTATCCACTTGCAGATTCTACAAAAAGAGTGTTTCAAAACTGCTCAATCAAAATACACTTTCAACTCTGTGAGATCAATGCACACATCACAAAGAAGTTTCTCAGAATGCTCTTTTCCACGATAGGCCTCAAAGCACGCCAAATATCCACTTGCAGATCCTATGAAAAGAGTGTTCCAAAACTGGTCAATCATAAGATAGGTTTAACTCTGTGAGTTGAATGCACAATCACGAGGAAGTTTCTCAGAATGCCTCTGTGTGCTTTTCATTTGAAGGTATTTCCTTTTCCACCATAGGCCGCAAAGGGCTCCAAATATCCCCTTGCAGATTCTGCAAAATGAGAGATTCAAAACTGCTCAATCAAAAGATAGGTTCAACTCTGTGAGTTGAATGCTCACATAACAAAGAAGTTTCTTCTGTGTAGTTTTTATTTGAAGATATTTCCTTTTCCACCATAGGCCACAAAGGGCTCCAAATATCCACTTGCAGATTGTACAAAAAGAGAGATTCAAAACTGGTCACTCAAAGGATCGGTTCAGCTCTGTGAGGTGAATGCACACATCAAAAAGAAGTTTCTTAGAGTGCCTCTATGTAGATTTTATGTGAAGATATTTGCTTTTCCACTTTAGGTCTCAAAGCGCTCCAAATATCCACGTGCAGATTCTAAAAAAAGAGAGATTCTAAGCTACTCCATCAAAAGATAGGTTCAGCTCTGTGAGTTGAATTCACACATCACAAAGAAGTTTCTAGGAGTGCTTCTGTGTAGTTGTTATGTGAAGATATTTGCTTTTCCACAGTAGGCCTCAAATCGCTCTACATATCCACTTGCAGTTTCTACAAAAAGAGTGTTTCCAAACTGCTCCATCATAAGACACGTTCAACTCTGAGAGTTGAATGCACACATCACAAAGAAGCTTCTCAGAATGCTTCTGTGTGGTTTTAATTTGAAGATATTTCCTTTTCCAAAACAGGCCTCAAAGCTCTCCGAATATCCACCTGGTTATTCTGCAAAAAGAGGGTTTCAATACTACTCAATAAAAAGGAAGATTCAACTCTGTGTGAGGAACGCATTCATCACAAAGAAGTCTTTCTGAATGCTTCTGTGTAGCTTTTATATGAAGATATTTCCTTTTACACCACAGGGTGCAAACAGCTCCAAACTTCCACTTGCAGATTCTACAAAAAGACGTATTCAAAACTGTACAATCAAAAGATAGTGTCAACTCTGCATGTTCAATGCACACATCACAAAGGACTTTCTCTGAATGCTTCTCTGTAGGGTTTGTTTATGTGAAGATATTTGCTTTTCCACTATAGGGTGAAACAGGGCTCCAAGTATCAACTTGCAGATTCTGCAAAAAGGAGATTCAAAACAGCTAAATCCAAAGATTACTTCAACTATGTGAGTTGAATGCACACACAAAAAAGAAGTTTCTCAGAATGCCTCTGTGTAGTTTTTATGTGAAGATATTTGATTTTCCACATTAGGCCTCAAAGCGCTCTAAATATCCACTTGCAGATTCTAGAAAAAGAGTGTTTCAAAACTGCCCTATCAAAAGAAACGTCCAACACTGTGAGATGAATGCACACATCACAAAGAAGTTTCTCAGAATGCTTCTTTGTAATTTTTATGTGAAGATATTCCCTTTTCCAAAGAAGGCCACAAAGTACTCCCAATATCCACTTGCAGGTTCTACAAAATGAGTGTTTCAAAACCGCTCAATCATTAGATAGGTTCAACTCTGTGAGACGAATGCACACATCACAAAGAAGTTTTACGGAATGCTTCTATATAGTTTTTATTTGAAGGTATTTCCTTTTCCACCCTAGGTTGCCAAGGGCTCCAAATATCCACTTGCAGATTCGACAAAAAGAGAGATTCAAAACTGCTCAATGATAAGTCCAACTCTGTGGGTTGAATCCATGCCTCACAAAGAAGTTTCTCAGAATGCTTCTCTGTAGTTTTTATGTGAAGATATTTCCTTTTTCACAATAGGTCTCAAGCTTTCCAAATATCCACTTGCAGATTCCGCAAAAAGAGAGATACAAAAGTGCTCTATCAAAAGATAGGTTCGACTCTGGGAGTTCAATGCAAACATCACAAAGAAGTTTCTCAGAATGCTTCTGTGTAGTTTTTATGTGAAGATGTTCTGTTTTCTACCATAGGGCAAAATGGGGCTCCAAATCTCTACTTGCATTTTCTACAAAAAGAGAGATTCTAAGCTGCTCAATCAAAAGATACGTTCAACACTGTTAGTTGAATGCACACATGCCAAAGAAGTTTCTCAGAATGCTTCTGTGTAGTTTTTATGTGAAGATATTTGCTTTTCCACAATAGGCCTCAAATCGTTCTAAATATCCACTTGCAGGCTCTACAAAAAGAGTGTTTCCAAATTGGTCAATCATAAGGTAGGTTCAACTCTGAGAGTTGAATGCACACATCATAAAGAAGTTTCTCAGAATGGTTCTGTGTAGTTTTACTTTGAAGATATTTCATTTTCCAAAACAGGCCCCAAAGCTCTCCAAATATCCACTTGGTGATTCTGCAAAAAGAGCGTTTCAATACTGCTCAATAAAAAGAAACGTTCAGCTCTGTGTGAGGAATGCATTCATCACAAAGAAGTTTCTCTGAATGCTTCTTTGTAGTTTTTATATGAAGATAGTTCCCTTTCCACCACAGGGTGCAAAGAGCTCCAAATATCCACTTGCAGATTCTACAGAAAATGAGATACGAAAGTGCTCAAGGAAAAGATAAGTTCAACTCTGTTAGTTGCATGCACACCTCACAAAGAAGAATCTCAAAATGCTTCTGCATAGTTTATATGTGAAGATATTTCCTTTTCCAAATAGGCCTCCAAGTTCTCCAGATATCCACTCGCAGATTCTGCAAAAAGAGAGACTCAAAACTGCTGAATCAAAGCATAGTTTCAACTCTGTGACTTCATTGCACACCTCACAAAGATGTTTCTCAGAATGCTTCTGTGCAGTTTTCATATAAAGATATCTCCTTCTCCAAAATAGATCTCAAGGTTCTCCAAATATTCACTTCCAGATTCTATGGAAAGATTGTCTCAAAACTGCTCAATCAAACCAAAGGTTCAACCCTGTGAGATGAATGCACACATCACAAGGGAAGTTTCTCGGAATACTTCTGTGTAGTTTTTATTTGAGGATAGTTCCTTTTCCACCACAGACCACAAAGGGCTCCAAATATCCATTGCAGATGTTACAAAAAGAGAGATTCAAAACTGCTCAACCAAAAGGTAGTTTCAACCATGTGATATGAATGCACACAGCACAGAGAAATTTCTCAAAATGCTTCTGTCTAGTTTTTATTTGAAGATATTGCCTTTTCTACCATAGGCCACAAACGTCTCCAAATATCCACATGCAGCTTCTACAAAAAGAGAGATTCAAAGCTTCTCAATCAAAAGATAGGTTCAACTCTGTGAGTTGAATGCACACGTCACAAAGAAGTTTCTCAGAGTGCTTCTGTGTGTTTTTATGTGAAGATGATTCCTTTTCCACAATAGGCCTCAAAGCTCTCCAAGTATCTGCAAGCAGAGTCTACAAAAAGAGAGATTCAAAACTGCTCAATGAAAAGATAGGTTCAACTCTGTGAGTTGAATGCACACCTCCAAAGAAGTTTCTCAGAATGCTTCCGTGTAGTTTCTATGTGAAGATATTTACTTTTCCACAATTGTCCCAAAGCTCTAAAATATCCACTTGCAGACCCTCTGAAAGAGTGTTTCAGAATTGCTCAATCAAAGGAGAGGTTCAATTCTGTGTGACCAATGCACTCATCACCAAGAAGTTTGTCTGAATGCTTCTGTGTAGAATGGATTTGAAGATAATTCCTTTTCCACCACAGTCCGCAAATGGCTAAAAATATCCACTTGCAGATTCCACAAAAAGAGAGATTCAAAACTGCTCAATCACAAGGTAGGTTCAACTTGGTAATTTGAAAGCACACATGACAAACAATTTCTGAGAATGTTTCTGTGTAGCTTTTAAGGGAAGATATTTGATTTTCAAATGTAGGCCTCAAAACGCTCCAAATATCCACTTGCAGATTGTACAAAAAGAGAGATTCAAAACTGGTCACTCAAAAGATAGTTCCAGCTCTGTGAGTTGAATGCAAACCTCACAAAGATGTTTCTCAGAAAGCTTCTGTATAGTTTTTATATGAAGATACTTGCTTTTCCACAATATACCTCAAATCTCCCCAATTATCCACTTGCAGATTCTACAAAAAGAGTGTTTCAAAACTGCTCAATCAAAATACACTTTCAACTCTGTGAGATCAATGCACACATCACAAAGAAGTTTCTCAGAATGCTTCTGTATAGTTTTTATCTGAAGTTATTTGCTTTTCCACGATAGGCCTCAAAGCACGCCAAATATCCACTTGCAGATCCTATGAAAAGAGTGTTCCAAAACTGGTCAATCATAAGATAGGTTTAACTCTGTGAGTTGAATGCACAATCACGAGGAAGTTTCTCAGAATGCCTCTGTGTGCTTTTCATTTGAAGGTATTTCCTTTTCCACCATAGGCCGCAAAGGGCTCCAAATATCCCCTTGCAGATTCTGCAAAATGAGAGATTCAAAACTGCTCAATCAAAAGATAGGTTCAAGTCTGTGAGTTGAATGCTCACATAACAAAGAAGTTTCTTCTGTGTAGTTTTTATTTGAAGATATTTCCTTTTCCACCATAGGCCGCAAAGGGCTCCAAATATCCACTTGCAGATTGTATAAAAAGAGAGATTCAAAACTGGTCACTCGAAGGATCGGTTCAGCTCTGTGAGGTGAATGCACACATCAAAAAGAAGTTTCTTAGAGTGCCTCTATGTAGATTTTATGTGAAGATATTTGCTTTTCCACTTTAGGTCTCAAAGCGCTCCAAATATCCACGTGCAGATTCTAAAAAAAGAGAGATTCTAAGCTACTCCATCAAAAGATAGGTTCAGCTCTGTGAGTTGAATTCACACATCACAAAGAAGTTTCTAGGAGTGCTTCTGTGTAGTTGTTATGTGAAGATATTTGCTTTTCCACAGTAGGCCTCAAATCGCTCTACATATCCACTTGCAGTTTCTACAAAAAAGAGTGTTTCCAAACTGCTCCATCATAAGACACGTTGAACTCTGAGAGTTGAATGCACACATCACAAAGAAGCTTCTCAGAATGCTTCTGTGTGGTTTTAATTTGAAGATATTTCCTTTTCCAAAACAGGCCTCAAAGCTCTCCAAATATCCACCTGGTTATTCTGCAAAAAGAGGGTTTCAATACTACTCAATAAAAAGGAAGATTCAACTCTGTGTGAGGAACGCATTCATCACAAAGAAGTCTTTCTGAATGCTTCTGTGTAGCTTTTATATGAAGATATTTCCTTTTACACCACAGGGTGCAAACAGCTCCAAACTTCCACTTGCAGATTCTACAAAAAGACGTATTCAAAACTGTACAATCAAAAGATAGTGTCAACTCTGCATGTTCAATGCACACATCACAAAGGACTTTCTCTGAATGCTTCTCTGTAGGGTTTGTTTATGTGAAGACATTTGCTTTTCCACTATAGGGTGAAACAGGGCTCCAAGTATCAACTTGCAGATTCTGCAAAAAGGAGATTCAAAACAGCTAAATCCAAAGATTACTTCAACTATGTGAGTTGAATGCACACACAAAAAAGAAGTTTCTCAGAATGCCTTCTGTGTAGTTTTTATGTGAAGATATTTGATTTTCCACATTAGGCCTCAAAGCGCTCTAAATATCCACTTGCAGATTCTAGAAAAAGAGTGTTTCAAAACTGCCCTATCAAAAGAAACGTCCAACACTGTGAGATGAATGCACACATCACAAAGAAGTTTCTCAGAATGCTTCTTTGTAATTTTTATGTGAAGATATTCCCTTTTCCAAAGAAGGCCACAAAGTACTCCCAATATCCACTTGCAGGTTCTACAAAATGAGTGTTTCAAAACCGCTCAATCATTAGATAGGTTCAACTCTGTGAGACGAATGCACACGTCACAAAGAAGTTTTACGGAATGCTTCTATATAGTTTTTATTTGAAGGTATTTCCTTTTCCACCCTAGGTTGCCAAGGGCTCCAAATATCCACTTGCAGATTCGACAAAAAGAGACATTCAAAACTGCTCAATGATAAGTCCAACTCTGTGGGTTGAATCCATGCCTCACAAAGAAGTTTCTCAGAATGCTTCTCTGTAGTTTTTATGTGAAGATATTTCCTTTTTCACAATAGGCCTCAAGCTTTCCAAATATCCACTTGCAGATTCCGCAAAAAGAGAGATACAAAAGTGCTCTATCAAAAGATAGGTTCGACTCTGGGAGTTCAATGCAAACATCACAAAGAAGTTTCTCAGAATGCTTCTGTGTAGTTTTTATGTGAAGATGTTCTGTTTTCTACCATAGGGCAAAATGGGGCTCCAAATCTCTACTTGCATTTTCTACAAAAAGAGAGATTCTAAGCTGCTCAATCAAAAGATACGTTCAACACTGTTAGTTGAATGCACACATGCCAAAGAAGTTTCTCAGAATGCTTCTGTGTAGTTTTTATGTGAAGATATTTGCTTTTCCACAATAGGCCTCAAATCGTTCTAAATATCCACTTGCAGGCTCTACAAAAAGAGTGTTTCCAAATTGGTCAATCATAAGGTAGGTTCAACTCTGAGAGTTGAATGCACACATCATAAAGAAGTTTCTCAGAATGGTTCTGTGTAGTTTTACTTTGAAGATATTTCATTTTCCAAAACAGGCCCCAAAGCTCTCCAAATATCCACTTGGTGATTCTGCAAAAAGAGCGTTTCAATACTGCTCAATAAAAAGAAACGTTCAGCTCTGTGTGAGGAATGCATTCATCACAAAGAAGTTTCTCTGAATGCTTCTTTGTAGTTTTTATATGAAGATAGTTCCCTTTCCACCACAGGGTGCAAAGAGCTCCAAATATCCACTTGCAGATTCTACAGAAAATGAGATACGAAAGTGCTCAAGGAAAAGATAAGTTCAACTCTGTGAGTTGCATGCACACCTCACAAAGAAGAATCTCAAAATGCTTCTGCATAGTTTATATGTGAAGATATTTCCTTTTCCAAATAGGCCTCCAAGTTCTCCAGATATCCACTCGCAGATTCTGCAAAAAGAGAGACTCAAAACTGCTGAATCAAAACATAGTTTCAACTCTGTGACTTCATTGCACACCTCACAAAGATGTTTCTCAGAATGCTTCTGTGCAGTTTTCATATAAAGATATCTCCTTCTCCAAAATAGATCTCAAGGTTCTCCAAATATTCACTTCCAGATTCTATGGAAAGATTGTCTCAAAACTGCTCAATCAAACCAAAGGTTCAACCCTGTGAGATGAATGCACACATCACAAGGAAGTTTCTCGGAATACTTCCCGTGTAGTTTTTATTTGAGGATAGTTCCTTTTCCACCACAGACCACAAAGGGCTCCAAATATCCATTGCAGATGGTACAAACAGAGAGACTCGAAACTGCTCAATCAAAAGGTAGTTTCAACCATGTGATATGAATGCACACAGCACAGAGAATTTTCTCAAAATGCTTCTGTCTAGTTTTTATTTGAAGATATTGCCTTTTCTACCATAGGCCACAAACGTCTCCAAATATCCACATGCAGCTTCTACAAAAAGAGAGATTCAAAGCTTCTCAATCAAAAGATAGGTTCAACTCTGTGAGTTGAATGCACACTTCACAAAGAAGTTTCTCAGAGTGCTTCTGTGTGTTTTTATGTGAAGATGATTCCTTTTCCACAATAGGCCTCAAAGCTCTCCAAGTATCTGCAAGCAGAGTCTACAAAAAGAGAGATTCAAAACTGCTCAATGAAAAGATAGGTTCAACTCTGTGAGTTGAATGCACACCTCCAAAGAAGTTTCTCAGAATGCTTCCGTGTAGTTTCTATGTGAAGATATTTACTTTTCCACAATTGTCCCAAAGCTCTAAAATATCCACTTGCAGACCCTCTGAAAGAGTGTTTCAGAATTGCTCAATCAAAGGAGAGGTTCAATTCTGTGTGACCAATGCACTCATCACAAAAAGTTTGTCTGAATGCTTCTGTGTAGAATGGATTTGAAGATAATTCCTTTTCCACCACAGTCCGCAAATGGCTAAAAATATCCACTTGCAGATTCCACAAAAAGAGAGATTCAAAACTGCTCAATCACAAGGTAGGTTCAACTTGGTAATTTGAAAGCACACATGACAAACAATTTCTGAGAATGTTTCTGTGTAGCTTTTAAGGGAAGATATTTGATTTTCAAATGTAGGCCTCAAAACGCTCCAAATATCCACTTGCAGATTGTACAAAAAGAGAGATTCAAAACTGGTCACTCAAAAGATAGTTCCAGCTCTGTGAGTTGAATGCAAACCTCACAAAGATGTTTCTCAGAAAGCTTCTGTATAGTTTTTATATGAAGATACTTGCTTTTCCACAATATACCTCAAATCTCCCCAATTATCCACTTGCAGATTCTACAAAAAGAGTGTTTCAAAACTGCTCAATCAAAATACACTTTCAACTCTGTGAGATCAATGCACACATCACAAAGAAGTTTCTCAGAATGCTTCTGTATAGTTTTTATCTGAAGTTACTTGCTTTTCCACGATAGGCCTCAAAGCACACCAAATATCCACTTGCAGATCCTGTGAAAACAGTGTTCCAAAACTGGTCAATCATAAGATAGGTTTAACTCTGTGAGTTGAATGCACAATCACAAGAAGTTTCTCAGAATGCCTCTGTGTAGTTTTTATTTGAAGGTATTTCCTTTTCCACCATAGGTAGCAAAGGGCTCCAAATATCCCCTTGCAGATTCTGCAAAATGAGAGATTCAAAACTGCTCAATCAAAAGATAGGTTCAGCTCTGTGAGTTGAATGCTCACATAACAAAGAAGTTTCTCACAGTATTTCTGCCTAGTTTTTAAGTGAAGATATTTTCTTTTCCGAAATAGACCTCAAAGCCCTCCAAATATCAACTTCCAGACTCTACAAAAGCAGTGTTTCAAAACTGCTCAATCAAAAGAAATTGTCAACTCTGTGAGATGAATGTACACATCACAAAGAAGTTTCTCAGAATGCTTCTGTGTAGTTTTTATTTGAAGATATTTCCTTTTCCACCACAGGCCGCAAAGGGCTCCCAATATCCACTTGCAGATTGTACAAAAAGAGAGATTCAAAACTGGTCACTCAAGCACTGTGTGCTTCCGCTCTGTGAGTTGAATGCACACATCAAAAAGAAGTTTCTTAGAGTGCCTCTATGTAGATTTTATGTGAAGATATTTGCTTTTCCACTTTAGGTCTCAAAGCGCTCCAAATATCCACGTGCAGATTCTAAAAAAAGAGACATTCTAAGCTACTCCATCAAAAGATAGGTTCAGCTCTGTGAGTTGAATTCACACATCACAAAGAAGTTTCTAGGAGTGCTTCTGTGTAGTTGTTATGTGAAGATATTTGCTTTTCCACAGTAGGCCTCAAATCGCTCTACATATCCACTTGCAGTTTCTACAAAAAGAGTGTTTCCAAACTGCTCCATCATAAGACACGTTCAACTCTGAGAGTTGAATGCACACATCACAAAGAAGCTTCTCAGAATGCTTCTGTGTGGTTTTAATTTGAAGATATTTCCTTTTCCAAAACAGGCCTCAAAGCTCTCCGAATATCCACCTGGTTATTCTGCAAAAAGAGGGTTTCAATACTACTCAATAAAAAGGAAGATTCAACTCTGTGTGAGGAACGCATTCATCACAAAGAAGTCTTTCTGAATGCTTCTGTGTAGCTTTTATATGAAGATATTTCCTTTTACACCACAGGGTGCAAACAGCTCCAAACTTCCACTTGCAGATTCTACAAAAAGACGTATTCAAAACTGTACAATCAAAAGATAGTGTCAACTCTGCATGTTCAATGCACACATCACAAAGGACTTTCTCTGAATGCTTCTCTGTAGGGTTTGTTTATGTGAAGATATTTGCTTTTCCACTATAGGGTGAAACAGGGCTCCAAGTATCAACTTGCAGATTCTGCAAAAAGGAGATTCAAAACAGCTAAATCCAAAGATTACTTCAACTATGTGAGTTGAATGCACACACAAAAAAAGAAGTTTCTCAGAATGCCTCTGTGTAGTTTTTATGTGAAGATATTTGATTTTCCACATTAGGCCTCAAAGCGCTCCAAATATCCACTTGCAGATTCTAGAAAAAGAGTGTTTCAAAACTGCCCTATCAAAAGAAACGTCCAACACTGTGAGATGAATGCACACATCACAAAGAAGTTTCTCAGAATGCTTCTTTGTAGTTTTTATGTGAAGATATTCCCTTTTCCAAAGAAGG
Source organism: Homo sapiens (assembly GCF_000001405.40). NCBI lineage: Eukaryota > Metazoa > Chordata > Mammalia > Primates > Hominidae > Homo > Homo sapiens. The sequence goes on along the minus strand of NC_000015.10, from coordinate 17,337,235 downwards.
CCACAAAGTACTCCCAATATCCACTTGCAGGTTCTACAAAATGAGTGTTTCAAAACCGCTCAATCATTAGATAGGTTCAACTCTGTGAGACGAATGCACACGTCACAAAGAAGTTTTACGGAATGCTTCTATATAGTTTTTATTTGAAGGTATTTCCTTTTCCACCCTAGGTTGCAAAGGGCTCCAAATATCCACTTGCAGATTCGACAAAAAGAGAGATTCAAAACTGCTCAATGATAAGTCCAACTCTGTGGGTTGAATCCATGCCTCACAAAGAAGTTTCTCAGAATGCTTCTCTGTAGTTTTTATGTGAAGATATTTCCTTTTTCACAATAGGCCTCAAGCTTTCCAAATATCCACTTGCAGATTCCGCAAAAAGAGAGATACAAAAGTGCTCTATCAAAAGATAGGTTCGACTCTGGGAGTTCAATGCAAACATCACAAAGAAGTTTCTCAGAATGCTTCTGTGTAGTTTTTATGTGAAGATGTTCTGTTTTCTACCATAGGGCAAAATGGGGCTCCAAATATCTACTTGCATTTTCTACAAAAAGAGAGATTCTAAGCTGCTCAATCAAAAGATACGTTCAACACTGTTAGTTGAATGCACACATGCCAAAGAAGTTTCTCAGAATGCTTCTGTGTAGTTTTTATGTGAAGATATTTGCTTTTCCACAATAGGCCTCAAATCGTTCTAAATATCCACTTGCAGGCTCTACAAAAAGAGTGTTTCCAAATTGGTCAATCATAAGGTAGGTTCAACTCTGAGAGTTGAATGCACACATCATAAAGAAGTTTCTCAGAATGGTTCTGTGTAGTTTTACTTTGAAGATATTTCATTTTCCAAAACAGGCCCCAAAGCTCTCCAAATATCCACTTGGTGATTCTGCAAAAAGAGCGTTTCAATACTGCTCAATAAAAAGAAACGTTCAGCTCTGTGTGAGGAATGCATTCATCACAAAGAAGTTTCTCTGAATGCTTCTTTGTAGTTTTTATATGAAGATAGTTCCCTTTCCACCACAGGGTGCAAAGAGCTCCAAATATCCACTTGCAGATTCTACAGAAAATGAGATACGAAAGTGCTCAAGGAAAAGATAAGTTCAACTCTGTGAGTTGCATGCACACCTCACAAAGAAGAATCTCAAAATGCTTCTGCATAGTTTATATGTGAAGATATTTCCTTTTCCAAATAGGCCTCCAAGTTCTCCAGATATCCACTCGCAGATTCTGCAAAAAGAGAGACTCAAAACTGCTGAATCAAAACATAGTTTCAACTCTGTGACTTCATTGCACACCTCACAAAGATGTTTCTCAGAATGCTTCTGTGCAGTTTTCATATAAAGATATCTCCTTCTCCAAAATAGATCTCAAGGTTCTCCAAATATTCACTTCCAGATTCTATGGAAAGATTGTCTCAAAACTGCTCAATCAAACCAAAGGTTCAACCCTGTGAGATGAATGCACACATCACAAGGAAGTTTCTCAGAATACTTCTGTGTAGTTTTTATTTGAGGATAGTTCCTTTTCCACCACAGACCACAAAGGGCTCCAAATATCCATTGCAGATGTTACAAAAAGAGAGATTCAAAACTGCTCAACCAAAAGGTAGTTTCAACCATGTGATATGAATGCACACAGCACAGAGAAATTTCTCAAAATGCTTCTGTCTAGTTTTTATTTGAAGATATTGCCTTTTCTACCATAGGCCACAAACGTCTCCAAATATCCACATGCAGCTTCTACAAAAAGAGAGATTCAAAGCTTCTCAATCAAAAGATAGGTTCAACTCTGTGAGTTGAATGCACACTTCACAAAGAAGTTTCTCAGAGTGCTTCTGTGTGTTTTTATGTGAAGATGATTCCTTTTCCACAATAGGCCTCAAAGCTCTCCAAGTATCTGCAAGCAGAGTCTACAAAAAGAGAGATTCAAAACTGCTCAATGAAAAGATAGGTTCAACTCTGTGAGTTGAATGCACACCTCCAAAGAAGTTTCTCAGAATGCTTCCGTGTAGTTTCTATGTGAAGATATTTACTTTTCCACAATTGTCCCAAAGCTCTAAAATATCCACTTGCAGACCCTCTGAAAGAGTGCTTCAGAATTGCTCAATCAAAGGAGAGGTTCAATTCTGTGTGACCAATGCACTCATCACAAAGTTTGTCTGAATGCTTCTGTGTAGAATGGATTTGAAGATAATTCCTTTTCCACCACAGTCCGCAAATGGCTAAAAATATCCACTTGCAGATTCCACAAAAAGAGAGATTCAAAACTGCTCAATCACAAGGTAGGTTCAACTTGGTAATTTGAAAGCACACATGACAAACAATTTCTGAGAATGTTTCTGTGTAGCTTTTAAGGGAAGATATTTGATTTTCAAATGTAGGCCTCAAAACGCTCCAAATATCCACTTGCAGATTGTACAAAAAGAGAGATTCAAAACTGGTCACTCAAAAGATAGTTCCAGCTCTGTGAGTTGAATGCAAACCTCACAAAGATGTTTCTCAGAAAGCTTCTGTATAGTTTTTATATGAAGATACTTGCTTTTCCACAATATACCTCAAATCTCCCCAATTATCCACTTGCAGATTCTACAAAAAGAGTGTTTCAAAACTGCTCAATCAAAATACACTTTCAACTCTGTGAGATCAATGCACACATCACAAAGAAGTTTCTCAGAATGCTTCTGTATAGTTTTTATCTGAAGTTATTTGCTTTTCCACGATAGGCCTCAAAGCACGCCAAATATCCACTTGCAGATCCTATGAAAAGAGTGTTCCAAAACTGGTCAATCATAAGATAGGTTTAACTCTGTGAGTTGAATGCACAATCACGAGGAAGTTTCTCAGAATGCCTCTGTGTGCTTTTCATTTGAAGGTATTTCCTTTTCCACCATAGGCCGCAAAGGGCTCCAAATATCCCCTTGCAGATTCTGCAAAATGAGAGATTCAAAACTGCTCAATCAAAAGATAGGTTCAACTCTGTGAGTTGAATGCTCACATAACAAAGAAGTTTCTCACAGTATTTCTGTGTAGTTTTTATTTGAAGATATTTCCTTTTCCACCATAGGCCGCAAAGGGCTCCAAATATCCACTTGCAGATTGTATAAAAAGAGAGATTCAAAACTGGTCACTCGAAGGATCGGTTCAGCTCTGTGAGGTGAATGCACACATCAAAAAGAAGTTTCTTAGAGTGCCTCTATGTAGATTTTATGTGAAGATATTTGCTTTTCCACTTTAGGTCTCAAAGCGCTCCAAATATCCACGTGCAGATTCTAAAAAAAGAGAGATTCTAAGCTACTCCATCAAAAGATAGGTTCAGCTCTGTGAGTTGAATTCACACATCACAAAGAAGTTTCTAGGAGTGCTTCTGTGTAGTTGTTATGTGAAGATATTTGCTTTTCCACAGTAGGCCTCAAATCGCTCTACATATCCACTTGCAGTTTCTACAAAAAAGAGTGTTTCCAAACTGCTCCATCATAAGACACGTTGAACTCTGAGAGTTGAATGCACACATCACAAAGAAGCTTCTCAGAATGCTTCTGTGTGGTTTTAATTTGAAGATATTTGCTTTTCCAAAACAGGCCTCAAAGCTCTCCAAATATCCACCTGGTTATTCTGCAAAAAGAGGGTTTCAATACTACTCAATAAAAAGGAAGATTCAACTCTGTGTGAGGAACGCATTCATCACAAAGAAGTCTTTCTGAATGCTTCTGTGTAGCTTTTATATGAAGATATTTCCTTTTACACCACAGGGTGCAAACAGCTCCAAACTTCCACTTGCAGATTCTACAAAAAGACGTATTCAAAACTGTACAATCAAAAGATAGTGTCAACTCTGCATGTTCAATGCACACATCACAAAGGACTTTCTCTGAATGCTTCTCTGTAGGGTTTGTTTATGTGAAGATATTTGCTTTTCCACTATAGGGTGAAACAGGGCTCCAAGTATCAACTTGCAGATTCTGCAAAAAGGAGATTCAAAACAGCTAAATCCAAAGATTACTTCAACTATGTGAGTTGAATGCACACACAAAAAAGAAGTTTCTCAGAATGCCTCTGTGTAGTTTTTATGTGAAGATATTTGATTTTCCACATTAGGCCTCAAAGCGCTCTAAATATCCACTTGCAGATTCTAGAAAAAGAGTGTTTCAAAACTGCCCTATCAAAAGAAACGTCCAACACTGTGAGATGAATGCACACATCACAAAGAAGTTTCTCAGAATGCTTCTTTGTAATTTTTATGTGAAGATATTCCCTTTTCCAAAGAAGGCCACAAAGTACTCCCAATATCCACTTGCAGGTTCTACAAAATGAGTGTTTCAAAACCGCTCAATCATTAGATAGGTTCAACTCTGTGAGACGAATGCACACGTCACAAAGAAGTTTTACGGAATGCTTCTATATAGTTTTTATTTGAAGGTATTTCCTTTTCCACCCTAGGTTACAAAGGGCTCCAAATATCCACTTGCAGATTCGACAAAAAGAGAGATTCAAAACTGCTCAATGACAAGTCCAACTCTGTGGGTTGAATCCATGCCTCACAAAGAAGTTTCTCAGAATGCTTCTCTGTAGTTTTTATGTGAAGATATTTCCTTTTTCACAATAGGCCTCAAGCTTTCCAAATATCCACTTGCAGATTCCGCAAAAAGAGAGATACAAAAGTGCTCTATCAAAAGATAGGTTCGACTCTGGGAGTTCAATGCAAACATCACAAAGAAGTTTCTCAGAATGCTTCTGTGTAGATTTTATGTGAAGATGTTTTGTTTTCTACCATAGGGCAAAATGGGGCTCCAAATATCTACTTGCATTTTCTACAAAAAGAGAGATTCTAAGCTGCTCAATCAAAAGATACGTTCAACACTGTTAGTTGAATGCACACATGCCAAAGAAGTTTCTCAGAATGCTTCTGTGTAGTTTTTATGTGAAGATATTTGCTTTTCCACAGTAGGCCTCAAATCGCTCTACATATCCACTTGCAGTTTCTACAAAAAAGAGTGTTTCCAAACTGCTCCATCATAAGACACGTTGAACTCTGAGAGTTGAATGCACACATCACAAAGAAGCTTCTCAGAATGCTTCTGTGTGGTTTTAATTTGAAGATATTTCCTTTTCCAAAACAGGCCTCAAAGCTCTCCAAATATCCACCTGGTTATTCTGCAAAAAGAGGGTTTCAATACTACTCAATAAAAAGGAAGATTCAACTCTGTGTGAGGAACGCATTCATCACAAAGAAGTCTTTCTGAATGCTTCTGTGTAGCTTTTATATGAAGATATTTCCTTTTACACCACAGGGTGCAAACAGCTCCAAACTTCCACTTGCAGATTCTACAAAAAGACGTATTCAAAACTGTACAATCAAAAGATAGTGTCAACTCTGCATGTTCAATGCACACATCACAAAGGACTTTCTCTGAATGCTTCTCTGTAGGGTTTGTTTATGTGAAGATATTTGCTTTTCCACTATAGGGTGAAACAGGGCTCCAAGTATCAACTTGCAGATTCTGCAAAAAGGAGATTCAAAACAGCTAAATCCAAAGATTACTTCAACTATGTGAGTTGAATGCACACACAAAAAAAGAAGTTTCTCAGAATGCCTCTGTGTAGTTTTTATGTGAAGATATTTGATTTTCCACATTAGGCCTCAAAGCGCTCCAAATATCCACTTGCAGATTCTAGAAAAAGAGTGTTTCAAAACTGCCCTATCAAAAGAAACGTCCAACACTGTGCGATGAATGCACACATCACAAAGAAGTTTCTCAGAATGCTTCTTTGTAGTTTTTATGTGAAGATATTCCCTTTTCCAAAGAAGGCCACAAAGTACTCCCAATATCCACTTGCAGGTTCTACAAAATGAGTGTTTCAAAACCGCTCAATCATTAGATAGGTTCAACTCTGTGAGACGAATGCACACGTCACAAAGAAGTTTTACGGAATGCTTCTATATAGTTTTTATTTGAAGGTATTTCCTTTTCCACCCTAGGTTGCAAAGGGCTCCAAATATCCACTTGCAGATTCGACAAAAAGAGAGATTCAAAACTGCTCAATGATAAGTCCAACTCTGTGGGTTGAATCCATGCCTCACAAAGAAGTTTCTCAGAATGCTTCTCTGTAGTTTTTATGTGAAGATATTTCCTTTTTCACAATAGGCCTCAAGCTTTCCAAATATCCACTTGCAGATTCCGCAAAAAGAGAGATACAAAAGTGCTCTATCAAAAGATAGGTTCGACTCTGGGAGTTCAATGCAAACATCACAAAGAAGTTTCTCAGAATGCTTCTGTGTAGTTTTTATGTGAAGATGTTCTGTTTTCTACCATAGGGCAAAATGGGGCTCCAAATATCTACTTGCATTTTCTACAAAAAGAGAGATTCTAAGCTGCTCAATCAAAAGATACGTTCAACACTGTTAGTTGAATGCACACATGCCAAAGAAGTTTCTCAGAATGCTTCTGTGTAGTTTTTATGTGAAGATATTTGCTTTTCCACAATAGGCCTCAAATCGTTCTAAATATCCACTTGCAGGCTCTACAAAAAGAGTGTTTCCAAATTGGTCAATCATAAGGTAGGTTCAACTCTGAGAGTTGAATGCACACATCATAAAGAAGTTTCTCAGAATGGTTCTGTGTAGTTTTACTTTGAAGATATTTCATTTTCCAAATCAGGCCCCAAAGCTCTCCAAATATCCACTTGGTGATTCTGCAAAAAGAGCGTTTCAATACTGCTCAACAAAAAGAAAGGCTCAACTCTGTGTGAGGAATGCATTCATCACAAAGAAGTTTCTCTGAATGCTTCTTTGTAGTTTTTATATGAAGATATTTCCCTTTCCACCACAGGGTGCAAAGAGCTCCAAATATCCACTTGCAGATTCCACAAAAAAAGAGATATGAAAGTGCTCCATGGAAAGATAAGTTCAACTCTGTGAGTTGAATGCACACCTCACAAAGAAGTATCTCAAAATGCTTCTGCGTAGTTTTTATGTGAAGATATTTCCTTTTCCAAGTAGGCCTCAACCTTCTCCAGATATCCACTCGCAGATTCTGCAAAAAGAGAGACTCAAAACTGCTGAATCAAAAGATAGTTTCAACTCTGTGACTTCATTGCACACCTCACAAAGATGTTTCTCAGAATGCTTCTGTGCAGTTTTTATATAAAGATATCTCCTTCTCCAAAATAGATCTCAAAGTTATCCAAGTATTCACTTCCAGATTCTATGGAAAGATTATCTCAAAACTGCTCAATCAAACCAAAGGTTCAACTCTGTGAGATAAATGCACACATCACAAAGAAGTTTCTCAGAATACTTCCGTGTAGTTTTTATTTGAGGATAGTTCCTTTTCCACCACAGACCACAAAGGGCTCCAAATATCCATTGCAGATGGTACAAACAGAGAGACTCGAAACTGCTCAATCAAAAGGTAGTTTCAACCATGTGATATGAATGCACACAGCACAGAGAATTTTCTCAAAATGCTCTGTCTAGTTTTTATTTGAAGATATATCCTTTTCTACCATAGGCCACAAACGTCTCCAAATATCCACATGCAGCTTCTACAAAAAGAGAGATTCAAAACTTCTCCATCAAAAGATAGGTTCAACTCTGTGAGTTGAATGCACACCTCACAAAGAAGTTTCTCAGAGTGCTTTCTGTGTGTTTTTATGTGAAGATGATCCCTTTTCCACAATAGGCCTCAAAGCTCTCCAAATATCTGCAAGCAGAGTCTACAAAAAGAGAGATTCAAAACTGCTCAATGAAAAGATAGGTTCAACTCTGTGAGTTGAATGCACACCTCCAAAGAAGTTTGCTCAGAATGCTTCCGTGTAGTTTCTATGTGAAGATATTTTCTTTTCCACAATTGTCCCAAAGCTCTAAAATATCCACTTGCAGACCCTCTGAAAGAGTGCTTCAGAATTGCTCAATCAAAGGAGAGGTTCAATTCTGTGTGACCAATGCACTCATCACAAAAAGTTTGTCTGAATGCTTCTGTGTAGAATGGATTTGAAGATAATTCCTTTTCCACCACAGTCCGCAAATGGCTAAAAATATCCACTTGCAGATTCCACAAAAAGAGAGATTCAAAACTGCTCAATCACAAGGTAGGTTCAACTTGGTAATTTGAAAGCACACATGACAAACAATTTCTGAGAATGTTTCTGTGTAGCTTTTAAGGGAAGATATTTGATTTTCAAATGTAGGCCTCAAAACGCTCCAAATATCCACTTGCAGATTGTACAAAAAGAGAGATTCAAAACTGGTCACTCAAAAGATAGTTCCAGCTCTGTGAGTTGAATGCAAACCTCACAAAGATGTTTCTCAGAAAGCTTCTGTATAGTTTTTATATGAAGATACTTGCTTTTCCACAATATACCTCAAATCTCCCCAATTATCCACTTGCAGATTCTACAAAAAGAGTGTTTCAAAACTGCTCAATCAAAATACACTTTCAACTCTGTGAGATCAATGCACACATCACAAAGAAGTTTCTCAGAATGCTTCTGTATAGTTTTTATCTGAAGTTATTTGCTTTTCCACGATAGGCCTCAAAGCACGCCAAATATCCACTTGCAGATCCTATGAAAAGAGTGTTCCAAAACTGGTCAATCATAAGATAGGTTTAACTCTGTGAGTTGAATGCACAATCACGAGGAAGTTTCTCAGAATGCCTCTGTGTGCTTTTCATTTGAAGGTATTTCCTTTTCCACCATAGGCCACAAAGGGCTCCAAATATCCCCTTGCAGATTCTGCAAAATGAGAGATTCAAAACTGCTCAATCAAAAGATAGGTTCAACTCTGTGAGTTGAATGCTCACATAACAAAGAAGTTTCTCACAGTATTTCTGTGTAGTTTTTATTTGAAGATATTTCCTTTTCCACCATAGGCCGCAAAGGGCTCCAAATATCCACTTGCAGATTGTATAAAAAGAGAGATTCAAAACTGGTCACTCGAAGGATCGGTTCAGCTCTGTGAGGTGAATGCACACATCAAAAAGAAGTTTCTTAGAGTGCCTCTATGTAGATTTTATGTGAAGATATTTGCTTTTCCACTTTAGGTCTCAAAGCGCTCCAAATATCCACGTGCAGATTCTAAAAAAAGAGAGATTCTAAGCTACTCCATCAAAAGATAGGTTCAGCTCTGTGAGTTGAATTCACACATCACAAAGAAGTTTCTAGGAGTGCTTCTGTGTAGTTGTTATGTGAAGATATTTGCTTTTCCACAGTAGGCCTCAAATCGCTCTACATATCCACTTGCAGTTTCTACAAAAAAGAGTGTTTCCAAACTGCTCCATCATAAGACACGTTGAACTCTGAGAGTTGAATGCACACATCACAAAGAAGCTTCTCAGAATGCTTCTGTGTGGTTTTAATTTGAAGATATTTGCTTTTCCAAAACAGGCCTCAAAGCTCTCCAAATATCCACCTGGTTATTCTGCAAAAAGAGGGTTTCAATACTACTCAATAAAAAGGAAGATTCAACTCTGTGTGAGGAACGCATTCATCACAAAGAAGTCTTTCTGAATGCTTCTGTGTAGCTTTTATATGAAGATATTTCCTTTTACACCACAGGGTGCAAACAGCTCCAAACTTCCACTTGCAGATTCTACAAAAAGACGTATTCAAAACTGTACAATCAAAAGATAGTGTCAACTCTGCATGTTCAATGCACACATCACAAAGGACTTTCTCTGAATGCTTCTCTGTAGGGTTTGTTTATGTGAAGACATTTGCTTTTCCACTATAGGGTGAAACAGGGCTCCAAGTATCAACTTGCAGATTCTGCAAAAAGGAGATTCAAAACAGCTAAATCCAAAGATTACTTCAACTATGTGAGTTGAATGCACACACAAAAAAGAAGTTTCTCAGAATGCCTCTGTGTAGTTTTTATGTGAAGATATTTGATTTTCCACATTAGGCCTCAAAGCGCTCTAAATATCCACTTGCAGATTCTAGAAAAAGAGTGTTTCAAAACTGCCCTATCAAAAGAAACGTCCAACACTGTGAGATGAATGCACACATCACAAAGAAGTTTCTCAGAATGCTTCTTTGTAATTTTTATGTGAAGATATTCCCTTTTCCAAAGAAGGCCACAAAGTACTCCCAATATCCACTTGCAGGTTCTACAAAATGAGTGTTTCAAAACCGCTCAATCATTAGATAGGTTCAACTCTGTGAGACGAATGCACACGTCACAAAGAAGTTTTACGGAATGCTTCTATATAGTTTTTATTTGAAGGTATTTCCTTTTCCACCCTAGGTTGCCAAGGGCTCCAAATATCCACTTGCAGATTCGACAAAAAGAGACATTCAAAACTGCTCAATGATAAGTCCAACTCTGTGGGTTGAATCCATGCCTCACAAAGAAGTTTCTCAGAATGCTTCTCTGTAGTTTTTATGTGAAGATATTTCCTTTTTCACAATAGGTCTCAAGCTTTCCAAATATCCACTTGCAGATTCCGCAAAAAGAGAGATACAAAAGTGCTCTATCAAAAGATAGGTTCGACTCTGGGAGTTCAATGCAAACATCACAAAGAAGTTTCTCAGAATGCTTCTGTGTAGTTTTTATGTGAAGATGTTCTGTTTTCTACCATAGGGCAAAATGGGGCTCCAAATCTCTACTTGCATTTTCTACAAAAAGAGAGATTCTAAGCTGCTCAATCAAAAGATACGTTCAACACTGTTAGTTGAATGCACACATGCCAAAGAAGTTTCTCAGAATGCTTCTGTGTAGTTTTTATGTGAAGATATTTGCTTTTCCACAATAGGCCTCAAATCGTTCTAAATATCCACTTGCAGGCTCTACAAAAAGAGTGTTTCCAAATTGGTCAATCATAAGGTAGGTTCAACTCTGAGAGTTGAATGCACACATCATAAAGAAGTTTCTCAGAATGGTTCTGTGTAGTTTTACTTTGAAGATATTTCATTTTCCAAAACAGGCCCCAAATCTCTCCAAATATCCACTTGGTGATTCTGCAAAAAGAGCGTTTCAATACTGCTCAATAAAAAGAAACGTTCAGCTCTGTGTGAGGAATGCATTCATCACAAAGAAGTTTCTCTGAATGCTTCTTTGTAGTTTTTATATGAAGATAGTTCCCTTTCCACCACAGGGTGCAAAGAGCTCCAAATATCCACTTGCAGATTCTACAGAAAATGAGATACGAAAGTGCTCAAGGAAAAGATAAGTTCAACTCTGTGAGTTGCATGCACACCTCACAAAGAAGAATCTCAAAATGCTTCTGCATAGTTTATATGTGAAGATATTTCCTTTTCCAAATAGGCCTCCAAGTTCTCCAGATATCCACTCGCAGATTCTGCAAAAAGAGAGACTCAAAACTGCTGAATCAAAACATAGTTTCAACTCTGTGACTTCATTGCACACCTCACAAAGATGTTTCTCAGAATGCTTCTGTGCAGTTTTTATATAAAGATATCTCCTTCTCCAAAATAGATCTCAAGGTTCTCCAAATATTCACTTCCAGATTCTATGGAAAGATTGTCTCAAAACTGCTCAATCAAACCAAAGGTTCAACCCTATGAGATGAATGCACACATCACAAGGAAGTTTCTCGGAATACTTCTGTGTAGTTTTTATTTGAGGATAGTTCCTTTTCCACCACAGACCACAAAGGGCTCCAAATATCCATTGCAGATGGTACAAAAAGAGAGATTCAAAACTGCTCAATCAAAAGGTAGTTTCAACCATGTGATATGAATGCACACAGCACAGAGAAATTTCTCAAAATGCTTCTGTCTAGTTTTTATTTGAAGATATTGCCTTTTCTACCATAGGCCACAAACGTCTCCAAATATCCACATGCAGCTTCTACAAAAAGAGAGATTCAAAGCTTCTCAATCAAAAGATAGGTTCAACTCTGTGAGTTGAATGCACACTTCACAAAGAAGTTTCTCAGAGTGCTTCTGTGTGTTTTTATGTGAAGATGATCCCTTTTCCACAATAGGCCTCAAAGCTCTCCAAATATCTGCAAGCAGAGTCTACAAAAAGAGAGATTCAAAACTGCTCAATGAAAAGATAGGTTCAACTCTGTGAGTTGAATGCACACCTCCAAAGAAGTTTCTCAGAATGCTTCCGTGTAGTTTTTATGTGAAGATATTTACTTTTCCACAATTGTCCCAAAGCTCTAAAATATCCACTTGCAGACCCTCTGAAAGAGTGTTTCAGAATTGCTCAATCAAAGGAGAGGTTCAATTCTGTGTGACCAATGCACTCATCACAAAAAGTTTGTCTGAATGCTTCTGTGTAGAATGGATTTGAAGATAATTCCTTTTCCACCACAGTCCGCAAATGGCTAAAAATATCCACTTGCAGATTCCACAAAAAGAGAGATTCAAAACTGCTCAATCACAAGGTAGGTTCAACTTGGTAATTTGAAAGCACACATGACAAACAATTTCTGAGAATGTTTCTGTGTAGCTTTTAAGGGAAGATATTTGATTTTCAAATGTAGGCCTCAAAACGCTCCAAATATCCACTTGCAGATTGTACAAAAAGAGAGATTCAAAACTGGTCACTCAAAAGATAGTTCCAGCTCTGTGAGTTGAATGCAAACCTCACAAAGATGTTTCTCAGAAAGCTTCTGTATAGTTTTTATATGAAGATACTTGCTTTTCCACAATATACCTCAAATCTCCCCCAATTATCCACTTGCAGATTCTACAAAAAGAGTGTTTCAAAACTGCTCAATCAAAATACACTTTCAACTCTGTGAGATCAATGCACACATCACAAAGAAGTTTCTCAGAATGCTTCTGTATAGTTTGCTTTTCCACGATAGGCCTCAAAGCACGCCAAATATCCACTTGCAGATCCTATGAAAAGAGTGTTCCAAAACTGGTCAATCATAAGATAGGTTTAACTCTGTGAGTTGAATGCACAATCACGAGGAAGTTTCTCAGAATGCCTCTGTGTGCTTTTCATTTGAAGGTATTTCCTTTTCCACCATAGGCCGCAAAGGGCTCCAAATATCCCCTTGCAGATTCTGCAAAATGAGAGATTCAAAACTGCTCAATCAAAAGATAGGTTCAACTCTGTGAGTTGAATGCTCACATAACAAAGAAGTTTCTCACAGTATTTCTGTGTAGTTTTTATTTGAAGATATTTCCTTTTCCACCATAGGCCGCAAAGGGCTCCAAATATCCACTTGCAGATTGTATAAAAAGAGAGATTCAAAACTGGTCACTCAAAGGATCGGTTCAGCTCTGTGAGGTGAATGCACACATCAAAAAGAAGTTTCTTAGAGTGCCTCTATGTAGATTTTATGTGAAGATATTTGCTTTTCCACTTTAGGTCTCAAAGCGCTCCAAATATCCACGTGCAGATTCTAAAAAAAGAGAGATTCTAAGCTACTCCATCAAAAGATAGGTTCAGCTCTGTGAGTTGAATTCACACATCACAAAGAAGTTTCTAGGAGTGCTTCTGTGTAGTTGTTATGTGAAGATATTTGCTTTTCCACAGTAGGCCTCAAATCGCTCTACATATCCACTTGCAGTTTCTACAAAAAGAGTGTTTCCAAACTGCTCCATCATAAGACACGTTCAACTCTGAGAGTTGAATGCACACATCACAAAGAAGCTTCTCAGAATGCTTCTGTGTGGTTTTAATTTGAAGATATTTCCTTTTCCAAAACAGGCCTCAAAGCTCTCCGAATATCCACCTGGTTATTCTGCAAAAAGAGGGTTTCAATACTACTCAATAAAAAGGAAGATTCAACTCTGTGTGAGGAACGCATTCATCACAAAGAAGTCTTTCTGAATGCTTCTGTGTAGCTTTTATATGAAGATATTTCCTTTTACACCACAGGGTGCAAACAGCTCCAAACTTCCACTTGCAGATTCTACAAAAAGACGTATTCAAAACTGTACAATCAAAAGATAGTGTCAACTCTGCATGTTCAATGCACACATCACAAAGGACTTTCTCTGAATGCTTCTCTGTAGGGTTTGTTTATGTGAAGATATTTGCTTTTCCACTATAGGGTGAAACAGGGCTCCAAGTATCAACTTGCAGATTCTGCAAAAAGGAGATTCAAAACAGCTAAATCCAAAGATTACTTCAACTATGTGAGTTGAATGCACACACAAAAAAGAAGTTTCTCAGAATGCCTCTGTGTAGTTTTTATGTGAAGATATTTGATTTTCCACATTAGGCCTCAAAGCGCTCTAAATATCCACTTGCAGATTCTAGAAAAAGAGTGTTTCAAAACTGCCCTATCAAAAGAAACGTCCAACACTGTGAGATGAATGCACACATCACAAAGAAGTTTCTCAGAATGCTTCTTTGTAATTTTTATGTGAAGATATTCCCTTTTCCAAAGAAGGCCACAAAGTACTCCCAATATCCACTTGCAGGTTCTACAAAATGAGTGTTTCAAAACCGCTCAATCATTAGATAGGTTCAACTCTGTGAGACGAATGCACACGTCACAAAGAAGTTTTACGGAATGCTTCTATATAGTTTTTATTTGAAGGTATTTCCTTTTCCACCCTAGGTTGCCAAGGGCTCCAAATATCCACTTGCAGATTCGACAAAAAGAGACATTCAAAACTGCTCAATGATAAGTCCAACTCTGTGGGTTGAATCCATGCCTCACAAAGAAGTTTCTCAGAATGCTTCTCTGTAGTTTTTATGTGAAGATATTTCCTTTTTCACAATAGGCCTCAAGCTTTCCAAATATCCACTTGCAGATTCCGCAAAAAGAGAGATACAAAAGTGCTCTATCAAAAGATAGGTTCGACTCTGGGAGTTCAATGCAAACATCACAAAGAAGTTTCTCAGAATGCTTCTGTGTAGTTTTTATGTGAAGATGTTCTGTTTTCTACCATAGGGCAAAATGGGGCTCCAAATATCTACTTGCATTTTCTACAAAAAGAGAGATTCTAAGCTGCTCAATCAAAAGATACGTTCAACACTGTTAGTTGAATGCACACATGCCAAAGAAGTTTCTCAGAATGCTTCTGTGTAGTTTTTATGTGAAGATATTTGCTTTTCCACAATAGGCCTCAAATCGTTCTAAATATCCACTTGCAGGCTCTACAAAAAGAGTGTTTCCAAATTGGTCAATCATAAGGTAGGTTCAACTCTGAGAGTTGAATGCACACATCATAAAGAAGTTTCTCAGAATGGTTCTGTGTAGTTTTACTTTGAAGATATTTCATTTTCCAAAACAGGCCCCAAAGCTCTCCAAATATCCACTTGGTGATTCTGCAAAAAGAGCGTTTCAATACTGCTCAATAAAAAGAAACGTTCAGCTCTGTGTGAGGAATGCATTCATCACAAAGAAGTTTCTCTGAATGCTTCTTTGTAGTTTTTATATGAAGATAGTTCCCTTTCCACCACAGGGTGCAAAGAGCTCCAAATATCCACTTGCAGATTCTACAGAAAATGAGATACGAAAGTGCTCAAGGAAAAGATAAGTTCAACTCTGTGAGTTGCATGCACACCTCACAAAGAAGAATCTCAAAATGCTTCTGCATAGTTTATATGTGAAGATATTTCCTTTTCCAAATAGGCCTCCAAGTTCTCCAGATATCCACTCGCAGATTCTGCAAAAAGAGAGACTCAAAACTGCTGAATCAAAACATAGTTTCAACTCTGTGACTTCATTGCACACCTCACAAAGATGTTTCTCAGAATGCTTTCTGTGCAGTTTTTATATAAAGATATCTCCTTCTCCAAAATAGATCTCAAGGTTCTCCAAATATTCACTTCCAGATTCTATGGAAAGATTGTCTCAAAACTGCTCAATCAAACCAAAGGTTCAACCCTATGAGATGAATGCACACATCACAAGGAAGTTTCTCGGAATACTTCTGTGTAGTTTTTATTTGAGGATAGTTCCTTTTCCACCACAGACCACAAAGGGCTCCAAATATCCATTGCAGATGGTACAAAAAGAGAGATTCAAAACTGCTCAATCAAAAGGTAGTTTCAACCATGTGATATGAATGCACACAGCACAGAGAAATTTCTCAAAATGCTTCTGTCTAGTTTTTATTTGAAGATATTGCCTTTTCTACCATAGGCCACAAACGTCTCCAAATATCCACATGCAGCTTCTACAAAAAGAGAGATTCAAAGCTTCTCAATCAAAAGATAGGTTCAACTCTGTGAGTTGAATGCACACTTCACAAAGAAGTTTCTCAGAGTGCTTCTGTGTGTTTTTATGTGAAGATGATCCCTTTTCCACAATAGGCCTCAAAGCTCTCCAAATATCTGCAAGCAGAGTCTACAAAAAGAGAGATTCAAAACTGCTCAATGAAAAGATAGGTTCAACTCTGTGAGTTGAATGCACACCTCCAAAGAAGTTTCTCAGAATGCTTCCGTGTAGTTTCTATGTGAAGATATTTACTTTTCCACAATTGTCCCAAAGCTCTAAAATATCCACTTGCAGACCCTCTGAAAGAGTGTTTCAGAATTGCTCAATCAAAGGAGAGGTTCAATTCTGTGTGACCAATGCACTCATCACAAAAAGTTTGTCTGAATGCTTCTGTGTAGAATGGATTTGAAGTATAATTCCTTTTCCACCACAGTCCGCAAATGGCTAAAAATATCCACTTGCAGATTCCACAAAAAGAGAGATTCAAAACTGCTCAATCACAAGGTAGGTTCAACTTGGTAATTTGAAAGCACACATGACAAACAATTTCTGAGAATGTTTCTGTGTAGCTTTTAAGGGAAGATATTTGATTTTCAAATGTAGGCCTCAAAACGCTCCAAATATCCACTTGCAGATTGTACAAAAAGAGAGATTCAAAACTGGTCACTCAAAAGATAGTTCCAGCTCTGTGAGTTGAATGCAAACCTCACAAAGATGTTTCTCAGAAAGCTTCTGTATAGTTTTTATATGAAGATACTTGCTTTTCCACAATATACCTCAAATCTCCCCAATTATCCACTTGCAGATTCTACAAAAAGAGTGTTTCAAAACTGCTCAATCAAAATACACTTTCAACTCTGTGAGATCAATGCACACATCACAAAGAAGTTTCTCAGAATGCTTCTGTATAGTTTTTATCTGAAGTTATTTGCTTTTCCACGATAGGCCTCAAAGCACGCCAAATATCCACTTGCAGATCCTATGAAAAGAGTGTTCCAAAACTGGTCAATCATAAGATAGGTTTAACTCTGTGAGTTGAATGCACAATCACGAGGAAGTTTCTCAGAATGCCTCTGTGTGCTTTTCATTTGAAGGTATTTCCTTTTCCACCATAGGCCGCAAAGGGCTCCAAATATCCCCTTGCAGATTCTGCAAAATGAGAGATTCAAAACTGCTCAATCAAAAGATAGGTTCAACTCTGTGAGTTGAATGCTCACATAACAAAGAAGTTTCTTCTGTGTAGTTTTTATTTGAAGATATTTCCTTTTCCACCATAGGCCGCAAAGGGCTCCAAATATCCACTTGCAGATTGTATAAAAAGAGAGATTCAAAACTGGTCACTCGAAGGATCGGTTCAGCTCTGTGAGGTGAATGCACACATCAAAAAGAAGTTTCTTAGAGTGCCTCTATGTAGATTTTATGTGAAGATATTTGCTTTTCCACTTTAGGTCTCAAAGCGCTCCAAATATCCACGTGCAGATTCTAAAAAAAGAGAGATTCTAAGCTACTCCATCAAAAGATAGGTTCAGCTCTGTGAGTTGAATTCACACATCACAAAGAAGTTTCTAGGAGTGCTTCTGTGTAGTTGTTATGTGAAGATATTTGCTTTTCCACAGTAGGCCTCAAATCGCTCTACATATCCACTTGCAGTTTCTACAAAAAAGAGTGTTTCCAAACTGCTCCATCATAAGACACGTTGAACTCTGAGAGTTGAATGCACACATCACAAAGAAGCTTCTCAGAATGCTTCTGTGTGGTTTTAATTTGAAGATATTTCCTTTTCCAAAACAGGCCTCAAAGCTCTCCAAATATCCACCTGGTTATTCTGCAAAAAGAGGGTTTCAATACTACTCAATAAAAAGGAAGATTCAACTCTGTGTGAGGAACGCATTCATCACAAAGAAGTCTTTCTGAATGCTTCTGTGTAGCTTTTATATGAAGATATTTCCTTTTACACCACAGGGTGCAAACAGCTCCAAACTTCCACTTGCAGATTCTACAAAAAGACGTATTCAAAACTGTACAATCAAAAGATAGTGTCAACTCTGCATGTTCAATGCACACATCACAAAGGACTTTCTCTGAATGCTTCTCTGTAGGGTTTGTTTATGTGAAGATATTTGCTTTTCCACTATAGGGTGAAACAGGGCTCCAAGTATCAACTTGCAGATTCTGCAAAAAGGAGATTCAAAACAGCTAAATCCAAAGATTACTTCAACTATGTGAGTTGAATGCACACACAAAAAAGAAGTTTCTCAGAATGCCTCTGTGTAGTTTTTATGTGAAGATATTTGATTTTCCACATTAGGCCTCAAAGCGCTCCAAATATCCACTTGCAGATTCTAGAAAAAGAGTGTTTCAAAACTGCCCTATCAAAAGAAACGTCCAACACTGTGAGATGAATGCACACATCACAAAGAAGTTTCTCAGAATGCTTCTTTGTAGTTTTTATGTGAAGATATTCCCTTTTCCAAAGAAGGCCACAAAGTACTCCCAATATCCACTTGCAGGTTCTACAAAATGAGTGTTTCAAAACCGCTCAATCATTAGATAGGTTCAACTCTGTGAGACGAATGCACACGTCACAAAGAAGTTTTACGGAATGCTTCTATATAGTTTTTATTTGAAGGTATTTCCTTTTCCACCCTAGGTTACAAAGGGCTCCAAATATCCACTTGCAGATTCGACAAAAAGAGAGATTCAAAACTGCTCAATGATAAGTCCAACTCTGTGGGTTGAATCCATGCCTCACAAAGAAGTTTCTCAGAATGCTTCTCTGTAGTTTTTATGTGAAGATATTTCCTTTTTCACAATAGGCCTCAAGCTTTCCAAATATCCACTTGCAGATTCCGCAAAAAGAGAGATACAAAAGTGCTCTATCAAAAGATAGGTTCGACTCTGGGAGTTCAATGCAAACATCACAAAGAAGTTTCTCAGAATGCTTCTGTGTAGATTTTATGTGAAGATGTTTTGTTTTCTACCATAGGGCAAAATGGGGCTCCAAATATCTACTTGCATTTTCTACAAAAAGAGAGATTCTAAGCTGCTCAATCAAAAGATACGTTCAACACTGTTAGTTGAATGCACACATGCCAAAGAAGTTTCTCAGAATGCTTCTGTGTAGTTTTTATGTGAAGATATTTGCTTTTCCACAATAGGCCTCAAATCGTTCTAAATATCCACTTGCAGGCTCTACAAAAAGAGTGTTTCCAAATTGCTCAATCATAAGGTAGGTTCAACTCTGAGAGTTGAATGCACACATCATAAAGAAGTTTCTCAGAATGGTTCTGTGTAGTTTTACTTTGAAGATATTTCATTTTCCAAAACAGGCCCCAAAGCTCTCCAAATATCCACTTGGTGATTCTGCAAAAAGAGCGTTTCAATACTGCTCCATAAAAAGAAAGGTTCAGCTCTGTGTGAGGAATGCATTCATCACAAGAAGTTTCTCTGAATGCTTCTTTGTAGTTTTTATATGAAGATAGTTCCCTTTCCACCACAGGGTGCAAAGAGCTCCAAATATCCACTTGCAGATTCTACAGAAAATGAGATATGAAAGTGCTCAAGGAAAAGATAAGTTCAACTCTGTGAGTTGCATGCACACCTCACAAAGAAGAATCTCAAAATGCTTCTGCATAGTTTATATGTGAAGATATTTCCTTTTCCAAATAGGCCTCCAAGTTCTCCAGATATCCACTCGCAGATTCTGCAAAAAGAGAGACTCAAAACTGCTGAATCAAAACATAGTTTCAACTCTGTGACTTCATTGCACACCTCACAAAGATGTTTCTCAGAATGCTTCTGTGCAGTTTTCATATAAAGATATCTCCTTCTCCAAAATAGATCTCAAGGTTCTCCAAATATTCACTTCCAGATTCTATGGAAAGATTGTCTCAAAACTGCTCAATCAAACCAAAGGTTCAACCCTGTGAGATGAATGCACACATCACAAGGAAGTTTCTCGGAATACTTCCCGTGTAGTTTTTATTTGAGGATAGTTCCTTTTCCACCACAGACCACAAAGGGCTCCAAATATCCATTGCAGATGGTACAAACAGAGAGACTCGAAACTGCTCAATCAAAAGGTAGTTTCAACCATGTGATATGAATGCACACAGCACAGAGAATTTTCTCAAAATGCTTCTGTCTAGTTTTTATTTGAAGATATATCCTTTTCTACCATAGGCCACAAACGTCTCCAAATATCCACATGCAGCTTCTACAAAAAGAGAGATTCAAAACTTCTCCATCAAAAGATAGGTTCAACTCTGTGAGTTGAATGCACACCTCACAAAGAAGTTTCTCAGAGTGCTTCTGTGTGTTTTTATGTGAACATATTCCCTTTTCCACAATAGGCCTCAAAGCTCTCCAAATATCTGCAAGCAGAGTCTACAAAAAGAGAGATTCAAAACTGCTCAATGAAAAGATAGGTTCAACTCTGTGAGTTGAATGCACACCTCCAAAGAAGTTTCTCAGAATGCTTCCGTGTAGTTTCTATGTGAAGATATTTACTTTTCCACAATTGTCCCAAAGCTCTAAAATATCCACTTGCAGACCCTCTGAAAGAGTGTTTCAGAATTGCTCAATCAAAGGAGAGGTTCAATTCTGTGTGACCAATGCACTCATCACCAAGAAGTTTGTCTGAATGCTTCTGTGTAGAATGGATTTGAAGATAATTCCTTTTCCACCACAGTCCGCAAAGGGCTAAAAATATCCATTTGCAGATTCCACAAAAAGAGAGATTCAGAACTGCTCAATCACAAGATAGGTTCAACTTGGTAATTTGAAAGCCCACATGACAAACAATTTCTGAGAATGTTTCTGTGTAGTTTTTAAGGGAAGATATTTGATTTTCAAATGTAGGCCTCAAATCGCTCCAAATATCCACTTGCAGATTGAACAAAAAGAGAGATTCAAAACTGGTCACTCAAGAGATAGGTCCAGCTCTGTGAGTTGAATGCAAACCTCACAAAGATGTTTCTCAGAAGGCTTCTGTATAGTTTTTATATGAAGATATTTGCTTTTCCACAACATACCTCAAATCTCTCCAATTATCCACTTGCAGATTCTACAGAAGGAGTGTTTTAAAACTGCTCAATCAAAATACACTTTCAACTCTGTGAGATCAATGCACACATCACAAAGAAGTTTCTCAGAATGCTCTTTTCCACGATAGGCCTCAAAGCACGCCAAATATCCACTTGCAGATCCTATGAAAAGAGTGTTCCAAAACTGGTCAATCATAAGATAGGTTTAACTCTGTGAGTTGAATGCACAATCACGAGGAAGTTTCTCAGAATGCCTCTGTGTGCTTTTCATTTGAAGGTATTTCCTTTTCCACCATAGGCCGCAAAGGGCTCCAAATATCCCCTTGCAGATTCTGCAAAATGAGAGATTCAAAACTGCTCAATCAAAAGATAGGTTCAACTCTGTGAGTTGAATGCTCACATAACAAAGAAGTTTCTTCTGTGTAGTTTTTATTTGAAGATATTTCCTTTTCCACCATAGGCCGCAAAGGGCTCCAAATATCCACTTGCAGATTGTATAAAAAGAGAGATTCAAAACTGGTCACTCGAAGGATCGGTTCAGCTCTGTGAGGTGAATGCACACATCAAAAAGAAGTTTCTTAGAGTGCCTCTATGTAGATTTTATGTGAAGATATTTGCTTTTCCACTTTAGGTCTCAAAGCGCTCCAAATATCCACGTGCAGATTCTAAAAAAAGAGAGATTCTAAGCTACTCCATCAAAAGATAGGTTCAGCTCTGTGAGTTGAATTCACACATCACAAAGAAGTTTCTAGGAGTGCTTCTGTGTAGTTGTTATGTGAAGATATTTGCTTTTCCACAGTAGGCCTCAAATCGCTCTACATATCCACTTGCAGTTTCTACAAAAAAGAGTGTTTCCAAACTGCTCCATCATAAGACACGTTGAACTCTGAGAGTTGAATGCACACATCACAAAGAAGCTTCTCAGAATGCTTCTGTGTGGTTTTAATTTGAAGATATTTCCTTTTCCAAAACAGGCCTCAAAGCTCTCCAAATATCCACCTGGTTATTCTGCAAAAAGAGGGTTTCAATACTACTCAATAAAAAGGAAGATTCAACTCTGTGTGAGGAACGCATTCATCACAAAGAAGTCTTTCTGAATGCTTCTGTGTAGCTTTTATATGAAGATATTTCCTTTTACACCACAGGGTGCAAACAGCTCCAAACTTCCACTTGCAGATTCTACAAAAAGACGTATTCAAAACTGTACAATCAAAAGATAGTGTCAACTCTGCATGTTCAATGCACACATCACAAAGGACTTTCTCTGAATGCTTCTCTGTAGGGTTTGTTTATGTGAAGATATTTGCTTTTCCACTATAGGGTAAAACAGGGCTCCAAGTATCAACTTGCAGATTCTGCAAAAAGGAGATTCAAAACAGCTAAATCCAAAGATTACTTCAACTATGTGAGTTGAATGCACACACAAAAAAGAAGTTTCTCAGAATGCCTTCTGTGTAGTTTTTATGTGAAGATATTTGATTTTCCACATTAGGCCTCAAAGCGCTCCAAATATCCACTTGCAGATTCTAGAAAAAGAGTGTTTCAAAACTGCCCTATCAAAAGAAACGTCCAACACTGTGAGATGAATGCACACATCACAAAGAAGTTTCTCAGAATGCTTCTTTGTAGTTTTTATGTGAAGATATTCCCTTTTCCAAAGAAGGCCACAAAGTACTCCCAATATCCACTTGCAGGTTCTACAAAATGAGTGTTTCAAAACCGCTCAATCATTAGATAGGTTCAACTCTGTGAGACGAATGCACACATCACAAAGAAGTTTTACGGAATGCTTCTATATAGTTTTTATTTGAAGGTATTTCCTTTTCCACCCTAGGTTGCAAAGGGCTCCAAATATCCACTTGCAGATTCGACAAAAAGAGAGATTCAAAACTGCTCAATGATAAGTCCAACTCTGTGGGTTGAATCCATGCCTCACAAAGAAGTTTCTCAGAATGCTTCTCTGTAGTTTTTATGTGAAGATATTTCCTTTTTCACAATAGGCCTCAAGCTTTCCAAATATCCACTTGCAGATTCCGCAAAAAGAGAGATACAAAAGTGCTCTATCAAAAGATAGGTTCGACTCTGGGAGTTCAATGCAAACATCACAAAGAAGTTTCTCAGAATGCTTCTGTGTAGATTTTATGTGAAGATGTTTTGTTTTCTACCATAGGGCAAAATGGGGCTCCAAATATCTACTTGCATTTTCTACAAAAAGAGAGATTCTAAGCTGCTCAATCAAAAGATACGTTCAACACTGTTAGTTGAATGCACACATGCCAAAGAAGTTTCTCAGAATGCTTCTGTGTAGTTTTTATGTGAAGATATTTGCTTTTCCACAATAGGCCTCAAATCGTTCTAAATATCCACTTGCAGGCTCTACAAAAAGAGTGTTTCCAAATTGCTCAATCATAAGGTAGGTTCAACTCTGAGAGTTGAATGCACACATCATAAAGAAGTTTCTCAGAATGGTTCTGTGTAGTTTTACTTTGAAGATATTTCATTTTCCAAAACAGGCCCCAAAGCTCTCCAAATATCCACTTGGTGATTCTGCAAAAAGAGCGTTTCAATACTGCTCCATAAAAAGAAAGGTTCAGCTCTGTGTGAGGAATGCATTCATCACAAGAAGTTTCTCTGAATGCTTCTTTGTAGTTTTTATATGAAGATAGTTCCCTTTCCACCACAGGGTGCAAAGAGCTCCAAATATCCACTTGCAGATTCTACAGAAAATGAGATATGAAAGTGCTCAAGGAAAAGATAAGTTCAACTCTGTGAGTTGCATGCACACCTCACAAAGAAGAATCTCAAAATGCTTCTGCATAGTTTATATGTGAAGATATTTCCTTTTCCAAATAGGCCTCCAAGTTCTCCAGATATCCACTCGCAGATTCTGCAAAAAGAGAGACTCAAAACTGCTGAATCAAAACATAGTTTCAACTCTGTGACTTCATTGCACACCTCACAAAGATGTTTCTCAGAATGCTTCTGTGCAGTTTTCATATAAAGATATCTCCTTCTCCAAAATAGATCTCAAGGTTCTCCAAATATTCACTTCCAGATTCTATGGAAAGATTGTCTCAAAACTGCTCGATCAAACCAAAGGTTCAACCCTGTGAGATGAATGCACACATCACAAGGAAGTTTCTCGGAATACTTCTGTGTAGTTTTTATTTGAGGATAGTTCCTTTTCCACCACAGACCACAAAGGGCTCCAAATATCCATTGCAGATGTTACAAAAAGAGAGATTCAAAACTGCTCAACCAAAAGGTAGTTTCAACCATGTGATATGAATGCACACAGCACAGAGAAATTTCTCAAAATGCTTCTGTCTAGTTTTTATTTGAAGATATTGCCTTTTCTACCATAGGCCACAAACGTCTCCAAATATCCACATGCAGCTTCTACAAAAAGAGAGATTCAAAGCTTCTCAATCAAAAGATAGGTTCAACTCTGTGAGTTGAATGCACACGTCACAAAGAAGTTTCTCAGAGTGCTTCTGTGTGTTTTTATGTGAAGATGATTCCTTTTCCACAATAGGCCTCAAAGCTCTCCAAGTATCTGCAAGCAGAGTCTACAAAAAGAGAGATTCAAAACTGCTCAATGAAAAGATAGGTTCAACTCTGTGAGTTGAATGCACACCTCCAAAGAAGTTTCTCAGAATGCTTCCGTGTAGTTTCTATGTGAAGATATTTACTTTTCCACAATTGTCCCAAAGCTCTAAAATATCCACTTGCAGACCCTCTGAAAGAGTGTTTCAGAATTGCTCAATCAAAGGAGAGGTTCAATTCTGTGTGACCAATGCACTCATCACAAAAAGTTTGTCTGAATGCTTCTGTGTAGAATGGATTTGAAGATAATTCCTTTTCCACCACAGTCCGCAAATGGCTAAAAATATCCACTTGCAGATTCCACAAAAAGAGAGATTCAAAACTGCTCAATCACAAGGTAGGTTCAACTTGGTAATTTGAAAGCACACATGACAAACAATTTCTGAGAATGTTTCTGTGTAGCTTTTAAGGGAAGATATTTGATTTTCAAATGTAGGCCTCAAAACGCTCCAAATATCCACTTGCAGATTGTACAAAAAGAGAGATTCAAAACTGGTCACTCAAAAGATAGTTCCAGCTCTGTGAGTTGAATGCAAACCTCACAAAGATGTTTCTCAGAAAGCTTCTGTATAGTTTTTATATGAAGATACTTGCTTTTCCACAATATACCTCAAATCTCCCCCAATTATCCACTTGCAGATTCTACAAAAAGAGTGTTTCAAAACTGCTCAATCAAAATACACTTTCAACTCTGTGAGATCAATGCACACATCACAAAGAAGTTTCTCAGAATGCTTCTGTATAGTTTTTATCTGAAGTTATTTGCTTTTCCACGATAGGCCTCAAAGCACGCCAAATATCCACTTGCAGATCCTATGAAAAGAGTGTTCCAAAACTGGTCAATCATAAGATAGGTTTAACTCTGTGAGTTGAATGCACAATCACGAGGAAGTTTCTCAGAATGCCTCTGTGTGCTTTTCATTTGAAGGTATTTCCTTTTCCACCATAGGCCGCAAAGGGCTCCAAATATCCCCTTGCAGATTCTGCAAAATGAGAGATTCAAAACTGCTCAATCAAAAGATAGGTTCAACTCTGTGAGTTGAATGCTCACATAACAAAGAAGTTTCTTCTGTGTAGTTTTTATTTGAAGATATTTCCTTTTCCACCATAGGCCGCAAAGGGCTCCAAATATCCACTTGCAGATTGTATAAAAAGAGAGATTCAAAACTGGTCACTCGAAGGATCGGTTCAGCTCTGTGAGGTGAATGCACACATCAAAAAGAAGTTTCTTAGAGTGCCTCTATGTAGATTTTATGTGAAGATATTTGCTTTTCCACTTTAGGTCTCAAAGCGCTCCAAATATCCACGTGCAGATTCTAAAAAAAGAGAGATTCTAAGCTACTCCATCAAAAGATAGGTTCAGCTCTGTGAGTTGAATTCACACATCACAAAGAAGTTTCTAGGAGTGCTTCTGTGTAGTTGTTATGTGAAGATATTTGCTTTTCCACAGTAGGCCTCAAATCGCTCTACATATCCACTTGCAGTTTCTACAAAAAGAGTGTTTCCAAACTGCTCCATCATAAGACACGTTGAACTCTGAGAGTTGAATGCACACATCACAAAGAAGCTTCTCAGAATGCTTCTGTGTGGTTTTAATTTGAAGATATTTCCTTTTCCAAAACAGGCCTCAAAGCTCTCCGAATATCCACCTGGTTATTCTGCAAAAAGAGGGTTTCAATACTACTCAATAAAAAGGAAGATTCAACTCTGTGTGAGGAACGCATTCATCACAAAGAAGTCTTTCTGAATGCTTCTGTGTAGCTTTTATATGAAGATATTTCCTTTTACACCACAGGGTGCAAACAGCTCCAAACTTCCACTTGCAGATTCTACAAAAAGACGTATTCAAAACTGTACAATCAAAAGATAGTGTCAACTCTGCATGTTCAATGCACACATCACAAAGGACTTTCTCTGAATGCTTCTCTGTAGGGTTTGTTTATGTGAAGATATTTGCTTTTCCACTATAGGGTGAAACAGGGCTCCAAGTATCAACTTGCAGATTCTGCAAAAAGGAGATTCAAAACAGCTAAATCCAAAGATTACTTCAACTATGTGAGTTGAATGCACACACAAAAAAGAAGTTTCTCAGAATGCCTCTGTGTAGTTTTTATGTGAAGATATTTGATTTTCCACATTAGGCCTCAAAGCGCTCTAAATATCCACTTGCAGATTCTAGAAAAAGAGTGTTTCAAAACTGCCCTATCAAAAGAAACGTCCAACACTGTGAGATGAATGCACACATCACAAAGAAGTTTCTCAGAATGCTTCTTTGTAATTTTTATGTGAAGATATTCCCTTTTCCAAAGAAGGCCACAAAGTACTCCCAATATCCACTTGCAGGTTCTACAAAATGAGTGTTTCAAAACCGCTCAATCATTAGATAGGTTCAACTCTGTGAGACGAATGCACACGTCACAAAGAAGTTTTACGGAATGCTTCTATATAGTTTTTATTTGAAGGTATTTCCTTTTCCACCCTAGGTTGCAAAGGGCTCCAAATATCCACTTGCAGATTCGACAAAAAGAGAGATTCAAAACTGCTCAATGACAAGTCCAACTCTGTGGGTTGAATCCATGCCTCACAAAGAAGTTTCTCAGAATGCTTCTCTGTAGTTTTTATGTGAAGATATTTCCTTTTTCACAATAGGCCTCAAGCTTTCCAAATATCCACTTGCAGATTCCGCAAAAAGAGAGATACAAAAGTGCTCTATCAAAAGATAGGTTCGACTCTGGGAGTTCAATGCAAACATCACAAAGAAGTTTCTCAGAATGCTTCTGTGTAGATTTTATGTGAAGATGTTTTGTTTTCTACCATAGGGCAAAATGGGGCTCCAAATATCTACTTGCATTTTCTACAAAAAGAGAGATTCTAAGCTGCTCAATCAAAAGATACGTTCAACACTGTTAGTTGAATGCACACATGCCAAAGAAGTTTCTCAGAATGCTTCTGTGTAGTTTTTATGTGAAGATATTTGCTTTTCCACAATAGGCCTCAAATCGTTCTAAATATCCACTTGCAGGCTCTACAAAAAGAGTGTTTCCAAATTGCTCAATCATAAGGTAGGTTCAACTCTGAGAGTTGAATGCACACATCATAAAGAAGTTTCTCAGAATGGTTCTGTGTAGTTTTACTTTGAAGATATTTCATTTTCCAAAACAGGCCCCAAAGCTCTCCAAATATCCACTTGGTGATTCTGCAAAAAGAGCGTTTCAATACTGCTCCATAAAAAGAAAGGTTCAGCTCTGTGTGAGGAATGCATTCATCACAAGAAGTTTCTCTGAATGCTTCTTTGTAGTTTTTATATGAAGATAGTTCCCTTTCCACCACAGGGTGCAAAGAGCTCCAAATATCCACTTGCAGATTCTACAGAAAATGAGATATGAAAGTGCTCAAGGAAAAGATAAGTTCAACTCTGTGAGTTGCATGCACACCTCACAAAGAAGAATCTCAAAATGCTTCTGCATAGTTTATATGTGAAGATATTTCCTTTTCCAAATAGGCCTCCAAGTTCTCCAGATATCCACTCGCAGATTCTGCAAAAAGAGAGACTCAAAACTGCTGAATCAAAACATAGTTTCAACTCTGTGACTTCATTGCACACCTCACAAAGATGTTTCTCAGAATGCTTCTGTGCAGTTTTCATATAAAGATATCTCCTTCTCCAAAATAGATCTCAAGGTTCTCCAAATATTCACTTCCAGATTCTATGGAAAGATTGTCTCAAAACTGCTCAATCAAACCAAAGGTTCAACCCTGTGAGATGAATGCACACATCACAAGGAAGTTTCTCGGAATACTTCTGTGTAGTTTTTATTTGAGGATAGTTCCTTTTCCACCACAGACCACAAAGGGCTCCAAATATCCATTGCAGATGTTACAAAAAGAGAGATTCAAAACTGCTCAACCAAAAGGTAGTTTCAACCATGTGATATGAATGCACACAGCACAGAGAAATTTCTCAAAATGCTTCTGTCTAGTTTTTATTTGAAGATATTGCCTTTTCTACCATAGGCCACAAACGTCTCCAAATATCCACATGCAGCTTCTACAAAAAGAGAGATTCAAAGCTTCTCAATCAAAAGATAGGTTCAACTCTGTGAGTTGAATGCACACTTCACAAAGAAGTTTCTCAGAGTGCTTCTGTGTGTTTTTATGTGAAGATGATTCCTTTTCCACAATAGGCCTCAAAGCTCTCCAAGTATCTGCAAGCAGAGTCTACAAAAAGAGAGATTCAAAACTGCTCAATGAAAAGATAGGTTCAACTCTGTGAGTTGAATGCACACCTCCAAAGAAGTTTCTCAGAATGCTTCCGTGTAGTTTCTATGTGAAGATATTTACTTTTCCACAATTGTCCCAAAGCTCTAAAATATCCACTTGCAGACCCTCTGAAAGAGTGTTTCAGAATTGCTCAATCAAAGGAGAGGTTCAATTCTGTGTGACCAATGCACTCATCACAAAAAGTTTGTCTGAATGCTTCTGTGTAGAATGGATTTGAAGATAATTCCTTTTCCACCACAGTCCGCAAATGGCTAAAAATATCCACTTGCAGATTCCACAAAAAGAGAGATTCAAAACTGCTCAATCACAAGGTAGGTTCAACTTGGTAATTTGAAAGCACACATGACAAACAATTTCTGAGAATGTTTCTGTGTAGCTTTTAAGGGAAGATATTTGATTTTCAAATGTAGGCCTCAAAACGCTCCAAATATCCACTTGCAGATTGTACAAAAAGAGAGATTCAAAACTGGTCACTCAAAAGATAGTTCCAG
Source organism: Homo sapiens (assembly GCF_000001405.40). NCBI lineage: Eukaryota > Metazoa > Chordata > Mammalia > Primates > Hominidae > Homo > Homo sapiens. The sequence continues at coordinate 17,307,716 of NC_000015.10, read as the reverse complement.
CTCTGTGAGTTGAATGCAAACCTCACAAAGATGTTTCTCAGAAAGCTTCTGTATAGTTTTTATATGAAGATACTTGCTTTTCCACAATATACCTCAAATCTCCCCAATTATCCACTTGCAGATTCTACAAAAAGAGTGTTTCAAAACTGCTCAATCAAAATACACTTTCAACTCTGTGAGATCAATGCACACATCACAAAGAAGTTTCTCAGAATGCTCTTTTCCACGATAGGCCTCAAAGCACGCCAAATATCCACTTGCAGATCCTATGAAAAGAGTGTTCCAAAACTGGTCAATCATAAGATAGGTTTAACTCTGTGAGTTGAATGCACAATCACGAGGAAGTTTCTCAGAATGCCTCTGTGTGCTTTTCATTTGAAGGTATTTCCTTTTCCACCATAGGCCGCAAAGGGCTCCAAATATCCCCTTGCAGATTCTGCAAAATGAGAGATTCAAAACTGCTCAATCAAAAGATAGGTTCAACTCTGTGAGTTGAATGCTCACATAACAAAGAAGTTTCTTCTGTGTAGTTTTTATTTGAAGATATTTCCTTTTCCACCATAGGCCGCAAAGGGCTCCAAATATCCACTTGCAGATTGTATAAAAAGAGAGATTCAAAACTGGTCACTCAAAGGATCGGTTCAGCTCTGTGAGGTGAATGCACACATCAAAAAGAAGTTTCTTAGAGTGCCTCTATGTAGATTTTATGTGAAGATATTTGCTTTTCCACTTTAGGTCTCAAAGCGCTCCAAATATCCACGTGCAGATTCTAAAAAAAGAGAGATTCTAAGCTACTCCATCAAAAGATAGGTTCAGCTCTGTGAGTTGAATTCACACATCACAAAGAAGTTTCTAGGAGTGCTTCTGTGTAGTTGTTATGTGAAGATATTTGCTTTTCCACAGTAGGCCTCAAATCGCTCTACATATCCACTTGCAGTTTCTACAAAAAGAGTGTTTCCAAACTGCTCCATCATAAGACACGTTCAACTCTGAGAGTTGAATGCACACATCACAAAGAAGCTTCTCAGAATGCTTCTGTGTGGTTTTAATTTGAAGATATTTCCTTTTCCAAAACAGGCCTCAAAGCTCTCCGAATATCCACCTGGTTATTCTGCAAAAAGAGGGTTTCAATACTACTCAATAAAAAGGAAGATTCAACTCTGTGTGAGGAACGCATTCATCACAAAGAAGTCTTTCTGAATGCTTCTGTGTAGCTTTTATATGAAGATATTTCCTTTTACACCACAGGGTGCAAACAGCTCCAAACTTCCACTTGCAGATTCTACAAAAAGACGTATTCAAAACTGTACAATCAAAAGATAGTGTCAACTCTGCATGTTCAATGCACACATCACAAAGGACTTTCTCTGAATGCTTCTCTGTAGGGTTTGTTTATGTGAAGATATTTGCTTTTCCACTATAGGGTGAAACAGGGCTCCAAGTATCAACTTGCAGATTCTGCAAAAAGGAGATTCAAAACAGCTAAATCCAAAGATTACTTCAACTATGTGAGTTGAATGCACACACAAAAAAGAAGTTTCTCAGAATGCCTCTGTGTAGTTTTTATGTGAAGATATTTGATTTTCCACATTAGGCCTCAAAGCGCTCCAAATATCCACTTGCAGATTCTAGAAAAAGAGTGTTTCAAAACTGCCCTATCAAAAGAAACGTCCAACACTGTGAGATGAATGCACACATCACAAAGAAGTTTCTCAGAATGCTTCTTTGTAGTTTTTATGTGAAGATATTCCCTTTTCCAAAGAAGGCCACAAAGTACTCCCAATATCCACTTGCAGGTTCTACAAAATGAGTGTTTCAAAACCGCTCAATCATTAGATAGGTTCAACTCTGTGAGACGAATGCACACGTCACAAAGAAGTTTTACGGAATGCTTCTATATAGTTTTTATTTGAAGGTATTTCCTTTTCCACCCTAGGTTGCAAAGGGCTCCAAATATCCACTTGCAGATTCGACAAAAAGAGAGATTCAAAACTGCTCAATGACAAGTCCAACTCTGTGGGTTGAATCCATGCCTCACAAAGAAGTTTCTCAGAATGCTTCTCTGTAGTTTTTATGTGAAGATATTTCCTTTTTCACAATAGGCCTCAAGCTTTCCAAATATCCACTTGCAGATTCCGCAAAAAGAGAGATACAAAAGTGCTCTATCAAAAGATAGGTTCGACTCTGGGAGTTCAATGCAAACATCACAAAGAAGTTTCTCAGAATGCTTCTGTGTAGATTTTATGTGAAGATGTTTTGTTTTCTACCATAGGGCAAAATGGGGCTCCAAATATCTACTTGCATTTTCTACAAAAAGAGAGATTCTAAGCTGCTCAATCAAAAGATACGTTCAACACTGTTAGTTGAATGCACACATGCCAAAGAAGTTTCTCAGAATGCTTCTGTGTAGTTTTTATGTGAAGATATTTGCTTTTCCACAATAGGCCTCAAATCGTTCTAAATATCCACTTGCAGGCTCTACAAAAAGAGTGTTTCCAAATTGCTCAATCATAAGGTAGGTTCAACTCTGAGAGTTGAATGCACACATCATAAAGAAGTTTCTCAGAATGGTTCTGTGTAGTTTTACTTTGAAGATATTTCATTTTCCAAAACAGGCCCCAAAGCTCTCCAAATATCCACTTGGTGATTCTGCAAAAAGAGCGTTTCAATACTGCTCCATAAAAAGAAAGGTTCAGCTCTGTGTGAGGAATGCATTCATCACAAGAAGTTTCTCTGAATGCTTCTTTGTAGTTTTTATATGAAGATAGTTCCCTTTCCACCACAGGGTGCAAAGAGCTCCAAATATCCACTTGCAGATTCTACAGAAAATGAGATATGAAAGTGCTCAAGGAAAAGATAAGTTCAACTCTGTGAGTTGCATGCACACCTCACAAAGAAGAATCTCAAAATGCTTCTGCATAGTTTATATGTGAAGATATTTCCTTTTCCAAATAGGCCTCCAAGTTCTCCAGATATCCACTCGCAGATTCTGCAAAAAGAGAGACTCAAAACTGCTGAATCAAAACATAGTTTCAACTCTGTGACTTCATTGCACACCTCACAAAGATGTTTCTCAGAATGCTTCTGTGCAGTTTTCATATAAAGATATCTCCTTCTCCAAAATAGATCTCAAGGTTCTCCAAATATTCACTTCCAGATTCTATGGAAAGATTGTCTCAAAACTGCTCAATCAAACCAAAGGTTCAACCCTGTGAGATGAATGCACACATCACAAGGAAGTTTCTCGGAATACTTCTGTGTAGTTTTTATTTGAGGATAGTTCCTTTTCCACCACAGACCACAAAGGGCTCCAAATATCCATTGCAGATGTTACAAAAAGAGAGATTCAAAACTGCTCAACCAAAAGGTAGTTTCAACCATGTGATATGAATGCACACAGCACAGAGAAATTTCTCAAAATGCTTCTGTCTAGTTTTTATTTGAAGATATTGCCTTTTCTACCATAGGCCACAAACGTCTCCAAATATCCACATGCAGCTTCTACAAAAAGAGAGATTCAAAGCTTCTCAATCAAAAGATAGGTTCAACTCTGTGAGTTGAATGCACACTTCACAAAGAAGTTTCTCAGAGTGCTTCTGTGTGTTTTTATGTGAAGATGATTCCTTTTCCACAATAGGCCTCAAAGCTCTCCAAGTATCTGCAAGCAGAGTCTACAAAAAGAGAGATTCAAAACTGCTCAATGAAAAGATAGGTTCAACTCTGTGAGTTGAATGCACACCTCCAAAGAAGTTTCTCAGAATGCTTCCGTGTAGTTTCTATGTGAAGATATTTACTTTTCCACAATTGTCCCAAAGCTCTAAAATATCCACTTGCAGACCCTCTGAAAGAGTGTTTCAGAATTGCTCAATCAAAGGAGAGGTTCAATTCTGTGTGACCAATGCACTCATCACAAAAAGTTTGTCTGAATGCTTCTGTGTAGAATGGATTTGAAGATAATTCCTTTTCCACCACAGTCCGCAAATGGCTAAAAATATCCACTTGCAGATTCCACAAAAAGAGAGATTCAAAACTGCTCAATCACAAGGTAGGTTCAACTTGGTAATTTGAAAGCACACATGACAAACAATTTCTGAGAATGTTTTCTGTGTAGCTTTTAAGGGAAGATATTTGATTTTCAAATGTAGGCCTCAAAACGCTCCAAATATCCACTTGCAGATTGTACAAAAAGAGAGATTCAAAACTGGTCACTCAAAAGATAGTTCCAGCTCTGTGAGTTGAATGCAAACCTCACAAAGATGTTTCTCAGAAAGCTTCTGTATAGTTTTTATATGAAGATACTTGCTTTTCCACAATATACCTCAAATCTCCCCAATTATCCACTTGCAGATTCTACAAAAAGAGTGTTTCAAAACTGCTCAATCAAAATACACTTTCAACTCTGTGAGATCAATGCACACATCACAAAGAAGTTTCTCAGAATGCTTCTGTATAGTTTTTATCTGAAGTTATTTGCTTTTCCACGATAGGCCTCAAAGCACGCCAAATATCCACTTGCAGATCCTATGAAAAGAGTGTTCCAAAACTGGTCAATCATAAGATAGGTTTAACTCTGTGAGTTGAATGCACAATCACGAGGAAGTTTCTCAGAATGCCTCTGTGTGCTTTTCATTTGAAGGTATTTCCTTTTCCACCATAGGCCGCAAAGGGCTCCAAATATCCCCTTGCAGATTCTGCAAAATGAGAGATTCAAAACTGCTCAATCAAAAGATAGGTTCAACTCTGTGAGTTGAATGCTCACATAACAAAGAAGTTTCTTCTGTGTAGTTTTTATTTGAAGATATTTCCTTTTCCACCATAGGCCGCAAAGGGCTCCAAATATCCACTTGCAGATTGTATAAAAAGAGAGATTCAAAACTGGTCACTCGAAGGATCGGTTCAGCTCTGTGAGGTGAATGCACACATCAAAAAGAAGTTTCTTAGAGTGCCTCTATGTAGATTTTATGTGAAGATATTTGCTTTTCCACTTTAGGTCTCAAAGCGCTCCAAATATCCACGTGCAGATTCTAAAAAAAGAGAGATTCTAAGCTACTCCATCAAAAGATAGGTTCAGCTCTGTGAGTTGAATTCACACATCACAAAGAAGTTTCTAGGAGTGCTTCTGTGTAGTTGTTATGTGAAGATATTTGCTTTTCCACAGTAGGCCTCAAATCGCTCTACATATCCACTTGCAGTTTCTACAAAAAGAGTGTTTCCAAACTGCTCCATCATAAGACACGTTGAACTCTGAGAGTTGAATGCACACATCACAAAGAAGCTTCTCAGAATGCTTCTGTGTGGTTTTAATTTGAAGATATTTCCTTTTCCAAAACAGGCCTCAAAGCTCTCCAAATATCCACCTGGTTATTCTGCAAAAAGAGGGTTTCAATACTACTCAATAAAAAGGAAGATTCAACTCTGTGTGAGGAACGCATTCATCACAAAGAAGTCTTTCTGAATGCTTCTGTGTAGCTTTTATATGAAGATATTTCCTTTTACACCACAGGGTGCAAACAGCTCCAAACTTCCACTTGCAGATTCTACAAAAAGACGTATTCAAAACTGTACAATCAAAAGATAGTGTCAACTCTGCATGTTCAATGCACACATCACAAAGGACTTTCTCTGAATGCTTCTCTGTAGGGTTTGTTTATGTGAAGATATTTGCTTTTCCACTATAGGGTGAAACAGGGCTCCAAGTATCAACTTGCAGATTCTGCAAAAAGGAGATTCAAAACAGCTAAATCCAAAGATTACTTCAACTATGTGAGTTGAATGCACACACAAAAAAGAAGTTTCTCAGAATGCCTCTGTGTAGTTTTTATGTGAAGATATTTGATTTTCCACATTAGGCCTCAAAGCGCTCCAAATATCCACTTGCAGATTCTAGAAAAAGAGTGTTTCAAAACTGCCCTATCAAAAGAAACGTCCAACACTGTGAGATGAATGCACACATCACAAAGAAGTTTCTCAGAATGCTTCTTTGTAATTTTTATGTGAAGATATTCCCTTTTCCAAAGAAGGCCACAAAGTACTCCCAATATCCACTTGCAGGTTCTACAAAATGAGTGTTTCAAAACCGCTCAATCATTAGATAGGTTCAACTCTGTGAGACGAATGCACACGTCACAAAGAAGTTTTACGGAATGCTTCTATATAGTTTTTATTTGAAGGTATTTCCTTTTCCACCCTAGGTTGCCAAGGGCTCCAAATATCCACTTGCAGATTCGACAAAAAGAGACATTCAAAACTGCTCAATGATAAGTCCAACTCTGTGGGTTGAATCCATGCCTCACAAAGAAGTTTCTCAGAATGCTTCTCTGTAGTTTTTATGTGAAGATATTTCCTTTTTCACAATAGGTCTCAAGCTTTCCAAATATCCACTTGCAGATTCCGCAAAAAGAGAGATACAAAAGTGCTCTATCAAAAGATAGGTTCGACTCTGGGAGTTCAATGCAAACATCACAAAGAAGTTTCTCAGAATGCTTCTGTGTAGTTTTTATGTGAAGATGTTCTGTTTTCTACCATAGGGCAAAATGGGGCTCCAAATCTCTACTTGCATTTTCTACAAAAAGAGAGATTCTAAGCTGCTCAATCAAAAGATACGTTCAACACTGTTAGTTGAATGCACACATGCCAAAGAAGTTTCTCAGAATGCTTCTGTGTAGTTTTTATGTGAAGATATTTGCTTTTCCACAATAGGCCTCAAATCGTTCTAAATATCCACTTGCAGGCTCTACAAAAAGAGTGTTTCCAAATTGGTCAGTCATAAGGTAGGTTCAACTCTGAGAGTTGAATGCACACATCATAAAGAAGTTTCTCAGAATGGTTCTGTGTAGTTTTACTTTGAAGATATTTCATTTTCCAAAACAGGCCCCAAAGCTCTCCAAATATCTACTTGGTGATTCTGCAAAAAGAGCGTTTCAATACTGCTCAATAAAAAGAAACGTTCAGCTCTGTGTGAGGAATGCATTCATCACAAAGAAGTTTCTCTGAATGCTTCTTTGTAGTTTTTATATGAAGATAGTTCCCTTTCCACCACAGGGTGCAAAGAGCTCCAAATATCCACTTGCAGATTCTACAGAAAATGAGATACGAAAGTGCTCAAGGAAAAGATAAGTTCAACTCTGTGAGTTGCATGCACACCTCACAAAGAAGAATCTCAAAATGCTTCTGTATAGTTTATATGTGAAGATATTTCCTTTTCCAAATAGGCCTCCAAGTTCTCCAGATATCCACTCGCAGATTCTGCAAAAAGAGAGACTCAAAACTGCTGAATCAAAACATAGTTTCAACTCTGTGACTTCATTGCACACCTCACAAAGATGTTTCTCAGAATGCTTCTGTGCAGTTTTTATATAAAGATATCTCCTTCTCCAAAATAGATCTCAAGGTTCTCCAAATATTCACTTCCAGATTCTATGGAAAGATTGTCTCAAAACTGCTCAATCAAACCAAAGGTTCAACCCTATGAGATGAATGCACACATCACAAGGAAGTTTCTCGGAATACTTCTGTGTAGTTTTTATTTGAGGATAGTTCCTTTTCCACCACAGACCACAAAGGGCTCCAAATATCCATTGCAGATGGTACAAAAAGAGAGATTCAAAACTGCTCAATCAAAAGGTAGTTTCAACCATGTGATATGAATGCACACAGCACAGAGAAATTTCTCAAAATGCTTCTGTCTAGTTTTTATTTGAAGATATTGCCTTTTCTACCATAGGCCACAAACGTCTCCAAATATCCACATGCAGCTTCTACAAAAAGAGAGATTCAAAGCTTCTCAATCAAAAGATAGGTTCAACTCTGTGAGTTGAATGCACACTTCACAAAGAAGTTTCTCAGAGTGCTTCTGTGTGTTTTTATGTGAAGATGATCCCTTTTCCACAATAGGCCTCAAAGCTCTCCAAATATCTGCAAGCAGAGTCTACAAAAAGAGAGATTCAAAACTGCTCAATGAAAAGATAGGTTCAACTCTGTGAGTTGAATGCACACCTCCAAAGAAGTTTCTCAGAATGCTTCCGTGTAGTTTCTATGTGAAGATATTTACTTTTCCACAATTGTCCCAAAGCTCTAAAATATCCACTTGCAGACCCTCTGAAAGAGTGCTTCAGAATTGCTCAATCAAAGGAGAGGTTCAATTCTGTGTGACCAATGCACTCATCACAAAAAGTTTGTCTGAATGCTTTCTGTGTAGAATGGATTTGAAGATAATTCCTTTTCCACCACAGTCCGCAAATGGCTAAAAATATCCACTTGCAGATTCCACAAAAAGAGAGATTCAAAACTGCTCAATCACAAGGTAGGTTCAACTTGGTAATTTGAAAGCACACATGACAAACAATTTCTGAGAATGTTTCTGTGTAGCTTTTAAGGGAAGATATTTGATTTTCAAATGTAGGCCTCAAAACGCTCCAAATATCCACTTGCAGATTGTACAAAAAGAGAGATTCAAAACTGGTCACTCAAAAGATAGTTCCAGCTCTGTGAGTTGAATGCAAACCTCACAAAGATGTTTCTCAGAAAGCTTCTGTATAGTTTTTATATGAAGATACTTGCTTTTCCACAATATACCTCAAATCTCCCCAATTATCCACTTGCAGATTCTACAAAAAGAGTGTTTCAAAACTGCTCAATCAAAATACACTTTCAACTCTGTGAGATCAATGCACACATCACAAAGAAGTTTCTCAGAATGCTTCTGTATAGTTTTTATCTGAAGTTATTTGCTTTTCCACGATAGGCCTCAAAGCACGCCAAATATCCACTTGCAGATCCTATGAAAAGAGTGTTCCAAAACTGGTCAATCATAAGATAGGTTTAACTCTGTGAGTTGAATGCACAATCACGAGGAAGTTTCTCAGAATGCCTCTGTGTGCTTTTCATTTGAAGGTATTTCCTTTTCCACCATAGGCCGCAAAGGGCTCCAAATATCCCCTTGCAGATTCTGCAAAATGAGAGATTCAAAACTGCTCAATCAAAAGATAGGTTCAACTCTGTGAGTTGAATGCTCACATAACAAAGAAGTTTCTCACAGTATTTCTGTGTAGTTTTTATTTGAAGATATTTCCTTTTCCACCATAGGCCGCAAAGGGCTCCAAATATCCACTTGCAGATTGTATAAAAAGAGAGATTCAAAACTGGTCACTCGAAGGATCGGTTCAGCTCTGTGAGGTGAATGCACACATCAAAAAGAAGTTTCTTAGAGTGCCTCTATGTAGATTTTATGTGAAGATATTTGCTTTTCCACTTTAGGTCTCAAAGCGCTCCAAATATCCATGTGCAGATTCTAAAAAAAGAGACATTCTAAGCTACTCCATCAAAAGATAGGTTCAGCTCTGTGAGTTGAATTCACACATCACAAAGAAGTTTCTAGGAGTGCTTCTGTGTAGTTGTTATGTGAAGATATTTGCTTTTGCACAGTAGGCCTCAAATCGCTCTACATATCCACTTGCAGTTTCTACAAAAAGAGTGTTTCCAAACTGCTCCATCATAAGACACGTTCAACTCTGAGAGTTGAATGCACACATCACAAAGAAGTTTCTCAGAATGCGTCTGTGTGGTTTTAATTTGAAGATATTTCCTTTTCCAAAACAGGCCTCAAAGCTCTCCAAATATCCCCCTGGTTATTCTGCAAAAAGAGGGTTTCAAAACTACTCAATAAAAAGGTAGATTCAACTCTGTGTGAGGAACGCATTCCTCACAAAGAAGTCTCTCTGAAAGCTTCTGTGTAGTTTTTATATGAAGATATTTCCTTTTGCACCACAGCGTGCAAACAGCTCCAAACTTCCACTTGCAGATTCTACAAAAAGAGATATTCAAAACTGTACAATCAAAAGATAGTTTCAACTCTGCGTGTTCAATGCACACATCACAAAGGACTTTACTCTGAATGCTTCTCTGTAGTGTTTGTTTATGTGAAGAGATTTGCTTTTCCACTATAGGGTGAAACAGGGCTCCAGGTATCAACTTGCAGATTCTGCAAAAAGGAGATTCAAAACAGCTAAATCGAAAGATAACTTCAACTATGTGAGTTGAATGCACACACAAAAAAGAAGTTTCTCAGAATGCCTCTGTGTAGTTTTTATGTGAAGATATTTGATTTTCCACATTAGGCCTCAAAGCGCTCCAAATATCCACTTGCAGACTCTACAAGAAGACTCTTTCGAAACTGCCCCATCAAAAGGAAACGTCCAACACTGTGAGATGCATGCACACATCACAAAGAAGTTTCTCAGAATGCTTCTTTGTAGTTTTCATGTGAAGATATTTCCTTTTCCAAAGAAGGCCACAAACTACTCCCAATATCCACTTCCAGGTTCTACAAAATGAGTGTTTCAAAACTGCTCAATCATTAGATAGGTTCAACTCTGTGAGATGAATGCACACATCACAAAGAAGTTTTTCGGAATGCTTCTATATAGTTTTTATGTGAAGGTGTTTCCTTTTCCACCATAGGTTGCAAAAGGGCTCCAAATATCCACTTGCAGATTCGACCAAAAGAGAGATTCAAAACTGCTCAATGATAAGTCCAACTCTGTGGGTTGAATCCATGCCTCACAGAGAAGTTTCTCAGAATGCTTCTCTGTAGTTTCTATGTGAAGATATTTCCTTTTTCACAATAGGCCTCAAGCTTTCCAAATATCCACTTGCAGATTCTGCAAAAAGAGAGATACAAAACTGCTCTATCAAAAGATAGGTTCGACTCTGGGAGTTCAATGCAAACATCACAAAGAAGTTTCTCAGAATGCTTCTGCGTAGTTTTTATGTGAAGATGTTCTGTTTTCTACCATAGGGCGAAATGGGGCTCCAAATCTCTACTTGCATTTTCTACAAAAGGAGAGATTCTAAGCTGCTCAATCAAAAGATAGGTTCAACACTGTTAGTTGAATGCACACATCCCAAAGAAGTCTCTGAGAATGCTTTCTGTGTAGTTTTTATGTGAAGATATTTGCTTTTCCACAATAGGCCTCAAATCTGTTCTAAATATCCACTTGCAGGCTCTACAAAAAGAGTGTTTCCAAATTGCTCAATCATAAGGTAGCTTCAACTCTGAGAGTTGAATGCTCACATCATGAAGAAGTTTCTCAGAATGGTTCTGTGTAGTTTTACTTTGAAGATATTTCATTTTCCAAAACAGGCCCCAAAGCTCTCCAAATATCCACTTGGTGATTCTGCAAAAAGAGCGTTTCAATACTGCTCAATAAAAAGAAACGTTCAGCTCTGTGTGAGGAATGCATTCATCACAAAGAAGTTTCTCTGAATGCTTCTTTGTAGTTTTTATATGAAAATAGTTCCCTTTCCACCACAGGGTGCAAAGAGCTCCAAATATCCACTTGCAGATTCTACAGAAAATGAGATATGAAAGTGCTCAAGGAAAAGATAAGTTCAACTCTGTGAGTTGCATGCACACCTCACAAAGAAGAATCTCAAAATGCTTCTGCATAGTTTATATGTGAAGATATTTCCTTTTCCAAATAGGCCTCCAAGTTCTCCAGATATCCACTCGCAGATTCTGTAAAAAGAGAGACTCAAAACTGCTGAATCAAAACATAGTTTCAACTCTGTGACTTCATTGCACACCTCACAAAGATGTTTCTCAGAATGCTTCTGTGCAGTTTTTATATAAAGATATCTCCTTCTCCAAAATAGATCTCAAGGTTCTCCAAATATTCACTTCCAGATTCTATGGAAAGATTGTCTCAAAACTGCTCAATCAAACCAAAGGTTCAACCCTATGAGATGAATGCACACATCACAAGGAAGTTTCTCGGAATACTTCTGTGTAGTTTTTATTTGAGGATAGTTCCTTTTCCACCACAGACCACAAAGGGCTCCAAATATCCATTGCAGATGGTACAAAAAGAGAGATTCAAAACTGCTCAATCAAAAGGTAGTTTCAACCATGTGATATGAATGCACACAGCACAGAGAAATTTCTCAAAATGCTTCTGTCTAGTTTTTATTTGAAGATATTGCCTTTTCTACCATAGGCCACAAACGTCTCCAAATATCCACATGCAGCTTCTACAAAAAGAGAGATTCAAAGCTTCTCAATCAAAAGATAGGTTCAACTCTGTGAGTTGAATGCACACTTCACAAAGAAGTTTCTCAGAGTGCTTCTGTGTGTTTTTATGTGAAGATGATTCCTTTTCCACAATAGGCCTCAAAGCTCTCCAAATATCTGCAAGCAGAGTCTACAAAAAGAGAGATTCAAAACTGCTCAATGAAAAGATAGGTTCAACTCTGTGAGTTGAATGCACACCTCCAAAGAAGTTTCTCAGAATGCTTCCGTGTAGTTTCTATGTGAAGATATTTACTTTTCCACAATTGTCCCAAAGCTCTAAAATATCCACTTGCAGACCCTCTGAAAGAGTGTTTCAGAATTGCTCAATCAAAGGAGAGGTTCAATTCTGTGTGACCAATGCACTCATCACAAAAAGTTTGTCTGAATGCTTCTGTGTAGAATGGATTTGAAGATAATTCCTTTTCCACCACAGTCCGCAAATGGCTAAAAATATCCACTTGCAGATTCCACAAAAAGAGAGATTCAAAACTGCTCAATCACAAGGTAGGTTCAACTTGGTAATTTGAAAGCACACATGACAAACAATTTCTGAGAATGTTTCTGTGTAGCTTTTAAGGGAAGATATTTGATTTTCAAATGTAGGCCTCAAAACGCTCCAAATATCCACTTGCAGATTGTACAAAAAGAGAGATTCAAAACTGGTCACTCAAAAGATAGTTCCAGCTCTGTGAGTTGAATGCAAACCTCACAAAGATGTTTCTCAGAAAGCTTCTGTATAGTTTTTATATGAAGATACTTGCTTTTCCACAATATACCTCAAATCTCCCCAATTATCCACTTGCAGATTCTACAAAAAGAGTGTTTCAAAACTGCTCAATCAAAATACACTTTCAACTCTGTGAGATCAATGCACACATCACAAAGAAGTTTCTCAGAATGCTTCTGTATAGTTTTTATCTGAAGTTATTTGCTTTTCCACGATAGGCCTCAAAGCACGCCAAATATCCACTTGCAGATCCTATGAAAAGAGTGTTCCAAAACTGGTCAATCATAAGATAGGTTTAACTCTGTGAGTTGAATGCACAATCACGAGGAAGTTTCTCAGAATGCCTCTGTGTGCTTTTCATTTGAAGGTATTTCCTTTTCCACCATAGGCCGCAAAGGGCTCCAAATATCCCCTTGCAGATTCTGCAAAATGAGAGATTCAAAACTGCTCAATCAAAAGATAGGTTCAACTCTGTGAGTTGAATGCTCACATAACAAAGAAGTTTCTTCTGTGTAGTTTTTATTTGAAGATATTTCCTTTTCCACCATAGGCCGCAAAGGGCTCCAAATATCCACTTGCAGATTGTATAAAAAGAGAGATTCAAAACTGGTCACTCGAAGGATCGGTTCAGCTCTGTGAGGTGAATGCACACATCAAAAAGAAGTTTCTTAGAGTGCCTCTATGTAGATTTTATGTGAAGATATTTGCTTTTCCACTTTAGGTCTCAAAGCGCTCCAAATATCCACGTGCAGATTCTAAAAAAAGAGAGATTCTAAGCTACTCCATCAAAAGATAGGTTCAGCTCTGTGAGTTGAATTCACACATCACAAAGAAGTTTCTAGGAGTGCTTCTGTGTAGTTGTTATGTGAAGATATTTGCTTTTCCACAGTAGGCCTCAAATCGCTCTACATATCCACTTGCAGTTTCTACAAAAAAGAGTGTTTCCAAACTGCTCCATCATAAGACACGTTGAACTCTGAGAGTTGAATGCACACATCACAAAGAAGCTTCTCAGAATGCTTCTGTGTGGTTTTAATTTGAAGATATTTGCTTTTCCAAAACAGGCCTCAAAGCTCTCCAAATATCCACCTGGTTATTCTGCAAAAAGAGGGTTTCAATACTACTCAATAAAAAGGAAGATTCAACTCTGTGTGAGGAACGCATTCATCACAAAGAAGTCTTTCTGAATGCTTCTGTGTAGCTTTTATATGAAGATATTTCCTTTTACACCACAGGGTGCAAACAGCTCCAAACTTCCACTTGCAGATTCTACAAAAAGACGTATTCAAAACTGTACAATCAAAAGATAGTGTCAACTCTGCATGTTCAATGCACACATCACAAAGGACTTTCTCTGAATGCTTCTCTGTAGGGTTTGTTTATGTGAAGACATTTGCTTTTCCACTATAGGGTGAAACAGGGCTCCAAGTATCAACTTGCAGATTCTGCAAAAAGGAGATTCAAAACAGCTAAATCCAAAGATTACTTCAACTATGTGAGTTGAATGCACACACAAAAAAGAAGTTTCTCAGAATGCCTCTGTGTAGTTTTTATGTGAAGATATTTGATTTTCCACATTAGGCCTCAAAGCGCTCCAAATATCCACTTGCAGATTCTAGAAAAAGAGTGTTTCAAAACTGCCCTATCAAAAGAAACGTCCAACACTGTGAGATGAATGCACACATCACAAAGAAGTTTCTCAGAATGCTTCTTTGTAGTTTTTATGTGAAGATATTCCCTTTTCCAAAGAAGGCCACAAAGTACTCCCAATATCCACTTGCAGGTTCTACAAAATGAGTGTTTCAAAACCGCTCAATCATTAGATAGGTTCAACTCTGTGAGACGAATGCACACATCACAAAGAAGTTTTACGGAATGCTTCTATATAGTTTTTATTTGAAGGTATTTCCTTTTCCACCCTAGGTTGCAAAGGGCTCCAAATATCCACTTGCAGATTCGACAAAAAGAGAGATTCAAAACTGCTCAATGATAAGTCCAACTCTGTGGGTTGAATCCATGCCTCACAAAGAAGTTTCTCAGAATGCTTCTCTGTAGTTTTTATGTGAAGATATTTCCTTTTTCACAATAGGCCTCAAGCTTTCCAAATATCCACTTGCAGATTCCGCAAAAAGAGAGATACAAAAGTGCTCTATCAAAAGATAGGTTCGACTCTGGGAGTTCAATGCAAACATCACAAAGAAGTTTCTCAGAATGCTTCTGTGTAGTTTTTATGTGAAGATGTTCTGTTTTCTACCATAGGGCGAAATGGGGCTCCAAATCTCTACTTGCATTTTCTACAAAAGGAGAGATTCTAAGCTGCTCAATCAAAAGATAGGTTCAACACTGTTAGTTGAATGCACACATCCCAAAGAAGTTTCTGAGAATGCTTCTGTGTAGTTTTTATGTGAAGATATTTGCTTTTCCACAATAGGCCTCAAATCGTTCTAAATATCCACTTGCAGGCTCTACAAAAAGAGTGTTTCCAAATTGCTCAATCATAAGGTAGCTTCAACTCTGAGAGTTGAATGCTCACATCATGAAGAAGTTTCTCAGAATGGTTCTGTGTAGTTTTACTTTGAAGATATTTCATTTTCCAAATCAGGCCCCAAAGCTCTCCAAATATCCACTTGGTGATTCTGCAAAAGGAGCGTTTCAATACTGCTCAATAAAAAGAAAGGCTCAACTCTGTGTGAGGAATGCATTCATCACAAAGAAGTTTCTCTGAATGCTTCTTTGTAGTTTTTATATGAAGATATTTCCCTTTCCACCACAGGGTGCAAAGAGCTCCAAATATCCACTTGCAGATTCCACAAAAAAAGAGATATGAAAGTGCTCCATGGAAAGATAAGTTCAACTCTGTGAGTTGAATGCACACCTCACAAAGAAGTATCTCAAAATGCTTCTGCGTAGTTTTTATGTGAAGATATTTCCTTTTCCAAGTAGGCCTCAACGTTCTCCAGATATCCACTCGCAGATTCTGCAAAAAGAGAGACTCAAAACTGCTGAATCAAAAGATAGTTTCAACTCTGTGACTTCATTGCACACCTCACAAAGATGTTTCTCAGAATGCTTCTGTGCAGTTTTTATATAAAGATATCTCCTTCTCCAAAATAGATCTCAAAGTTATCCAAGTATTCACTTCCAGATTCTATGGAAAGATTATCTCAAAACTGCTCAATCAAACCAAAGGTTCAACTCTGTGAGATAAATGCACACATCACAAAGAAGTTTCTCAGAATACTTCCGTGTAGTTTTTATTTGAGGATAGTTCCTTTTCCACCACAGACCACAAAGGGCTCCAAATATCCATTGCAGATGGTACAAACAGAGAGACTCGAAACTGCTCAATCAAAAGGTAGTTTCAACCATGTGATATGAATGCACACAGCACAGAGAATTTTCTCAAAATGCTTCTGTCTAGTTTTTATTTGAAGATATATCCTTTTCTACCATAGGCCACAAACGTCTCCAAATATCCACATGCAGCTTCTACAAAAAGAGAGATTCAAAACTTCTCCATCAAAAGATAGGTTCAACTCTGTGAGTTGAATGCACACCTCACAAAGAAGTTTCTCAGAGTGCTTCTGTGTGTTTTTATGTGAACATATTCCCTTTTCCACAATAGGCCTCAAAGCTCTCCAAATATCTGCAAGCAGAGTCTACAAAAAGAGAGATTCAAAACTGCTCAATGAAAAGATAGGTTCAACTCTGTGAGTTGAATGCACACCTCCAAAGAAGTTTCTCAGAATGCTTCCGTGTAGTTTCTATGTGAAGATATTTACTTTTCCACAATTGTCCCAAAGCTCTAAAATATCCACTTGCAGACCCTCTGAAAGAGTGTTTCAGAATTGCTCAATCAAAGGAGAGGTTCAATTCTGTGTGACCAATGCACTCATCACCAAGAAGTTTGTCTGAATGCTTCTGTGTAGAATGGATTTGAAGATAATTCCTTTTCCACCACAGTCCGCAAAGGGCTAAAAATATCCATTTGCAGATTCCACAAAAAGAGAGATTCAGAACTGCTCAATCACAAGATAGGTTCAACTTGGTAATTTGAAAGCCCACATGACAAACAATTTCTGAGAATGTTTCTGTGTAGTTTTTAAGGGAAGATATTTGATTTTCAAATGTAGGCCTCAAATCGCTCCAAATATCCACTTGCAGATTGAACAAAAAGAGAGATTCAAAACTGGTCACTCAAGAGATAGGTCCAGCTCTGTGAGTTGAATGCAAACCTCACAAAGATGTTTCTCAGAACGCTTCTGTATAGTTTTATATGAAGATACTTGCTTTTCCACAATATACCTCAAATCTCCCCAATTATCCACTTGCAGATTCTACAAAAAGAGTGTTTCAAAACTGCTCAATCAAAATACACTTTCAACTCTGTGAGATCAATGCACACATCACAAAGAAGTTTCTCAGAATGCTTCTGTATAGTTTTTATCTGAAGTTATTTGCTTTTCCACGATAGGCCTCAAAGCACGCCAAATATCCACTTGCAGATCCTATGAAAAGAGTGTTCCAAAACTGGTCAATCATAAGATAGGTTTAACTCTGTGAGTTGAATGCACAATCACGAGGAAGTTTCTCAGAATGCCTCTGTGTGCTTTTCATTTGAAGGTATTTCCTTTTCCACCATAGGCCGCAAAGGGCTCCAAATATCCCCTTGCAGATTCTGCAAAATGAGAGATTCAAAACTGCTCAATCAAAAGATAGGTTCAACTCTGTGAGTTGAATGCTCACATAACAAAGAAGTTTCTCACAGTATTTCTGTGTAGTTTTTATTTGAAGATATTTCCTTTTCCACCATAGGCCGCAAAGGGCTCCAAATATCCACTTGCAGATTGTATAAAAAGAGAGATTCAAAACTGGTCACTCGAAGGATCGGTTCAGCTCTGTGAGGTGAATGCACACATCAAAAAGAAGTTTCTTAGAGTGCCTCTATGTAGATTTTATGTGAAGATATTTGCTTTTCCACTTTAGGTCTCAAAGCGCTCCAAATATCCACGTGCAGATTCTAAAAAAAGAGAGATTCTAAGCTACTCCATCAAAAGATAGGTTCAGCTCTGTGAGTTGAATTCACACATCACAAAGAAGTTTCTAGGAGTGCTTCTGTGTAGTTGTTATGTGAAGATATTTGCTTTTCCACAGTAGGCCTCAAATCGCTCTACATATCCACTTGCAGTTTCTACAAAAAAGAGTGTTTCCAAACTGCTCCATCATAAGACACGTTGAACTCTGAGAGTTGAATGCACACATCACAAAGAAGCTTCTCAGAATGCTTCTGTGTGGTTTTAATTTGAAGATATTTCCTTTTCCAAAACAGGCCTCAAAGCTCTCCAAATATCCACCTGGTTATTCTGCAAAAAGAGGGTTTCAATACTACTCAATAAAAAGGAAGATTCAACTCTGTGTGAGGAACGCATTCATCACAAAGAAGTCTTTCTGAATGCTTCTGTGTAGCTTTTATATGAAGATATTTCCTTTTACACCACAGGGTGCAAACAGCTCCAAACTTCCACTTGCAGATTCTACAAAAAGACGTATTCAAAACTGTACAATCAAAAGATAGTGTCAACTCTGCATGTTCAATGCACACATCACAAAGGACTTTCTCTGAATGCTTCTCTGTAGGGTTTGTTTATGTGAAGATATTTGCTTTTCCACTATAGGGTGAAACAGGGCTCCAAGTATCAACTTGCAGATTCTGCAAAAAGGAGATTCAAAACAGCTAAATCCAAAGATTACTTCAACTATGTGAGTTGAATGCACACACAAAAATGAAGTTTCTCAGAATGCCTCTGTGTAGTTTTTATGTGAAGATATTTGATTTTCCACATTAGGCCTCAAAGCGCTCCAAATATCCACTTGCAGACTCTACAAGAAGACTCTTTCGAAACTGCCCTATCAAAAGAAACGTCCAACACTGTGAGATGAATGCACACATCACAAAGAAGTTTCTCAGAATGCTTCTTTGTAGTTTTTATGTGAAGATATTCCCTTTTCCAAAGAAGGCCACAAAGTACTCCCAATATCCACTTGCAGGTTCTACAAAATGAGTGTTTCAAAACCGCTCAATCATTAGATAGGTTCAACTCTGTGAGACGAATGCACACATCACAAAGAAGTTTTACGGAATGCTTCTATATAGTTTTTATTTGAAGGTATTTCCTTTTCCACCCTAGGTTGCAAAGGGCTCCAAATATCCACTTGCAGATTCGACAAAAAGAGAGATTCAAAACTGCTCAATGATAAGTCCAACTCTGTGGGTTGAATCCATGCCTCACAAAGAAGTTTCTCAGAATGCTTCCCTGTAGTTTTTATGTGAAGATATTTCCTTTTTCACAATAGGCCTCAAGCTTTCCAAATATCCACTTGCAGATTCCACAAAAAGAGAGATACAAAAGTGCTCTATCAAAAGATAGGTTCGACTCTGGGAGTTCAACGCAAACATCACAAAGAAGTTTCTCAGAATGCTTCTGTGTAGATTTTATGTGTAGATGTTCTGTTTTCTACCATAGGGCAAAATGGGGCTCCAAGTATCTACTTGCATTTTCTACAAAAAGAGAGATTCTAAGCTGCTCAATCAAAAGATACGTTCAACACTGTTAGTTGAATGCACACATGCCAACGAAGTTTCTCAGAAGGCTTCTGTGTAGTTTTTATGTGGAGATATTTGCTTTTCCACAATAGGCCTCAAATCGTTCTAAATATCCACTTGCAGACTCTACAAAAAGAGTGTTTCCAAATTGCTCAATCATAAGGTAGGTTCAACTCTGAGAGTTGAATGCACACATCATAAAGAAGTTTCTCAGAATGGTTCTGTGTAGTTTTACTTTGAAGATATTTCATTTTCCAAAACAGGCCCCAAAGCTCTCCAAATATCCACTTGGTGATTCTGCAAAAAGAGCGTTTCAATACTGCTCAATAAAAAGAAAGGTTCAACTCTGTGTGAGGAATGCATTCATCACAAGAAGTTTCTCTGAATGCTTCTTTGTAGTTTTTATATGAAGATAGTTCCCTTTCCACCACAGGGTGCAAAGAGCTCCAAATATCCACTTGCAGATTCTACAGAAAATGAGATACGAAAGTGCTCAAGGAAAAGATAAGTTCAACTCTGTTAGTTGCATGCACACCTCACAAAGAAGAATCTCAAAATGCTTCTGCATAGTTTATATGTGAAGATATTTCCTTTTCCAAATAGGCCTCCAAGTTCTCCAGATATCCACTCGCAGATTCTGCAAAAAGAGAGACTCAAAACTGCTGAATCAAAGCATAGTTTCAACTCTGTGACTTCATTGCACACCTCACAAAGATGTTTCTCAGAATGCTTCTGTGCAGTTTTTATATAAAGATATCTCCTTCTCCAAAATAGATCTCAAGGTTCTCCAAATATTCACTTCCAGATTCTATGGAAAGATTGTCTCAAAACTGCTCAATCAAACCAAAGGTTCAACCCTATGAGATGAATGCACACATCACAAGGAAGTTTCTCGGAATACTTCTGTGTAGTTTTTATTTGAGGATAGTTCCTTTTCCACCACAGACCACAAAGGGCTCCAAATATCCATTGCAGATGGTACAAAAAGAGAGATTCAAAACTGCTCAATCAAAAGGTAGTTTCAACCATGTGATATGAATGCACACAGCACAGAGAAATTTCTCAAAATGCTTCTGTCTAGTTTTTATTTGAAGATATTGCCTTTTCTACCATAGGCCACAAACGTCTCCAAATATCCACATGCAGCTTCTACAAAAAGAGAGATTCAAAGCTTCTCAATCAAAAGATAGGTTCAACTCTGTGAGTTGAATGCACACTTCACAAAGAAGTTTCTCAGAGTGCTTCTGTGTGTTTTTATGTGAAGATGATCCCTTTTCCACAATAGGCCTCAAAGCTCTCCAAATATCTGCAAGCAGAGTCTACAAAAAGAGAGATTCAAAACTGCTCAATGAAAAGATAGGTTCAACTCTGTGAGTTGAATGCACACCTCCAAAGAAGTTTCTCAGAATGCTTCCGTGTAGTTTTTATGTGAAGATATTTACTTTTCCACAATTGTCCCAAAGATCTAAAATATCCACTTGCAGACCCTCTGAAAGAGTGTTTCAGAATTGCTCAATCAAAGGAGAGGTTCAATTCTGTGTGACCAATGCACTCATCACCAAGAAGTTTGTCTGAATGCTTCTGTGTAGAATGGATTTGAAGATAATTCCTTTTCCACCACAGTCCGCAAAGGGCCAAAAATATCCATTTGCAGATTCCCCAAAAAGAGAGACTCAGAACTGCTCAATCACAAGGTAGGTTCAACTTGGTAATTTGAAAGCCCACATGACAAACAATTTCTGAGAATGTTTCTATGTAGATTTTAAGGGAAGATATTTGATTTTCAAATGTAGGCCTCAAAACGCTCCAAATATCCACTTGCAGATTGTACAAAAAGAGAGATTCAAAACTGGTCACTCAAAAGATAGTTCCAGCTCTGTGAGTTGAATGCAAACCTCACAAAGATGTTTCTCAGAAAGCTTCTGTATAGTTTTTATATGAAGATACTTGCTTTTCCACAATATACCTCAAATCTCCCCAATTATCCACTTGCAGATTCTACAAAAAGAGTGTTTCAAAACTGCTCAATCAAAATACACTTTCAACTCTGTGAGATCAATGCACACATCACAAAGAAGTTTCTCAGAATGCTTCTGTATAGTTTGCTTTTCCACGATAGGCCTCAAAGCACGCCAAATATCCACTTGCAGATCCTATGAAAAGAGTGTTCCAAAACTGGTCAATCATAAGATAGGTTTAACTCTGTGAGTTGAATGCACAATCACGAGGAAGTTTCTCAGAATGCCTCTGTGTGCTTTTCATTTGAAGGTATTTCCTTTTCCACCATAGGCCGCAAAGGGCTCCAAATATCCCCTTGCAGATTCTGCAAAATGAGAGATTCAAAACTGCTCAATCAAAAGATAGGTTCAACTCTGTGAGTTGAATGCTCACATAACAAAGAAGTTTCTCACAGTATTTCTGTGTAGTTTTTATTTGAAGATATTTCCTTTTCCACCATAGGCCGCAAAGGGCTCCAAATATCCACTTGCAGATTGTATAAAAAGAGAGATTCAAAACTGGTCACTCAAAGGATCGGTTCAGCTCTGTGAGGTGAATGCACACATCAAAAAGAAGTTTCTTAGAGTGCCTCTATGTAGATTTTATGTGAAGATATTTGCTTTTCCACTTTAGGTCTCAAAGCGCTCCAAATATCCACGTGCAGATTCTAAAAAAAGAGAGATTCTAAGCTACTCCATCAAAAGATAGGTTCAGCTCTGTGAGTTGAATTCACACATCACAAAGAAGTTTCTAGGAGTGCTTCTGTGTAGTTGTTATGTGAAGATATTTGCTTTTCCACAGTAGGCCTCAAATCGCTCTACATATCCACTTGCAGTTTCTACAAAAAAGAGTGTTTCCAAACTGCTCCATCATAAGACACGTTGAACTCTGAGAGTTGAATGCACACATCACAAAGAAGCTTCTCAGAATGCTTCTGTGTGGTTTTAATTTGAAGATATTTGCTTTTCCAAAACAGGCCTCAAAGCTCTCCAAATATCCACCTGGTTATTCTGCAAAAAGAGGGTTTCAATACTACTCAATAAAAAGGAAGATTCAACTCTGTGTGAGGAACGCATTCATCACAAAGAAGTCTTTCTGAATGCTTCTGTGTAGCTTTTATATGAAGATATTTCCTTTTACACCACAGGGTGCAAACAGCTCCAAACTTCCACTTGCAGATTCTACAAAAAGACGTATTCAAAACTGTACAATCAAAAGATAGTGTCAACTCTGCATGTTCAATGCACACATCACAAAGGACTTTCTCTGAATGCTTCTCTGTAGGGTTTGTTTATGTGAAGACATTTGCTTTTCCACTATAGGGTGAAACAGGGCTCCAAGTATCAACTTGCAGATTCTGCAAAAAGGAGATTCAAAACAGCTAAATCCAAAGATTACTTCAACTATGTGAGTTGAATGCACACACAAAAAAGAAGTTTCTCAGAATGCCTCTGTGTAGTTTTTATGTGAAGATATTTGATTTTCCACATTAGGCCTCAAAGCGCTCCAAATATCCACTTGCAGATTCTAGAAAAAGAGTGTTTCAAAACTGCCCTATCAAAAGAAACGTCCAACACTGTGAGATGAATGCACACATCACAAAGAAGTTTCTCAGAATGCTTCTTTGTAGTTTTTATGTGAAGATATTCCCTTTTCCAAAGAAGGCCACAAAGTACTCCCAATATCCACTTGCAGGTTCTACAAAATGAGTGTTTCAAAACCGCTCAATCATTAGATAGGTTCAACTCTGTGAGACGAATGCACACGTCACAAAGAAGTTTTACGGAATGCTTCTATATAGTTTTTATTTGAAGGTATTTCCTTTTCCACCCTAGGTTACAAAGGGCTCCAAATATCCACTTGCAGATTCGACAAAAAGAGAGATTCAAAACTGCTCAATGACAAGTCCAACTCTGTGGGTTGAATCCATGCCTCACAAAGAAGTTTCTCAGAATGCTTCTCTGTAGTTTTTATGTGAAGATATTTCCTTTTTCACAATAGGCCTCAAGCTTTCCAAATATCCACTTGCAGATTCCGCAAAAAGAGAGATACAAAAGTGCTCTATCAAAAGATAGGTTCGACTCTGGGAGTTCAATGCAAACATCACAAAGAAGTTTCTCAGAATGCTTCTGTGTAGATTTTATGTGAAGATGTTTTGTTTTCTACCATAGGGCAAAATGGGGCTCCAAATATCTACTTGCATTTTCTACAAAAAGAGAGATTCTAAGCTGCTCAATCAAAAGATACGTTCAACACTGTTAGTTGAATGCACACATGCCAAAGAAGTTTCTCAGAATGCTTCTGTGTAGTTTTTATGTGAAGATATTTGCTTTTCCACAATAGGCCTCAAATCGTTCTAAATATCCACTTGCAGGCTCTACAAAAAGAGTGTTTCCAAATTGCTCAATCATAAGGTAGGTTCAACTCTGAGAGTTGAATGCACACATCATAAAGAAGTTTCTCAGAATGGTTCTGTGTAGTTTTACTTTGAAGATATTTCATTTTCCAAAACAGGCCCCAAAGCTCTCCAAATATCCACTTGGTGATTCTGCAAAAAGAGCGTTTCAATACTGCTCCATAAAAAGAAAGGTTCAGCTCTGTGTGAGGAATGCATTCATCACAAGAAGTTTCTCTGAATGCTTCTTTGTAGTTTTTATATGAAGATAGTTCCCTTTCCACCACAGGGTGCAAAGAGCTCCAAATATCCACTTGCAGATTCTACAGAAAATGAGATATGAAAGTGCTCAAGGAAAAGATAAGTTCAACTCTGTGAGTTGCATGCACACCTCACAAAGAAGAATCTCAAAATGCTTCTGCATAGTTTATATGTGAAGATATTTCCTTTTCCAAATAGGCCTCCAAGTTCTCCAGATATCCACTCGCAGATTCTGCAAAAAGAGAGACTCAAAACTGCTGAATCAAAACATAGTTTCAACTCTGTGACTTCATTGCACACCTCACAAAGATGTTTCTCAGAATGCTTCTGTGCAGTTTTCATATAAAGATATCTCCTTCTCCAAAATAGATCTCAAGGTTCTCCAAATATTCACTTCCAGATTCTATGGAAAGATTGTCTCAAAACTGCTCAATCAAACCAAAGGTTCAACCCTGTGAGATGAATGCACACATCACAAGGAAGTTTCTCGGAATACTTCTGTGTAGTTTTTATTTGAGGATAGTTCCTTTTCCACCACAGACCACAAAGGGCTCCAAATATCCATTGCAGATGTTACAAAAAGAGAGATTCAAAACTGCTCAACCAAAAGGTAGTTTCAACCATGTGATATGAATGCACACAGCACAGAGAAATTTCTCAAAATGCTTCTGTCTAGTTTTTATTTGAAGATATTGCCTTTTCTACCATAGGCCACAAACGTCTCCAAATATCCACATGCAGCTTCTACAAAAAGAGAGATTCAAAGCTTCTCAATCAAAAGATAGGTTCAACTCTGTGAGTTGAATGCACACTTCACAAAGAAGTTTCTCAGAGTGCTTCTGTGTGTTTTTATGTGAAGATGATTCCTTTTCCACAATAGGCCTCAAAGCTCTCCAAGTATCTGCAAGCAGAGTCTACAAAAAGAGAGATTCAAAACTGCTCAATGAAAAGATAGGTTCAACTCTGTGAGTTGAATGCACACCTCCAAAGAAGTTTCTCAGAATGCTTCCGTGTAGTTTCTATGTGAAGATATTTACTTTTCCACAATTGTCCCAAAGCTCTAAAATATCCACTTGCAGACCCTCTGAAAGAGTGTTTCAGAATTGCTCAATCAAAGGAGAGGTTCAATTCTGTGTGACCAATGCACTCATCACAAAAAGTTTGTCTGAATGCTTCTGTGTAGAATGGATTTGAAGATAATTCCTTTTCCACCACAGTCCGCAAATGGCTAAAAATATCCACTTGCAGATTCCACAAAAAGAGAGATTCAAAACTGCTCAATCACAAGGTAGGTTCAACTTGGTAATTTGAAAGCACACATGACAAACAATTTCTGAGAATGTTTCTGTGTAGCTTTTAAGGGAAGATATTTGATTTTCAAATGTAGGCCTCAAAACGCTCCAAATATCCACTTGCAGATTGTACAAAAAGAGAGATTCAAAACTGGTCACTCAAAAGATAGTTCCAGCTCTGTGAGTTGAATGCAAACCTCACAAAGATGTTTCTCAGAAAGCTTCTGTATAGTTTTTATATGAAGATACTTGCTTTTCCACAATATACCTCAAATCTCCCCAATTATCCACTTGCAGATTCTACAAAAAGAGTGTTTCAAAACTGCTCAATCAAAATACACTTTCAACTCTGTGAGATCAATGCACACATCACAAAGAAGTTTCTCAGAATGCTTCTGTATAGTTTTTATCTGAAGTTATTTGCTTTTCCACGATAGGCCTCAAAGCACGCCAAATATCCACTTGCAGATCCTATGAAAAGAGTGTTCCAAAACTGGTCAATCATAAGATAGGTTTAACTTCTGTGAGTTGAATGCACAATCACGAGGAAGTTTCTCAGAATGCCTCTGTGTGCTTTTCATTTGAAGGTATTTCCTTTTCCACCATAGGCCGCAAAGGGCTCCAAATATCCCCTTGCAGATTCTGCAAAATGAGAGATTCAAAACTGCTCAATCAAAAGATAGGTTCAACTCTGTGAGTTGAATGCTCACATAACAAAGAAGTTTCTCACAGTATTTCTGTGTAGTTTTTATTTGAAGATATTTCCTTTTCCACCATAGGCCGCAAAGGGCTCCAAATATCCACTTGCAGATTGTATAAAAAGAGAGATTCAAAACTGGTCACTCAAAGGATCGGTTCAGCTCTGTGAGGTGAATGCACACATCAAAAAGAAGTTTCTTAGAGTGCCTCTATGTAGATTTTATGTGAAGATATTTGCTTTTCCACTTTAGGTCTCAAAGCGCTCCAAATATCCACGTGCAGATTCTAAAAAAAGAGAGATTCTAAGCTACTCCATCAAAAGATAGGTTCAGCTCTGTGAGTTGAATTCACACATCACAAAGAAGTTTCTAGGAGTGCTTCTGTGTAGTTGTTATGTGAAGTATATTTGCTTTACCACAGTAGGCCTCAAATCGCTCTACATATCCACTTGCAGTTTCTACAAAAAGAGTGTTTCCAAACTGCTCCATCATAAGACACGTTCAACTCTGAGAGTTGAATGCACACATCACAAAGAAGCTTCTCAGAATGCTTCTGTGTGGTTTTAATTTGAAGATATTTCCTTTTCCAAAACAGGCCTCAAAGCTCTCCGAATATCCACCTGGTTATTCTGCAAAAAGAGGGTTTCAATACTACTCAATAAAAAGGAAGATTCAACTCTGTGTGAGGAACGCATTCATCACAAAGAAGTCTTTCTGAATGCTTCTGTGTAGCTTTTATATGAAGATATTTCCTTTTACACCACAGGGTGCAAACAGCTCCAAACTTCCACTTGCAGATTCTACAAAAAGACGTATTCAAAACTGTACAATCAAAAGATAGTGTCAACTCTGCATGTTCAATGCACACATCACAAAGGACTTTCTCTGAATGCTTCTCTGTAGGGTTTGTTTATGTGAAGATATTTGCTTTTCCACTATAGGGTAAAACAGGGCTCCAAGTATCAACTTGCAGATTCTGCAAAAAGGAGATTCAAAACAGCTAAATCCAAAGATTACTTCAACTATGTGAGTTGAATGCACACACAAAAAAGAAGTTTCTCAGAATGCCTCTGTGTAGTTTTTATGTGAAGATATTTGATTTTCCACATTAGGCCTCAAAGCGCTCCAAATATCCACTTGCAGATTCTAGAAAAAGAGTGTTTCAAAACTGCCCTATCAAAAGAAACGTCCAACACTGTGAGATGAATGCACACATCACAAAGAAGTTTCTCAGAATGCTTCTTTGTAGTTTTTATGTGAAGATATTCCCTTTTCCAAAGAAGGCCACAAAGTACTCCCAATATCCACTTGCAGGTTCTACAAAATGAGTGTTTCAAAACCGCTCAATCATTAGATAGGTTCAACTCTGTGAGACGAATGCACACGTCACAAAGAAGTTTTACGGAATGCTTCTATATAGTTTTTATTTGAAGGTATTTCCTTTTCCACCCTAGGTTGCAAAGGGCTCCAAATATCCACTTGCAGATTCGACAAAAAGAGAGATTCAAAACTGCTCAATGATAAGTCCAACTCTGTGGGTTGAATCCATGCCTCACAAAGAAGTTTCTCAGAATGCTTCTCTGTAGTTTCTATGTGAAGATATTTCCTTTTTCACAATAGGCCTCAAGCTTTCCAAATATCCACTTGCAGATTCTGCAAAAAGAGAGATACAAAACTGCTCTATCAAAAGATAGGTTCGACTCTGGTGAGTTCAATGCAAACATCACAAAGAAGATTCTCAGAATGCTTCTGTGTAGATTTTATGTGAAGATGTTTTGTTTTCTACCATAGGGCAAAATGGGGCTCCAAATATCTACTTGCATTTTCTACAAAAAGAGAGATTCTAAGCTGCTCAATCAAAAGATACGTTCAACACTGTTAGTTGAATGCACACATGCCAAAGAAGTTTCTCAGAATGCTTCTGTGTAGTTTTTATGTGAAGATATTTGCTTTTCCACAATAGGCCTCAAATCGTTCTAAATATCCACTTGCAGGCTCTACAAAAAGAGTGTTTCCAAATTGCTCAATCATAAGGTAGGTTCAACTCTGAGAGTTGAATGCACACATCATAAAGAAGTTTCTCAGAATGGTTCTGTGTAGTTTTACTTTGAAGAATTTCATTTTCCAAAACAGGCCCCAAAGCTCTCCAAATATCCACTTGGTGATTCTGCAAAAAGAGCGTTTCAATACTGCTCCATAAAAAGAAAGGTTCAGCTCTGTGTGAGGAATGCATTCATCACAAGAAGTTTCTCTGAATGCTTCTTTGTAGTTTTTATATGAAGATAGTTCCCTTTCCACCACAGGGTGCAAAGAGCTCCAAATATCCACTTGCAGATTCTACAGAAAATGAGATATGAAAGTGCTCAAGGAAAAGATAAGTTCAACTCTGTGAGTTGCATGCACACCTCACAAAGAAGAATCTCAAAATGCTTCTGCATAGTTTATATGTGAAGATATTTCCTTTTCCAAATAGGCCTCCAAGTTCTCCAGATATCCACTCGCAGATTCTGCAAAAAGAGAGACTCAAAACTGCTGAATCAAAACATAGTTTCAACTCTGTGACTTCATTGCACACCTCACAAAGATGTTTCTCAGAATGCTTCTGTGCAGTTTTCATATAAAGATATCTCCTTCTCCAAAATAGATCTCAAGGTTCTCCAAATATTCACTTCCAGATTCTATGGAAAGATTGTCTCAAAACTGCTCAATCAAACCAAAGGTTCAACCCTGTGAGATGAATGCACACATCACAAGGAAGTTTCTCGGAATACTTCTGTGTAGTTTTTATTTGAGGATAGTTCCTTTTCCACCACAGACCACAAAGGGCTCCAAATATCCATTGCAGATGTTACAAAAAGAGAGATTCAAAACTGCTCAACCAAAAGGTAGTTTCAACCATGTGATATGAATGCACACAGCACAGAGAAATTTCTCAAAATGCTTCTGTCTAGTTTTTATTTGAAGATATTGCCTTTTCTACCATAGGCCACAAACGTCTCCAAATATCCACATGCAGCTTCTACAAAAAGAGAGATTCAAAGCTTCTCAATCAAAAGATAGGTTCAACTCTGTGAGTTGAATGCACACTTCACAAAGAAGTTTCTCAGAGTGCTTCTGTGTGTTTTTATGTGAAGATGATTCCTTTTCCACAATAGGCCTCAAAGCTCTCCAAGTATCTGCAAGCAGAGTCTACAAAAAGAGAGATTCAAAACTGCTCAATGAAAAGATAGGTTCAACTCTGTGAGTTGAATGCACACCTCCAAAGAAGTTTCTCAGAATGCTTCCGTGTAGTTTCTATGTGAAGATATTTACTTTTCCACAATTGTCCCAAAGCTCTAAAATATCCACTTGCAGACCCTCTGAAAGAGTGTTTCAGAATTGCTCAATCAAAGGAGAGGTTCAATTCTGTGTGACCAATGCACTCATCACAAAAAGTTTGTCTGAATGCTTCTGTGTAGAATGGATTTGAAGATAATTCCTTTTCCACCACAGTCCGCAAATGGCTAAAAATATCCACTTGCAGATTCCACAAAAAGAGAGATTCAAAACTGCTCAATCACAAGGTAGGTTCAACTTGGTAATTTGAAAGCACACATGACAAACAATTTCTGAGAATGTTTCTGTGTAGCTTTTAAGGGAAGATATTTGATTTTCAAATGTAGGCCTCAAAACGCTCCAAATATCCACTTGCAGATTGTACAAAAAGAGAGATTCAAAACTGGTCACTCAAAAGATAGTTCCAGCTCTGTGAGTTGAATGCAAACCTCACAAAGATGTTTCTCAGAAAGCTTCTGTATAGTTTTTATATGAAGATACTTGCTTTTCCACAATATACCTCAAATCTCCCCAATTATCCACTTGCAGATTCTACAAAAAGAGTGTTTCAAAACTGCTCAATCAAAATACACTTTCAACTCTGTGAGATCAATGCACACATCACAAAGAAGTTTCTCAGAATGCTTCTGTATAGTTTTTATCTGAAGTTATTTGCTTTTCCACGATAGGCCTCAAAGCACGCCAAATATCCACTTGCAGATCCTATGAAAAGAGTGTTCCAAAACTGGTCAATCATAAGATAGGTTTAACTCTGTGAGTTGAATGCACAATCACGAGGAAGTTTCTCAGAATGCCTCTGTGTGCTTTTCATTTGAAGGTATTTCCTTTTCCACCATAGGCCGCAAAGGGCTCCAAATATCCCCTTGCAGATTCTGCAAAATGAGAGATTCAAAACTGCTCAATCAAAAGATAGGTTCAACTCTGTGAGTTGAATGCTCACATAACAAAGAAGTTTCTTCTGTGTAGTTTTTATTTGAAGATATTTCCTTTTCCACCATAGGCCGCAAAGGGCTCCAAATATCCACTTGCAGATTGTATAAAAAGAGAGATTCAAAACTGGTCACTCGAAGGATCGGTTCAGCTCTGTGAGGTGAATGCACACATCAAAAAGAAGTTTCTTAGAGTGCCTCTATGTAGATTTTATGTGAAGATATTTGCTTTTCCACTTTAGGTCTCAAAGCGCTCCAAATATCCACGTGCAGATTCTAAAAAAAGAGAGATTCTAAGCTACTCCATCAAAAGATAGGTTCAGCTCTGTGAGTTGAATTCACACATCACAAAGAAGTTTCTAGGAGTGCTTCTGTGTAGTTGTTATGTGAAGATATTTGCTTTTCCACAGTAGGCCTCAAATCGCTCTACATATCCACTTGCAGTTTCTACAAAAAGAGTGTTTCCAAACTGCTCCATCATAAGACACGTTCAACTCTGAGAGTTGAATGCACACATCACAAAGAAGCTTCTCAGAATGCTTCTGTGTGGTTTTAATTTGAAGATATTTCCTTTTCCAAAACAGACCTCAAAGCTCTCCGAATATCCACCTGGTTATTCTGCAAAAAGAGGGTTTCAATACTACTCAATAAAAAGGAAGATTCAACTCTGTGTGAGGAACGCATTCATCACAAAGAAGTCTTTCTGAATGCTTCTGTGTAGCTTTTATATGAAGATATTTCCTTTTACACCACAGGGTGCAAACAGCTCCAAACTTCCACTTGCAGATTCTACAAAAAGACGTATTCAAAACTGTACAATCAAAAGATAGTGTCAACTCTGCATGTTCAATGCACACATCACAAAGGACTTTCTCTGAATGCTTCTCTGTAGGGTTTGTTTATGTGAAGATATTTGCTTTTCCACTATAGGGTGAAACAGGGCTCCAAGTATCAACTTGCAGATTCTGCAAAAAGGAGATTCAAAACAGCTAAATCCAAAGATTACTTCAACTATGTGAGTTGAATGCACACACAAAAAAGAAGTTTCTCAGAATGCCTCTGTGTAGTTTTTATGTGAAGATATTTGATTTTCCACATTAGGCCTCAAAGCGCTCTAAATATCCACTTGCAGATTCTAGAAAAAGAGTGTTTCAAAACTGCCCTATCAAAAGAAACGTCCAACACTGTGAGATGAATGCACACATCACAAAGAAGTTTCTCAGAATGCTTCTTTGTAATTTTTATGTGAAGATATTCCCTTTTCCAAAGAAGGCCACAAAGTACTCCCAATATCCACTTGCAGGTTCTACAAAATGAGTGTTTCAAAACCGCTCAATCATTAGATAGGTTCAACTCTGTGAGACGAATGCACACGTCACAAAGAAGTTTTACGGAATGCTTCTATATAGTTTTTATTTGAAGGTATTTCCTTTTCCACCCTAGGTTGCAAAGGGCTCCAAATATCCACTTGCAGATTCGACAAAAAGAGAGATTCAAAACTGCTCAATGACAAGTCCAACTCTGTGGGTTGAATCCATGCCTCACAAAGAAGTTTCTCAGAATGCTTCTCTGTAGTTTTTATGTGAAGATATTTCCTTTTTCACAATAGGCCTCAAGCTTTCCAAATATCCACTTGCAGATTCCGCAGAAAGAGAGATACAAAAGTGCTCTATCAAAAGATAGGTTCGACTCTGGGAGTTCAATGCAAACATCACAAAGAAGTTTCTCAGAATGCTTCTGTGTAGATTTTATGTGAAGATGTTTTGTTTTCTACCATAGGGCAAAATGGGGCTCCAAATATCTACTTGCATTTTCTACAAAAAGAGAGATTCTAAGCTGCTCAATCAAAAGATACGTTCAACACTGTTAGTTGAATGCACACATGCCAAAGAAGTTTCTCAGAATGCTTCTGTGTAGTTTTTATGTGAAGATATTTGCTTTTCCACAATAGGCCTCAAATCGTTCTAAATATCCACTTGCAGGCTCTACAAAAAGAGTGTTTCCAAATTGCTCAATCATAAGGTAGGTTCAACTCTGAGAGTTGAATGCACACATCATAAAGAAGTTTCTCAGAATGGTTCTGTGTAGTTTTACTTTGAAGATATTTCATTTTCCAAAACAGGCCCCAAAGCTCTCCAAATATCCACTTGGTGATTCTGCAAAAAGAGCGTTTCAATACTGCTCCATAAAAAGAAAGGTTCAGCTCTGTGTGAGGAATGCATTCATCACAAGAAGTTTCTCTGAATGCTTCTTTGTAGTTTTTATATGAAGATAGTTCCCTTTCCACCACAGGGTGCAAAGAGCTCCAAATATCCACTTGCAGATTCTACAGAAAATGAGATATGAAAGTGCTCAAGGAAAAGATAAGTTCAACTCTGTGAGTTGCATGCACACCTCACAAAGAAGAATCTCAAAATGCTTCTGCATAGTTTATATGTGAAGATATTTCCTTTTCCAAATAGGCCTCCAAGTTCTCCAGATATCCACTCGCAGATTCTGCAAAAAGAGAGACTCAAAACTGCTGAATCAAAACATAGTTTCAACTCTGTGACTTCATTGCACACCTCACAAAGATGTTTCTCAGAATGCTTCTGTGCAGTTTTCATATAAAGATATCTCCTTCTCCAAAATAGATCTCAAGGTTCTCCAAATATTCACTTCCAGATTCTATGGAAAGATTGTCTCAAAACTGCTCAATCAAACCAAAGGTTCAACCCTGTGAGATGAATGCACACATCACAAGGAAGTTTCTCGGAATACTTCTGTGTAGTTTTTATTTGAGGATAGTTCCTTTTCCACCACAGACCACAAAGGGCTCCAAATATCCATTGCAGATGTTACAAAAAGAGAGATTCAAAACTGCTCAACCAAAAGGTAGTTTCAACCATGTGATATGAATGCACACAGCACAGAGAAATTTCTCAAAATGCTTCTGTCTAGTTTTTATTTGAAGATATTGCCTTTTCTACCATAGGCCACAAACGTCTCCAAATATCCACATGCAGCTTCTACAAAAAGAGAGATTCAAAGCTTCTCAATCAAAAGATAGGTTCAACTCTGTGAGTTGAATGCACACTTCACAAAGAAGTTTCTCAGAGTGCTTCTGTGTGTTTTTATGTGAAGATGATTCCTTTTCCACAATAGGCCTCAAAGCTCTCCAAGTATCTGCAAGCAGAGTCTACAAAAAGAGAGATTCAAAACTGCTCAATGAAAAGATAGGTTCAACTCTGTGAGTTGAATGCACACCTCCAAAGAAGTTTCTCAGAATGCTTCCGTGTAGTTTCTATGTGAAGATATTTACTTTTCCACAATTGTCCCAAAGCTCTAAAATATCCACTTGCAGACCCTCTGAAAGAGTGTTTCAGAATTGCTCAATCAAAGGAGAGGTTCAATTCTGTGTGACCAATGCACTCATCACAAAAAGTTTGTCTGAATGCTTCTGTGTAGAATGGATTTGAAGATAATTCCTTTTCCACCACAGTCCGCAAATGGCTAAAAATATCCACTTGCAGATTCCACAAAAAGAGAGATTCAAAACTGCTCAATCACAAGGTAGGTTCAACTTGGTAATTTGAAAGCACACATGACAAACAATTTCTGAGAATGTTTCCTGTGTAGCTTTTAAGGGAAGATATTTGATTTTCAAATGTAGGCCTCAAAACGCTCCAAATATCCACTTGCAGATTGTACAAAAAGAGAGATTCAAAACTGGTCACTCAAAAGATAGTTCCAGCTCTGTGAGTTGAATGCAAACCTCACAAAGATGTTTCTCAGAAAGCTTCTGTATAGTTTTTATATGAAGATACTTGCTTTTCCACAATATACCTCAAATCTCCCCAATTATCCACTTGCAGATTCTACAAAAAGAGTGTTTCAAAACTGCTCAATCAAAATACACTTTCAACTCTGTGAGATCAATGCACACATCACAAAGAAGTTTCTCAGAATGCTTCTGTATAGTTTGCTTTTCCACGATAGGCCTCAAAGCACGCCAAATATCCACTTGCAGATCCTATGAAAAGAGTGTTCCAAAACTGGTCAATCATAAGATAGGTTTAACTCTGTGAGTTGAATGCACAATCACGAGGAAGTTTCTCAGAATGCCTCTGTGTGCTTTTCATTTGAAGGTATTTCCTTTTCCACCATAGGCCGCAAAGGGCTCCAAATATCCCCTTGCAGATTCTGCAAAATGAGAGATTCAAAACTGCTCAATCAAAAGATAGGTTCAACTCTGTGAGTTGAATGCTCACATAACAAAGAAGTTTCTTCTGTGTAGTTTTTATTTGAAGATATTTCCTTTTCCACCATAGGCCGCAAAGGGCTCCAAATATCCACTTGCAGATTGTATAAAAAGAGAGATTCAAAACTGGTCACTCAAAGGATCGGTTCAGCTCTGTGAGGTGAATGCACACATCAAAAAGAAGTTTCTTAGAGTGCCTCTATGTAGATTTTATGTGAAGATATTTGCTTTTCCACTTTAGGTCTCAAAGCGCTCCAAATATCCACGTGCAGATTCTAAAAAAAGAGAGATTCTAAGCTACTCCATCAAAAGATAGGTTCAGCTCTGTGAGTTGAATTCACACATCACAAAGAAGTTTCTAGGAGTGCTTCTGTGTAGTTGTTATGTGAAGATATTTGCTTTTCCACAGTAGGCCTCAAATCGCTCTACATATCCACTTGCAGTTTCTACAAAAAGAGTGTTTCCAAACTGCTCCATCATAAGACACGTTCAACTCTGAGAGTTGAATGCACACATCACAAAGAAGCTTCTCAGAATGCTTCTGTGTGGTTTTAATTTGAAGATATTTCCTTTTCCAAAACAGGCCTCAAAGCTCTCCAAATATCCACCTGGTTATTCTGCAAAAAGAGGGTTTCAATACTACTCAATAAAAAGGAAGATTCAACTCTGTGTGAGGAACGCATTCATCACAAAGAAGTCTTTCTGAATGCTTCTGTGTAGCTTTTATATGAAGATATTTCCTTTTACACCACAGGGTGCAAACAGCTCCAAACTTCCACTTGCAGATTCTACAAAAAGACGTATTCAAAACTGTACAATCAAAAGATAGTGTCAACTCTGCATGTTCAATGCACACATCACAAAGGACTTTCTCTGAATGCTTCTCTGTAGGGTTTGTTTATGTGAAGATATTTGCTTTTCCACTATAGGGTGAAACAGGGCTCCAAGTATCAACTTGCAGATTCTGCAAAAAGGAGATTCAAAACAGCTAAATCCAAAGATTACTTCAACTATGTGAGTTGAATGCACACACAAAAAAGAAGTTTCTCAGAATGCCTCTGTGTAGTTTTTATGTGAAGATATTTGATTTTCCACATTAGGCCTCAAAGCGCTCTAAATATCCACTTGCAGATTCTAGAAAAAGAGTGTTTCAAAACTGCCCTATCAAAAGAAACGTCCAACACTGTGAGATGAATGCACACATCACAAAGAAGTTTCTCAGAATGCTTCTTTGTAATTTTTATGTGAAGATATTCCCTTTTCCAAAGAAGGCCACAAAGTACTCCCAATATCCACTTGCAGGTTCTACAAAATGAGTGTTTCAAAACCGCTCAATCATTAGATAGGTTCAACTCTGTGAGACGAATGCACACGTCACAAAGAAGTTTTACGGAATGCTTCTATATAGTTTTTATTTGAAGGTATTTCCTTTTCCACCCTAGGTTGCAAAGGGCTCCAAATATCCACTTGCAGATTCGACAAAAAGAGAGATTCAAAACTGCTCAATGATAAGTCCAACTCTGTGGGTTGAATCCATGCCTCACAAAGAAGTTTCTCAGAATGCTTCTCTGTAGTTTTTATGTGAAGATATTTCCTTTTTCACAATAGGCCTCAAGCTTTCCAAATATCCACTTGCAGATTCCGCAAAAAGAGAGATACAAAAGTGCTCTATCAAAAGATAGGTTCGACTCTGGGAGTTCAATGCAAACATCACAAAGAAGTTTCTCAGAATGCTTCTGTGTAGTTTTTATGTGAAGATGTTCTGTTTTCTACCATAGGGCAAAATGGGGCTCCAAATATCTACTTGCATTTTCTACAAAAAGAGAGATTCTAAGCTGCTCAATCAAAAGATACGTTCAACACTGTTAGTTGAATGCACACATGCCAAAGAAGTTTCTCAGAATGCTTCTGTGTAGTTTTTATGTGAAGATATTTGCTTTTCCACAATAGGCCTCAAATCGTTCTAAATATCCACTTGCAGGCTCTACAAAAAGAGTGTTTCCAAATTGGTCAATCATAAGGTAGGTTCAACTCTGAGAGTTGAATGCACACATCATAAAGAAGTTTCTCAGAATGGTTCTGTGTAGTTTTACTTTGAAGATAATTCATTTTCCAAAACAGGCCCCAAAGCTCTCCAAATATCCACTTGGTGATTCTGCAAAAAGAGCGTTTCAATACTGCTCAATAAAAAGAAACGTTCAGCTCTGTGTGAGGAATGCATTCATCACAAAGAAGTTTCTCTGAATGCTTCTTTGTAGTTTTTATATGAAGATAGTTCCCTTTCCACCACAGGGTGCAAAGAGCTCCAAATATCCACTTGCAGATTCTACAGAAAATGAGATATGAAAGTGCTCAAGGAAAAGATAATTTCAACTCTGTGACTTGAATGCACACCTCACAAAGAAGAATCTCAAAATGCTTCTGCATAGTTTATATGTGAAGATATTTCCTTTTCCAAATAGGCCTCCAAGTTCTCCAGATATCCACTCGCAGATTCTGCAAAAAGAGAGACTCAAAACTGCTGAATCAAAACATAGTTTCAACTCTGTGACTTCATTGCACACCTCACAAAGATGTTTCTCAGAATGCTTCTGTGCAGTTTTCATATAAAGATATCTCCTTCTCCAAAATAGATCTCAAGGTTCTCCAAATATTCACTTCCAGATTCTATGGAAAGATTGTCTCAAAACTGCTCAATCAAACCAAAGGTTCAACCCTGTGAGATGAATGCACACATCACAAGGAAGTTTCTCGGAATACTTCTGTGTAGTTTTTATTTGAGGATAGTTCCTTTTCCACCACAGACCACAAAGGGCTCCAAATATCCATTGCAGATGTTACAAAAAGAGAGATTCAAAACTGCTCAACCAAAAGGTAGTTTCAACCATGTGATATGAATGCACACAGCACAGAGAAATTTCTCAAAATGCTTCTGTCTAGTTTTTATTTGAAGATATTGCCTTTTCTACCATAGGCCACAAACGTCTCCAAATATCCACATGCAGCTTCTACAAAAAGAGAGATTCAAAGCTTCTCAATCAAAAGATAGGTTCAACTCTGTGAGTTGAATGCACACTTCACAAAGAAGTTTCTCAGAGTGCTTCTGTGTGTTTTTATGTGAAGATGATTCCTTTTCCACAATAGGCCTCAAAGCTCTCCAAGTATCTGCAAGCAGAGTCTACAAAAAGAGAGATTCAAAACTGCTCAATGAAAAGATAGGTTCAACTCTGTGAGTTGAATGCACACCTCCAAAGAAGTTTCTCAGAATGCTTCCGTGTAGTTTCTATGTGAAGATATTTACTTTTCCACAATTGTCCCAAAGCTCTAAAATATCCACTTGCAGACCCTCTGAAAGAGTGTTTCAGAATTGCTCAATCAAAGGAGAGGTTCAATTCTGTGTGACCAATGCACTCATCACAAAAAGTTTGTCTGAATGCTTCTGTGTAGAATGGATTTGAAGATAATTCCTTTTCCACCA
This sequence comes from Homo sapiens, assembly GCF_000001405.40. Lineage (NCBI taxonomy): Eukaryota > Metazoa > Chordata > Mammalia > Primates > Hominidae > Homo > Homo sapiens. The sequence continues at coordinate 17,269,691 of NC_000015.10, read as the reverse complement.
CAGTCCGCAAATGGCTAAAAATATCCACTTGCAGATTCCACAAAAAGAGAGATTCAAAACTGCTCAATCACAAGGTAGGTTCAACTTGGTAATTTGAAAGCACACATGACAAACAATTTCTGAGAATGTTTCTGTGTAGCTTTTAAGGGAAGATATTTGATTTTCAAATGTAGGCCTCAAAACGCTCCAAATATCCACTTGCAGATTGTACAAAAAGAGAGATTCAAAACTGGTCACTCAAAAGATAGTTCCAGCTCTGTGAGTTGAATGCAAACCTCACAAAGATGTTTCTCAGAAAGCTTCTGTATAGTTTTTATATGAAGATACTTGCTTTTCCACAATATACCTCAAATCTCCCCAATTATCCACTTGCAGATTCTACAAAAAGAGTGTTTCAAAACTGCTCAATCAAAATACACTTTCAACTCTGTGAGATCAATGCACACATCACAAAGAAGTTTCTCAGAATGCTTCTGTATAGTTTTTATCTGAAGTTATTTGCTTTTCCACGATAGGCCTCAAAGCACGCCAAATATCCACTTGCAGATCCTATGAAAAGAGTGTTCCAAAACTGGTCAATCATAAGATAGGTTTAACTTCTGTGAGTTGAATGCACAATCACGAGGAAGTTTCTCAGAATGCCTCTGTGTGCTTTTCATTTGAAGGTATTTCCTTTTCCACCATAGGCCGCAAAGGGCTCCAAATATCCCCTTGCAGATTCTGCAAAATGAGAGATTCAAAACTGCTCAATCAAAAGATAGGTTCAACTCTGTGAGTTGAATGCTCACATAACAAAGAAGTTTCTTCTGTGTAGTTTTTATTTGAAGATATTTCCTTTTCCACCATAGGCCGCAAAGGGCTCCAAATATCCACTTGCAGATTGTATAAAAAGAGAGATTCAAAACTGGTCACTCGAAGGATCGGTTCAGCTCTGTGAGGTGAATGCACACATCAAAAAGAAGTTTCTTAGAGTGCCTCTATGTAGATTTTATGTGAAGATATTTGCTTTTCCACTTTAGGTCTCAAAGCGCTCCAAATATCCACGTGCAGATTCTAAAAAAAGAGAGATTCTAAGCTACTCCATCAAAAGATAGGTTCAGCTCTGTGAGTTGAATTCACACATCACAAAGAAGTTTCTAGGAGTGCTTCTGTGTAGTTGTTATGTGAAGATATTTGCTTTTCCACAGTAGGCCTCAAATCGCTCTACATATCCACTTGCAGTTTCTACAAAAAGAGTGTTTCCAAACTGCTCCATCATAAGACACGTTGAACTCTGAGAGTTGAATGCACACATCACAAAGAAGCTTCTCAGAATGCTTCTGTGTGGTTTTAATTTGAAGATATTTCCTTTTCCAAAACAGGCCTCAAAGCTCTCCAAATATCCACCTGGTTATTCTGCAAAAAGAGGGTTTCAATACTACTCAATAAAAAGGAAGATTCAACTCTGTGTGAGGAACGCATTCATCACAAAGAAGTCTTTCTGAATGCTTCTGTGTAGCTTTTATATGAAGATATTTCCTTTTACACCACAGGGTGCAAACAGCTCCAAACTTCCACTTGCAGATTCTACAAAAAGACGTATTCAAAACTGTACAATCAAAAGATAGTGTCAACTCTGCATGTTCAATGCACACATCACAAAGGACTTTCTCTGAATGCTTCTCTGTAGGGTTTGTTTATGTGAAGATATTTGCTTTTCCACTATAGGGTGAAACAGGGCTCCAAGTATCAACTTGCAGATTCTGCAAAAAGGAGATTCAAAACAGCTAAATCCAAAGATTACTTCAACTATGTGAGTTGAATGCACACACAAAAAAGAAGTTTCTCAGAATGCCTCTGTGTAGTTTTTATGTGAAGATATTTGATTTTCCACATTAGGCCTCAAAGCGCTCTAAATATCCACTTGCAGATTCTAGAAAAAGAGTGTTTCAAAACTGCCCTATCAAAAGAAACGTCCAACACTGTGAGATGAATGCACACATCACAAAGAAGTTTCTCAGAATGCTTCTTTGTAATTTTTATGTGAAGATATTCCCTTTTCCAAAGAAGGCCACAAAGTACTCCCAATATCCACTTGCAGGTTCTACAAAATGAGTGTTTCAAAACCGCTCAATCATTAGATAGGTTCAACTCTGTGAGACGAATGCACACGTCACAAAGAAGTTTTACGGAATGCTTCTATATAGTTTTTATTTGAAGGTATTTCCTTTTCCACCCTAGGTTGCAAAGGGCTCCAAATATCCACTTGCAGATTCGACAAAAAGAGAGATTCAAAACTGCTCAATGATAAGTCCAACTCTGTGGGTTGAATCCATGCCTCACAAAGAAGTTTCTCAGAATGCTTCTCTGTAGTTTTTATGTGAAGATATTTCCTTTTTCACAATAGGCCTCAAGCTTTCCAAATATCCACTTGCAGATTCCGCAAAAAGAGAGATACAAAAGTGCTCTATCAAAAGATAGGTTCGACTCTGGGAGTTCAATGCAAACATCACAAAGAAGTTTCTCAGAATGCTTCTGTGTAGATTTTATGTGAAGATGTTTTGTTTTCTACCATAGGGCAAAATGGGGCTCCAAATATCTACTTGCATTTTCTACAAAAAGAGAGATTCTAAGCTGCTCAATCAAAAGATACGTTCAACACTGTTAGTTGAATGCACACATGCCAAAGAAGTTTCTCAGAATGCTTCTGTGTAGTTTTTATGTGAAGATATTTGCTTTTCCACAATAGGCCTCAAATCGTTCTAAATATCCACTTGCAGGCTCTACAAAAAGAGTGTTTCCAAATTGCTCAATCATAAGGTAGGTTCAACTCTGAGAGTTGAATGCACACATCATAAAGAAGTTTCTCAGAATGGTTCTGTGTAGTTTTACTTTGAAGATATTTCATTTTCCAAAACAGGCCCCAAAGCTCTCCAAATATCCACTTGGTGATTCTGCAAAAAGAGCGTTTCAATACTGCTCAATAAAAAGAAAGGTTCAGCTCTGTGTGAGGAATGCATTCATCACAAGAAGTTTCTCTGAATGCTTCTTTGTAGTTTTTATATGAAGATAGTTCCCTTTCCACCACAGGGTGCAAAGAGCTCCAAATATCCACTTGCAGATTCTACAGAAAATGAGATATGAAAGTGCTCAAGGAAAAGATAAGTTCAACTCTGTGAGTTGCTTGCACACCTCACAAAGAAGAATCTCAAAATGCTTCTGCATAGTTTATATGTGAAGATATTTCCTTTTCCAAATAGGCCTCCAAGTTCTCCAGATATCCACTCGCAGATTCTGCAAAAAGAGAGACTCAAAACTGCTGAATCAAAACATAGTTTCAACTCTGTGACTTCATTGCACACCTCACAAAGATGTTTCTCAGAATGCTTCTGTGCAGTTTTCATATAAAGATATCTCCTTCTCCAAAATAGATCTCAAGGTTCTCCAAATATTCACTTCCAGATTCTATGGAAAGATTGTCTCAAAACTGCTCGATCAAACCAAAGGTTCAACCCTGTGAGATGAATGCACACATCACAAGGAAGTTTCTCGGAATACTTCTGTGTAGTTTTTATTTGAGGATAGTTCCTTTTCCACCACAGACCACAAAGGGCTCCAAATATCCATTGCAGATGTTACAAAAAGAGAGATTCAAAACTGCTCAACCAAAAGGTAGTTTCAACCATGTGATATGAATGCACACAGCACAGAGAAATTTCTCAAAATGCTTCTGTCTAGTTTTTATTTGAAGATATTGCCTTTTCTACCATAGGCCACAAACGTCTCCAAATATCCACATGCAGCTTCTACAAAAAGAGAGATTCAAAGCTTCTCAATCAAAAGATAGGTTCAACTCTGTGAGTTGAATGCACACGTCACAAAGAAGTTTCTCAGAGTGCTTCTGTGTGTTTTTATGTGAAGATGATTCCTTTTCCACAATAGGCCTCAAAGCTCTCCAAGTATCTGCAAGCAGAGTCTACAAAAAGAGAGATTCAAAACTGCTCAATGAAAAGATAGGTTCAACTCTGTGAGTTGAATGCACACCTCCAAAGAAGTTTCTCAGAATGCTTCCGTGTAGTTTCTATGTGAAGATATTTACTTTTCCACAATTGTCCCAAAGCTCTAAAATATCCACTTGCAGACCCTCTGAAAGAGTGTTTCAGAATTGCTCAATCAAAGGAGAGGTTCAATTCTGTGTGACCAATGCACTCATCACAAAAAGTTTGTCTGAATGCTTCTGTGTAGAATGGATTTGAAGATAATTCCTTTTCCACCACAGTCCGCAAATGGCTAAAAATATCCACTTGCAGATTCCACAAAAAGAGAGATTCAAAACTGCTCAATCACAAGGTAGGTTCAACTTGGTAATTTGAAAGCACACATGACAAACAATTTCTGAGAATGTTTCTGTGTAGCTTTTAAGGGAAGATATTTGATTTTCAAATGTAGGCCTCAAAACGCTCCAAATATCCACTTGCAGATTGTACAAAAAGAGAGATTCAAAACTGGTCACTCAAAAGATAGTTCCAGCTCTGTGAGTTGAATGCAAACCTCACAAAGATGTTTCTCAGAAAGCTTCTGTATAGTTTTTATATGAAGATACTTGCTTTTCCACAATATACCTCAAATCTCCCCAATTATCCACTTGCAGATTCTACAAAAAGAGTGTTTCAAAACTGCTCAATCAAAATACACTTTCAACTCTGTGAGATCAATGCACACATCACAAAGAAGTTTCTCAGAATGCTTCTGTATAGTTTTTATCTGAAGTTATTTGCTTTTCCACGATAGGCCTCAAAGCACGCCAAATATCCACTTGCAGATCCTATGAAAAGAGTGTTCCAAAACTGGTCAATCATAAGATAGGTTTAACTTCTGTGAGTTGAATGCACAATCACGAGGAAGTTTCTCAGAATGCCTCTGTGTGCTTTTCATTTGAAGGTATTTCCTTTTCCACCATAGGCCGCAAAGGGCTCCAAATATCCCCTTGCAGATTCTGCAAAATGAGAGATTCAAAACTGCTCAATCAAAAGATAGGTTCAACTCTGTGAGTTGAATGCTCACATAACAAAGAAGTTTCTTCTGTGTAGTTTTTATTTGAAGATATTTCCTTTTCCACCATAGGCCGCAAAGGGCTCCAAATATCCACTTGCAGATTGTATAAAAAGAGAGATTCAAAACTGGTCACTCGAAGGATCGGTTCAGCTCTGTGAGGTGAATGCACACATCAAAAAGAAGTTTCTTAGAGTGCCTCTATGTAGATTTTATGTGAAGATATTTGCTTTTCCACTTTAGGTCTCAAAGCGCTCCAAATATCCACGTGCAGATTCTAAAAAAAGAGAGATTCTAAGCTACTCCATCAAAAGATAGGTTCAGCTCTGTGAGTTGAATTCACACATCACAAAGAAGTTTCTAGGAGTGCTTCTGTGTAGTTGTTATGTGAAGATATTTGCTTTTCCACAGTAGGCCTCAAATCGCTCTACATATCCACTTGCAGTTTCTACAAAAAAGAGTGTTTCCAAACTGCTCCATCATAAGACACGTTGAACTCTGAGAGTTGAATGCACACATCACAAAGAAGCTTCTCAGAATGCTTCTGTGTGGTTTTAATTTGAAGATATTTGCTTTTCCAAAACAGGCCTCAAAGCTCTCCAAATATCCACCTGGTTATTCTGCAAAAAGAGGGTTTCAATACTACTCAATAAAAAGGAAGATTCAACTCTGTGTGAGGAACGCATTCATCACAAAGAAGTCTTTCTGAATGCTTCTGTGTAGCTTTTATATGAAGATATTTCCTTTTACACCACAGGGTGCAAACAGCTCCAAACTTCCACTTGCAGATTCTACAAAAAGACGTATTCAAAACTGTACAATCAAAAGATAGTGTCAACTCTGCATGTTCAATGCACACATCACAAAGGACTTTCTCTGAATGCTTCTCTGTAGGGTTTGTTTATGTGAAGACATTTGCTTTTCCACTATAGGGTGAAACAGGGCTCCAAGTATCAACTTGCAGATTCTGCAAAAAGGAGATTCAAAACAGCTAAATCCAAAGATTACTTCAACTATTGTGAGTTGAATGCACACACAAAAAAGAAGTTTCTCAGAATGCCTCTGTGTAGTTTTTATGTGAAGATATTTGATTTTCCACATTAGGCCTCAAAGCGCTCCAAATATCCACTTGCAGATTCTAGAAAAAGAGTGTTTCAAAACTGCCCTATCAAAAGAAACGTCCAACACTGTGAGATGAATGCACACATCACAAAGAAGTTTCTCAGAATGCTTCTTTGTAGTTTTTATGTGAAGATATTCCCTTTTCCAAAGAAGGCCACAAAGTACTCCCAATATCCACTTGCAGGTTCTACAAAATGAGTGTTTCAAAACCGCTCAATCATTAGATAGGTTCAACTCTGTGAGACGAATGCACACATCACAAAGAAGTTTTACGGAATGCTTCTATATAGTTTTTATTTGAAGGTATTTCCTTTTCCACCCTAGGTTGCAAAGGGCTCCAAATATCCACTTGCAGATTCGACAAAAAGAGAGATTCAAAACTGCTCAATGATAAGTCCAACTCTGTGGGTTGAATACATGCCTCACAAAGAAGTTTCTCAGAATGCTTCTCTGTAGTTTTTATGTGAAGATATTTCCTTTTTCACAATAGGCCTCAAGCTTTCCAAATATCCACTTGCAGATTCCGCAAAAAGAGAGATACAAAAGTGCTCTATCAAAAGACAGGTTCGACTCTGGGAGTTCAATGCAAACATCACAAAGAAGTTTGTCTGAATGCTTCTGTGTAGAATGGATTTGAAGATAATTCCTTTTCCACCACAGTCCGCAAAGGGCTAAAAATATCCACTTGCAGATTCCACAAAAAGAGAGATTCAGAACTGCTCAATCACAAGATAGGTTCAACTGGTAATTTGAAAGCCCACATGACAAACAATTTCTGAGAATGTTTCTGTGTAGCTTTGAAGGGAAGATATTTGATTTTCAAATGTAGGCCTCAAATCGCTCCAAATATCCACTTGCAGATTGAACAAAAAGAGAGATTCAAAACTGGTCACTCAAGAGATAGGTCCAGCTCTGTGAGTTGAATGCAAACCTCACAAAGATGTTTCTCAGAAGGCTTCTGTATAGTTTTTATATGAAGATATTTGCTTTTCCACAACATACCTCAAATCTCTCCAATTATCCACTTGCAGATTCTACAGAAGGAGTGTTTTAAAACTGCTCAATCAAAATACACTTTCAACTCTGTGAGATCAATGCACACATCACAAAGAAGTTTCTCAGAATGCTTCTGTATAGTTTTTATCTGAAGTTACTTGCTTTTCCACGATAGGCCTCAAAGCACACCAAATATCCACTTGCAGATCCTGTGAAAACAGTGTTCCAAAACTGGTCAATCATAAGATAGGTTTAACTCTGTGAGTTGAATGCACAATCACAAGAAGTTTCTCAGAATGCCTCTGTGTAGTTTTTATTTGGAGGTATTTCCTTTTCCACCCTAGGTAGCAAAGGGCTCCAAATATCCCCTTGCAGATTCTGCAAAATGAGAGATTCAAAACTGCTCAATCAAAAGATAGGTTCAGCTCTGTGAGTTGAATGCTCACATAACAAAGAAGTTTCTCACAGTATTTCTGCCTAGTTTTTAAGTGAAGATATTTTCTTTTCCGAAATAGACCTCAAAGCCCTCCAAATATCAACTTCCAGACTCTACAAAAGCAGTGTTTCAAAACTGCTCAATCAAAAGAAATTGTCAACTCTGTGAGATGAATGTACACATCACAAAGAAGTTTCTCAGAATGCTTCTGTGTAGTTTTTATTTGAAGATATTTCCTTTTCCACCACAGGCCGCAAAGGGCTCCCAATATCCACTTGCAGATTGTACAAAAAGAGAGATTCAAAACTGGTCACTCAAGCACTGTGTGCTTCCGCTCTGTGAGTTGAATGCACACATCAAAAAGAAGTTTCTTAGAGTGCCTCTATGTAGATTTTATGTGAAGATATTTGCTTTTCCACTTTAGGTCTCAAAGCGCTCCAAATATCCACGTGCAGATTCTAAAAAAAGAGACATTCTAAGCTACTCCATCAAAAGATAGGTTCAGCTCTGTGAGTTGAATTCACACATCACAAAGAAGTTTCTAGGAGTGCTTCTGTGTAGTTGTTATGTGAAGATATTTGCTTTTCCACAGTAGGCCTCAAATCGCTCTACATATCCACTTGCAGTTTCTACAAAAAGAGTGTTTCCAAACTGCTCCATCATAAGACACGTTCAACTCTGAGAGTTGAATGCACACATCACAAAGAAGTTTCTCAGAATGCTTCTGTGTGGTTTTAATTTGAAGATATTTCCTTTTCCAAAACAGGCCTCAAAGCTCTCCAAATATCCCCCTGGTTATTCTGCAAAAAGAGGGTTTCAAAACTACTCAATAAAAAGGTAGATTCAACTCTGTGTGAGGAACGCATTCCTCACAAAGAAGTCTCTCTGAAAGCTTCTGTGTAGTTTTTATATGAAGATATTTCCTTTTGCACCACAGCGTGCAAACAGCTCCAAACTTCCACTTGCAGATTCTACAAAAAGAGATATTCAAAACTGTACAATCAAAAGATAGTTTCAACTCTGCGTGTTCAATGCACACATCACAAAGGACTTTCTCTGAATGCTTCTCTGTGTAGTGTTTGTTTATGTGAAGATATCTGCTTTTCCACTATAGGGTGAAATAGGGCTCCAAATATCCACGTGAAGATTTTGCAAAAAGGAGATTCAAAGCATCTCAATCAAAAGATAACTTCAACTATGTGAGTTGAATGCACACAAAACAAAGAAGTTTCTCAGAATGCCTCTGTGTAGTTTTTATGTGAAGATATTTGATTTTCCACATTAGGCCTCAAAGCGCTCCAAATATCCACTTGCAGATTCTAGAAAAAGAGTGTTTCAAAACTGCCCTATCAAAAGAAACGTCCAACACTGTGAGATGAATGCACACATCACAAAGAAGTTTCTCAGAATGCTTCTTTGTAATTTTTATGTGAAGATATTCCCTTTTCCAAAGAAGGCCACAAAGTACTCCCAATATCCACTTGCAGGTTCTACAAAATGAGTGTTTCAAAACCGCTCAATCATTAGATAGGTTCAACTCTGTGAGACGAATGCACACGTCACAAAGAAGTTTTACGGAATGCTTCTATATAGTTTTTATTTGAAGGTATTTCCTTTTCCACCCTAGGTTGCCAAGGGCTCCAAATATCCACTTGCAGATTCGACAAAAAGAGAGATTCAAAACTGCTCAATGATAAGTCCAACTCTGTGGGTTGAATCCATGCCTCACAAAGAAGTTTCTCAGAATGCTTCTCTGTAGTTTTTATGTGAAGATATTTCCTTTTTCACAATAGGTCTCAAGCTTTCCAAATATCCACTTGCAGATTCCGCAAAAAGAGAGATACAAAAGTGCTCTATCAAAAGATAGGTTCGACTCTGGGAGTTCAATGCAAACATCACAAAGAAGTTTCTCAGAATGCTTCTGTGTAGTTTTTATGTGAAGATGTTCTGTTTTCTACCATAGGGCAAAATGGGGCTCCAAATATCTACTTGCATTTTCTACAAAAAGAGAGATTCTAAGCTGCTCAATCAAAAGATACGTTCAACACTGTTAGTTGAATGCACACATGCCAAAGAAGTTTCTCAGAATGCTTCTGTGTAGTTTTTATGTGAAGATATTTGCTTTTCCACAATAGGCCTCAAATCGTTCTAAATATCCACTTGCAGGCTCTACAAAAAGAGTGTTTCCAAATTGGTCAATCATAAGGTAGGTTCAACTCTGAGAGTTGAATGCACACATCATAAAGAAGTTTCTCAGAATGGTTCTGTGTAGTTTTACTTTGAAGATATTTCATTTTCCAAAACAGGCCCCAAAGCTCTCCAAATATCCACTTGGTGATTCTGCAAAAAGAGCGTTTCAATACTGCTCCATAAAAAGAAAGGTTCAGCTCTGTGTGAGGAATGCATTCATCACAAGAAGTTTCTCTGAATGCTTCTTTGTAGTTTTTATATGAAGATAGTTCCCTTTCCACCACAGGGTGCAAAGAGCTCCAAATATCCACTTGCAGATTCTACAGAAAATGAGATATGAAAGTGCTCAAGGAAAAGATAAGTTCAACTCTGTGAGTTGCATGCACACCTCACAAAGAAGAATCTCAAAATGCTTCTGCATAGTTTATATGTGAAGATATTTCCTTTTCCAAATAGGCCTCCAAGTTCTCCAGATATCCACTCGCAGATTCTGCAAAAAGAGAGACTCAAAACTGCTGAATCAAAACATAGTTTCAACTCTGTGACTTCATTGCACACCTCACAAAGATGTTTCTCAGAATGCTTCTGTGCAGTTTTCATATAAAGATATCTCCTTCTCCAAAATAGATCTCAAGGTTCTCCAAATATTCACTTCCAGATTCTATGGAAAGATTGTCTCAAAACTGCTCAATCAAACCAAAGGTTCAACCCTGTGAGATGAATGCACACATCACAAGGAAGTTTCTCGGAATACTTCTGTGTAGTTTTTATTTGAGGATAGTTCCTTTTCCACCACAGACCACAAAGGGCTCCAAATATCCATTGCAGATGTTACAAAAAGAGAGATTCAAAACTGCTCAACCAAAAGGTAGTTTCAACCATGTGATATGAATGCACACAGCACAGAGAAATTTCTCAAAATGCTTCTGTCTAGTTTTTATTTGAAGATATTGCCTTTTCTACCATAGGCCACAAACGTCTCCAAATATCCACATGCAGCTTCTACAAAAAGAGAGATTCAAAGCTTCTCAATCAAAAGATAGGTTCAACTCTGTGAGTTGAATGCACACGTCACAAAGAAGTTTCTCAGAGTGCTTCTGTGTGTTTTTATGTGAAGATGATTCCTTTTCCACAATAGGCCTCAAAGCTCTCCAAGTATCTGCAAGCAGAGTCTACAAAAAGAGAGATTCAAAACTGCTCAATGAAAAGATAGGTTCAACTCTGTGAGTTGAATGCACACCTCCAAAGAAGTTTCTCAGAATGCTTCCGTGTAGTTTCTATGTGAAGATATTTACTTTTCCACAATTGTCCCAAAGCTCTAAAATATCCACTTGCAGACCCTCTGAAAGAGTGCTTCAGAATTGCTCAATCAAAGGAGAGGTTCAATTCTGTGTGACCAATGCACTCATCACAAAAAGTTTGTCTGAATGCTTTCTGTGTAGAATGGATTTGAAGATAATTCCTTTCCCACCACAGTCCGCAAATGGCTAAAAATATCCACTTGCAGATTCCACAAAAAGAGAGATTCAAAACTGCTCAATCACAAGGTAGGTTCAACTTGGTAATTTGAAAGCACACATGACAAACAATTTCTGAGAATGTTTCTGTGTAGCTTTTAAGGGAAGATATTTGATTTTCAAATGTAGGCCTCAAAACGCTCCAAATATCCACTTGCAGATTGTACAAAAAGAGAGATTCAAAACTGGTCACTCAAAAGATAGTTCCAGCTCTGTGAGTTGAATGCAAACCTCACAAAGATGTTTCTCAGAAAGCTTCTGTATAGTTTTTATATGAAGATACTTGCTTTTCCACAATATACCTCAAATCTCCCCAATTATCCACTTGCAGATTCTACAAAAAGAGTGTTTCAAAACTGCTCAATCAAAATACACTTTCAACTCTGTGAGATCAATGCACACATCACAAAGAAGTTTCTCAGAATGCTTCTGTATAGTTTTTATCTGAAGTTATTTGCTTTTCCACGATAGGCCTCAAAGCACGCCAAATATCCACTTGCAGATCCTATGAAAAGAGTGTTCCAAAACTGGTCAATCATAAGATAGGTTTAACTCTGTGAGTTGAATGCACAATCACGAGGAAGTTTCTCAGAATGCCTCTGTGTGCTTTTCATTTGAAGGTATTTCCTTTTCCACCATAGGCCGCAAAGGGCTCCAAATATCCCCTTGCAGATTCTGCAAAATGAGAGATTCAAAACTGCTCAATCAAAAGATAGGTTCAACTCTGTGAGTTGAATGCTCACATAACAAAGAAGTTTCTTCTGTGTAGTTTTTATTTGAAGATATTTCCTTTTCCACCATAGGCCGCAAAGGGCTCCAAATATCCACTTGCAGATTGTACAAAAAGAGAGATTCAAAACTGGTCACTCAAAGGATCGGTTCAGCTCTGTGAGGTGAATGCACACATCAAAAAGAAGTTTCTTAGAGTGCCTCTATGTAGATTTTATGTGAAGATATTTGCTTTTCCACTTTAGGTCTCAAAGCGCTCCAAATATCCACGTGCAGATTCTAAAAAAAGAGAGATTCTAAGCTACTCCATCAAAAGATAGGTTCAGCTCTGTGAGTTGAATTCACACATCACAAAGAAGTTTCTAGGAGTGCTTCTGTGTAGTTGTTATGTGAAGATATTTGCTTTTCCACAGTAGGCCTCAAATCGCTCTACATATCCACTTGCAGTTTCTACAAAAAGAGTGTTTCCAAACTGCTCCATCATAAGACACGTTCAACTCTGAGAGTTGAATGCACACATCACAAAGAAGCTTCTCAGAATGCTTCTGTGTGGTTTTAATTTGAAGATATTTCCTTTTCCAAAACAGGCCTCAAAGCTCTCCGAATATCCACCTGGTTATTCTGCAAAAAGAGGGTTTCAATACTACTCAATAAAAAGGAAGATTCAACTCTGTGTGAGGAACGCATTCATCACAAAGAAGTCTTTCTGAATGCTTCTGTGTAGCTTTTATATGAAGATATTTCCTTTTACACCACAGGGTGCAAACAGCTCCAAACTTCCACTTGCAGATTCTACAAAAAGACGTATTCAAAACTGTACAATCAAAAGATAGTGTCAACTGTGCATGTTCAATGCACACATCACAAAGGACTTTCTCTGAATGCTTCTCTGTAGGGTTTGTTTATGTGAAGATATTTGCTTTTCCACTATAGGGTGAAACAGGGCTCCAAGTATCAACTTGCAGATTCTGCAAAAAGGAGATTCAAAACAGCTAAATCCAAAGATTACTTCAACTATGTGAGTTGAATGCACACACAAAAAAGAAGTTTCTCAGAATGCCTCTGTGTAGTTTTTATGTGAAGATATTTGATTTTCCACATTAGGCCTCAAAGCGCTCCAAATATCCACTTGCAGATTCTAGAAAAAGAGTGTTTCAAAACTGCCCTATCAAAAGAAACGTCCAACACTGTGAGATGAATGCGCACATCACAAAGAAGTTTCTCAGAATGCTTCTTTGTAGTTTTTATGTGAAGATATTCCCTTTTCCAAAGAAGGCCACAAAGTACTCCCAATAACCACTTGCAGGTTCTACAAAATGAGTGTTTCAAAACCGCTCAATCATTAGATAGGTTCAACTCTGTGAGACGAATGCACACATCACAAAGAAGTTTTACGGAATGCTTCTATATAGTTTTTATTTGAAGGTATTTCCTTTTCCACCCTAGGTTGCAAAGGGCTCCAAATATCCACTTGCAGATTCGACAAAAAGAGAGATTCAAAACTGCTCAATGATAAGTCCAACTCTGTGGGTTGAATCCATGCCTCACAAAGAAGTTTCTCAGAATGCTTCTCTGTAGTTTTTATGTGAAGATATTTCCTTTTTCACAATAGGCCTCAAGCTTTCCAAATATCCACTTGCAGATTCCGCAAAAAAGAGAGATACAAAAGTGCTCTATCAAAAGATAGGTTCGACTCTGGGAGTTCAATGCAAACATCACAAAGAAGTTTCTCAGAATGCTTCTGTGTAGATTTTATGTGAAGATGTTTTGTTTTCTACCATAGGGCAAAATGGGGCTCCAAATATCTACTTGCATTTTCTACAAAAAGAGAGATTCTAAGCTGCTCAATCAAAAGATACGTTCAACACTGTTAGTTGAATGCACACATGCCAAAGAAGTTTCTCAGAATGCTTCTGTGTAGTTTTTATGTGAAGATATTTGCTTTTCCACAATAGGCCTCAAATCGTTCTAAATATCCACTTGCAGGCTCTACAAAAAGAGTGTTTCCAAATTGCTCAATCATAAGGTAGGTTCAACTCTGAGAGTTGAATGCACACATCATAAAGAAGTTTCTCAGAATGGTTCTGTGTAGTTTTACTTTGAAGATATTTCATTTTCCAAAACAGGCCCCAAAGCTCTCCAAATATCCACTTGGTGATTCTGCAAAAAGAGCGTTTCAATACTGCTCCATAAAAAGAAAGGTTCAGCTCTGTGTGAGGAATGCATTCATCACAAGAAGTTTCTCTGAATGCTTCTTTGTAGTTTTTATATGAAGATAGTTCCCTTTCCACCACAGGGTGCAAAGAGCTCCAAATATCCACTTGCAGATTCTACAGAAAATGAGATATGAAAGTGCTCAAGGAAAAGATAAGTTCAACTCTGTGAGTTGCATGCACACCTCACAAAGAAGAATCTCAAAATGCTTCTGCATAGTTTATATGTGAAGATATTTCCTTTTCCAAATAGGCCTCCAAGTTCTCCAGATATCCACTCGCAGATTCTGCAAAAAGAGAGACTCAAAACTGCTGAATCAAAACATAGTTTCAACTCTGTGACTTCATTGCACACCTCACAAAGATGTTTCTCAGAATGCTTCTGTGCAGTTTTCATATAAAGATATCTCCTTCTCCAAAATAGATCTCAAGGTTCTCCAAATATTCACTTCCAGATTCTATGGAAAGATTGTCTCAAAACTGCTCAATCAAACCAAAGGTTCAACCCTGTGAGATGAATGCACACATCACAAGGAAGTTTCTCGGAATACTTCTGTGTAGTTTTTATTTGAGGATAGTTCCTTTTCCACCACAGACCACAAAGGGCTCCAAATATCCATTGCAGATGTTACAAAAAGAGAGATTCAAAACTGCTCAACCAAAAGGTAGTTTCAACCATGTGATATGAATGCACACAGCACAGAGAAATTTCTCAAAATGCTTCTGTCTAGTTTTTATTTGAAGATATTGCCTTTTCTACCATAGGCCACAAACGTCTCCAAATATCCACATGCAGCTTCTACAAAAAGAGAGATTCAAAGCTTCTCAATCAAAAGATAGGTTCAACTCTGTGAGTTGAATGCACACTTCACAAAGAAGTTTCTCAGAGTGCTTCTGTGTGTTTTTATGTGAAGATGATTCCTTTTCCACAATAGGCCTCAAAGCTCTCCAAGTATCTGCAAGCAGAGTCTACAAAAAGAGAGATTCAAAACTGCTCAATGAAAAGATAGGTTCAACTCTGTGAGTTGAATGCACACCTCCAAAGAAGTTTCTCAGAATGCTTCCGTGTGGTTTCTATGTGAAGATATTTACTTTTCCACAATTGTCCCAAAGCTCTAAAATATCCACTTGCAGACCCTCTGAAAGAGTGTTTCAGAATTGCTCAATCAAAGGAGAGGTTCAATTCTGTGTGACCAATGCACTCATCACCAAGAAGTTTGTCTGAATGCTTCTGTGTAGAATGGATTTGAAGATAATTCCTTTTCCACCACAGTCCGCAAAGGGCTAAAAATATCCATTTGCAGATTCCACAAAAAGAGAGATTCAGAACTGCTCAATCACAAGATAGGTTCAACTTGGTAATTTGAAAGCCCACATGACAAACAATTTCTGAGAATGTTTCTGTGTAGTTTTTAAGGGAAGATATTTGATTTTCAAATGTAGGCCTCAAATCGCTCCAAATATCCACTTGCAGATTGAACAAAAAGAGAGATTCAAAACTGGTCACTCAAGAGATAGGTCCAGCTCTGTGAGTTGAATGCAAACCTCACAAAGATGTTTCTCAGAAGGCTTCTGTATAGTTTTTATATGAAGATATTTGCTTTTCCACAACATACCTCAAATCTCTCCAATTATCCACTTGCAGATTCTACAGAAGGAGTGTTTTAAAACTGCTCAATCAAAATACACTTTCAACTCTGTGAGATCAATGCACACATCACAAAGAAGTTTCTCAGAATGCTTCTGTATAGTTTTTATCTGAAGTTACTTGCTTTTCCACGATAGGCCTCAAAGCACACCAAATATCCACTTGCAGATCCTGTGAAAACAGTGTTCCAAAACTGGTCAATCATAAGATAGGTTTAACTCTGTGAGTTGAATGCACAATCACAAGAAGTTTCTCAGAATGCCTCTGTGTAGTTTTTATTTGGAGGTATTTCCTTTTCCACCCTAGGTAGCAAAGGGCTCCAAATATCCCCTTGCAGATTCTGCAAAATGAGAGATTCAAAACTGCTCAATCAAAAGATAGGTTCAGCTCTGTGAGTTGAATGCTCACATAACAAAGAAGTTTCTCACAGTATTTCTGCCTAGTTTTTAAGTGAAGATATTTTCTTTTCCGAAATAGACCTCAAAGCCCTCCAAATATCAACTTCCAGACTCTACAAAAGCAGTGTTTCAAAACTGCTCAATCAAAAGAAATTGTCAACTCTGTGAGATGAATGTACACATCACAAAGAAGTTTCTCAGAATGCTTCTGTGTAGTTTTTATTTGAAGATATTTCCTTTTCCACCACAGGCCGCAAAGGGCTCCCAATATCCACTTGCAGATTGTACAAAAAGAGAGATTCAAAACTGGTCACTCAAGCACTGTGTGCTTCAGCTCTGTGAGTTGAATGCACACATCAAAAAGAAGTTTCCTAGAGTGCCTCTATGTAGATTTTATGTGAAGATATTTGCTTTTCCACTTTAGGTCTCAAAGCGCTCCAAATATCCACGTGCAGATTCTAAAAAAAGAGACATTCTAAGCTACTTCATCAAAAGATAGGTTCAGCTCTGTGAGTTGAATTCACACATCACAAAGAAGTTTCTAGGAGTGCTTCTGTGTAGTTGTTATGTGAAGATATTTGCTTTTCCACAGTAGGCCTCAAATCGCTCTACATATCCACTTGCAGTTTCTACAAAAAGAGTGTTTCCAAACTGCTCCATCATAAGACACGTTCAACTCTGAGAGTTGAATGCACACATCACAAAGAAGTTTCTCAGAATGCTTCTGTGTAGTTTTAATTTGAAGATATTTCCTTTTCCAAAACAGGCCTCAAAGCTCTCCAAATATCCCCCTGGTTATTCTGCAAAAAGAGGGTTTCAAAACTACTCAATAAAAAGGAAGATTCAACTCTGTGTGAGGAACGCATTCCTCACAAAGAAGTCTCTCTGAAAGCTTCTGTGTAGTTTTTATATGAAGATATTTCCTTTTGCACCACAGCGTGCAAACAGCTCCAAACTTCCACTTGCAGATTCTACAAAAAGAGATATTCAAAACTGTACAATCAAAAGATAGTTTCAACTCTGCGTGTTCAATGCACACATCACAAAGGACTTTCTCTGAATGCTTCTCTGTAGTGTTTGTTTATGTGAAGATATTTGCTTTTCCACTATAGGGTGAAACAGGGCTCCAGGTATCAACTTGCAGATTCTGCAAAAAGGAGATTCAAAACAGCTAAATCGAAAGATAACTTCAACTATGTGAGTTGAATGCACACACAAAAAAGAAGTTTCTCAGAATGCCTCTGTGTAGTTTTTATGTGAAGATATTTGATTTTCCACATTAGGCCTCAAAGCGCTCCAAATATCCACTTGCAGACTCTACAAGAAGACTCTTTCGAAACTGCCCCATCAAAAGAAACGTCCAACACTGTGAGATGCATGCACACATCACAAAGAAGTTTCTCAGAATGCTTCTTTGTAGTTTTCATGTGAAGATATTTCCTTTTCCAAAGAAGGCCACAAACTACTCCCAATATCCACTTCCAGGTTCTACAAAATGAGTGTTTCAAAACTGCTCAATCATTAGATAGGTTCAACTCTGTGAGATGAATGCACACATCACAAAGAAGTTTTTCGGAATGCTTCTATATAGTTTTTATGTGAAGGTGTTTCCTTTTCCACCATAGGTTGCAAAAGGGCTCCAAATATCCACTTGCAGATTCGACCAAAAGAGAGATTCAAAACTGCTCAATGATAAGTCCAACTCTGTGGGTTGAATCCATGCCTCACAGGAGAAGTTTCTCAGAATGCTTCTCTGTAGTTTCTATGTGAAGATATTTCCTTTTTCACAATAGGCCTCAAGCTTTCCAAATATCCACTTGCAGATTCTGCAAAAAGAGAGATACAAAACTGCTCTATCAAAAGATAGGTTCGACTCTGGGAGTTCAATGCAAACATCACAAAGAAGTTTCTCAGAATGCTTCTGCGTAGTTTTTATGTGAAGATGTTCTGTTTTCTACCATAGGGCGAAATGGGGCTCCAAATCTCTACTTGCATTTTCTACAAAAGGAGAGATTCTAAGCTGCTCAATCAAAAGATAGGTTCAACACTGTTAGTTGAATGCACACATCCCAAAGAAGTCTCTGAGAATGCTTCTGTGTAGTTTTTATGTGAAGATATTTGCTTTTCCACAATAGGCCTCAAATCGTTCTAAATATCCACTTGCAGGCTCTACAAAAAGAGTGTTTCCAAATTGCTCAATCATAAGGTAGCTTCAACTCTGAGAGTTGAATGCTCACATCATGAAGAAGTTTCTCAGAATGGTTCTGTGTAGTTTTACTTTGAAGATATTTCATTTTCCAAATCAGGCCCCAAAGCTCTCCAAATATCCACTTGGTGATTCTGCAAAAAGAGCGTTTCAATACTGCTCAATAAAAAGAAAGGCTCAACTCTGTGTGAGGAATGCATTCATCACAAAGAAGTTTCTCTGAATGCTTCTTTGTAGTTTTTATATGAAGATATTTCCCTTTCCACCACAGGGTGCAAAGAGCTCCAAATATCCACTTGCAGATTCCACAAAAAAAGAGATATGAAAGTGCTCCATGGAAAGATAAGTTCAACTCTGTGAGTTGAATGCACACCTCACAAAGAAGTATCTCAAAATGCTTCTGCGTAGTTTTTATGTGAAGATATTTCCTTTTCCAAGTAGGCCTCAACGTTCTCCAGATATCCACTCGCAGATTCTGCAAAAAGAGAGACTCAAAACTGCTGAATCAAAAGATAGTTTCAACTCTGTGACTTCATTGCACACCTCACAAAGATGTTTCTCAGAATGCTTCTGTGCAGTTTTTATATAAAGATATCTCCTTCTCCAAAATAGATCTCAAAGTTATCCAAGTATTCACTTCCAGATTCTATGGAAAGATTATCTCAAAACTGCTCAATCAAACCAAAGGTTCAACTCTGTGAGATAAATGCACACATCACAAAGAAGTTTCTCAGAATACTTCCGTGTAGTTTTTATTTGAGGATAGTTCCTTTTCCACCACAGACCACAAAGGGCTCCAAATATCCATTGCAGATGGTACAAACAGAGAGACTCGAAACTGCTCAATCAAAAGGTAGTTTCAACCATGTGATATGAATGCACACAGCACAGAGAATTTTCTCAAAATGCTTCTGTCTAGTTTTTATTTGAAGATATATCCTTTTCTACCATAGGCCACAAACGTCTCCAAATATCCACATGCAGCTTCTACAAAAAGAGAGATTCAAAACTTCTCCATCAAAAGATAGGTTCAACTCTGTGAGTTGAATGCACACCTCACAAAGAAGTTTCTCAGAGTGCTTCTGTGTGTTTTTATGTGAACATATTCCCTTTTCCACAATAGGCCTCAAAGCTCTCCAAATATCTGCAAGCAGAGTCTACAAAAAGAGAGATTCAAAACTGCTCAATGAAAAGATAGGTTCAACTCTGTGAGTTGAATGCACACCTCCAAAGAAGTTTCTCAGAATGCTTCCGTGTAGTTTCTATGTGAAGATATTTACTTTTCCACAATTGTCCCAAAGCTCTAAAATATCCACTTGCAGACCCTCTGAAAGAGTGTTTCAGAATTGCTCAATCAAAGGAGAGGTTCAATTCTGTGTGACCAATGCACTCATCACCAAGAAGTTTGTCTGAATGCTTCTGTGTAGAATGGATTTGAAGATAATTCCTTTTCCACCACAGTCCGCAAAGGGCTAAAAATATCCATTTGCAGATTCCACAAAAAGAGAGATTCAGAACTGCTCAATCACAAGATAGGTTCAACTTGGTAATTTGAAAGCCCACATGACAAACAATTTCTGAGAATGTTTCTGTGTAGTTTTTAAGGGAAGATATTTGATTTTCAAATGTAGGCCTCAAATCGCTCCAAATATCCACTTGCAGATTGAACAAAAAGAGAGATTCAAAACTGGTCACTCAAGAGATAGGTCCAGCTCTGTGAGTTGAATGCAAACCTCACAAAGATGTTTCTCAGAAGGCTTCTGTATAGTTTTTATATGAAGATATTTGCTTTTCCACAACATACCTCAAATCTCTCCAATTATCCACTTGCAGATTCTACAGAAGGAGTGTTTTAAAACTGCTCAATCAAAATACACTTTCAACTCTGTGAGATCAATGCACACATCACAAAGAAGTTTCTCAGAATGCTTCTGTATAGTTTTTATCTGAAGTTACTTGCTTTTCCACGATAGGCCTCAAAGCACACCAAATATCCACTTGCAGATCCTGTGAAAACAGTGTTCCAAAACTGGTCAATCATAAGATAGGTTTAACTCTGTGAGTTGAATGCACAATCACAAGAAGTTTCTCAGAATGCCTCTGTGTAGTTTTTATTTGGAGGTATTTCCTTTTCCACCCTAGGTAGCAAAGGGCTCCAAATATCCCCTTGCAGATTCTGCAAAATGAGAGATTCAAAACTGCTCAATCAAAAGATAGGTTCAGCTCTGTGAGTTGAATGCTCACATAACAAAGAAGTTTCTCACAGTATTTCTGCCTAGTTTTTAAGTGAAGATATTTTCTTTTCCGAAATAGACCTCAAAGCCCTCCAAATATCAACTTCCAGACTCTACAAAAGCAGTGTTTCAAAACTGCTCAATCAAAAGAAATTGTCAACTCTGTGAGATGAATGTACACATCACAAAGAAGTTTCTCAGAATGCTTCTGTGTAGTTTTTATTTGAAGATATTTCCTTTTCCACCACAGGCCGCAAAGGGCTCCCAATATCCACTTGCAGATTGTACAAAAAGAGAGATTCAAAACTGGTCACTCAAGCACTGTGTGCTTCCGCTCTGTGAGTTGAATGCACACATCAAAAAGAAGTTTCTTAGAGTGCCTCTATGTAGATTTTATGTGAAGATATTTGCTTTTCCACTTTAGGTCTCAAAGCGCTCCAAATATCCACGTGCAGATTCTAAAAAAAGAGACATTCTAAGCTACTCCATCAAAAGATAGGTTCAGCTCTGTGAGTTGAATTCACACATCACAAAGAAGTTTCTAGGAGTGCTTCTGTGTAGTTGTTATGTGAAGATATTTGCTTTTCCACAGTAGGCCTCAAATCGCTCTACATATCCACTTGCAGTTTCTACAAAAAGAGTGTTTCCAAACTGCTCCATCATAAGACACGTTCAACTCTGAGAGTTGAATGCACACATCACAAAGAAGCTTCTCAGAATGCTTCTGTGTGGTTTTAATTTGAAGATGTTTCCTTTTCCAAAACAGGCCTCAAAACTCTCCATATATCCCCCTGGTTATTCTGCAAAAAGAGGGTTTCAAAACTACTCAATAAAAAGGAAGATTCAACTCTGTGTGAGGAACGCATTCCTCACAAAGAAGTCTCTCTGAAAGCTTCTGTGTAGTTTTTATATGAAGATATTTCCTTTTGCACCACAGCGTGCAAACAGCTCCAAACTTCCACTTGCAGATTCTACAAAAAGAGATATTCAAAACTGTACAATCAAAAGATAGTTTCAACTCTGCGTGTTCAATGCACACATCACAAAGGACTTTCTCTGAATGCTTCTCTGTAGTGTTTGTTTATGTGAAGATATTTGCTTTTCCACTATAGGGTGAAACAGGGCTCCAGGTATCAACTTGCAGATTCTGCAAAAAGGAGATTCAAAACAGCTAAATCGAAAGATAACTTCAACTATGTGAGTTGAATGCACACACAAAAAAGAAGTTTCTCAGAATGCCTCTGTGTAGTTTTTATGTGAAGATATTTGATTTTCCACATTAGGCCTCAAAGCGCTCCAAATATCCACTTGCAGACTCTACAAGAAGACTCTTTCGAAACTGCCCTATCAAAAGAAACGTCCAACAGTGTGAGATGCATGCACACATCACAAAGAAGTTTCTCAGAATGCTTCTATGTAGTTTTTATTTGAAGGTATTTCCTTTTCCACCAAAGGTAGCAAAGGGCTCCAAATATCCACTTGCTGATTATACAAAAAAAAATATTTTAAACTGCTCAATCAAAAGATAGGTTCAACTCTGTGAGTTGAATGCACACATCACAAAGTAGTTTCTCAGAATGCTTCTCTGTAGTTTCTATGTGAAGATATTTCCTTTTTCACAATAGGCCTCAAGCTTTCCAAATATCCACTTGCAGATTCTGCAAAAAGAGAGATACAAAACTGCTCTATCAAAAGATAGGTTCGACTCTGGGAGTTCAATGCAAACATCACAAAGAAGTTTCTCAGAATGCTTCTGCGTAGTTTTTATGTGAAGATGTTCTGTTTTCTACCATAGGGCGAAATGGGGCTCCAAATCTCTACTTGCATTTTCTACAAAAGGAGAGATTCTAAGCTGCTCAATCAAAAGATAGGTTCAACACTGTTAGTTGAATGCACACATCCCAAAGAAGTCTCTGAGAATGCTTCTGTGTAGTTTTTATGTGAAGATATTTGCTTTTCCACAATAGGCCTCAAATCGTTCTAAATATCCACTTGCAGGCTCTACAAAAAGAGTGTTTCCAAATTGCTCAATCATAAGGTAGCTTCAACTCTGAGAGTTGAATGCTCACATCATGAAGAAGTTTCTCAGAATGGTTCTGTGTAGTTTTACTTTGAAGATATTTCATTTTCCAAATCAGGCCCCAAAGCTCTCCAAATATCCACTTGGTGATTCTGCAAAAGGAGCGTTTCAATACTGCTCAATAAAAAGAAAGGCTCAACTCTGTGTGAGGAATGCATTCATCACAAAGAAGTTTCTCTGAATGCTTCTTTGTAGTTTTTATATGAAGATATTTCCCTTTCCACCACAGGGTGCAAAGAGCTCCAAATATCCACTTGCAGATTCCACAAAAAAAGAGATATGAAAGTGCTCCATGGAAAGATAAGTTCAACTCTGTGAGTTGAATGCACACCTCACAAAGAAGTATCTCAAAATGCTTCTGCGTAGTTTTTATGTGAAGATATTTCCTTTTCCAAGTAGGCCTCAACGTTCTCCAGATATCCACTCGCAGATTCTGCAAAAAGAGAGACTCAAAACTGCTGAATCAAAAGATAGTTTCAACTCTGTGACTTCATTGCACACCTCACAAAGATGTTTCTCAGAATGCTTCTGTGCAGTTTTTATATAAAGATATCTCCTTCTCCAAAATAGATCTCAAAGTTATCCAAGTATTCACTTCCAGATTCTATGGAAAGATTATCTCAAAACTGCTCAATCAAACCAAAGGTTCAACTCTGTGAGATAAATGCACACATCACAAAGAAGTTTCTCAGAATACTTCCGTGTAGTTTTTATTTGAGGATAGTTCCTTTTCCACCACAGACCACAAAGGGCTCCAAATATCCATTGCAGATGGTACAAACAGAGAGACTCGAAACTGCTCAATCAAAAGATAGTTTCAACCATGTGATATGAATGCACACAGCACAGAGAATTTTCTCAAAATGCTTCTGTCTAGTTTTTATTTGAAGATATATCCTTTTCTACCATAGGCCACAAACGTCTCCAAATATCCACATGCAGCTTCTACAAAAAGAGAGATTCAAAACTTCTCCATCAAAAGATAGGTTCAACTCTGTGAGTTGAATGCACACCTCACAAAGAAGTTTCTCAGAGTGCTTCTGTGTGTTTTTATGTGAACATATTCCCTTTTCCACAATAGGCCTCAAAGCTCTCCAAATATCTGCAAGCAGAGTCTACAAAAAGAGAGATTCAAAACTGCTCAATGAAAAGATAGGTTCAACTCTGTGAGTTGAATGCACACCTCCAAAGAAGTTTCTCAGAATGCTTCCGTGTAGTTTTTATGTGAAGATATTTACTTTTCCACAATTGTCCCAAAGCTCTAAAATATCCACTTGCAGACCCTCTGAAAGAGTGTTTCAGAATTGCTCAATCAAAGGAGAGGTTCAATTCTGTGTGACCAATGCACTCATCACAAAAAGTTTGTCTGAATGCTTCTGTGTAGAATGGATTTGAAGATAATTCCTTTTCCACCACAGTCCGCAAATGGCTAAAAATATCCACTTGCAGATTCCACAAAAAGAGAGATTCAAAACTGCTCAATCACAAGGTAGGTTCAACTTGGTAATTTGAAAGCACACATGACAAACAATTTCTGAGAATGTTTCTGTGTAGCTTTTAAGGGAAGATATTTGATTTTCAAATGTAGGCCTCAAAACGCTCCAAATATCCACTTGCAGATTGTACAAAAAGAGAGATTCAAAACTGGTCACTCAAAAGATAGTTCCAGCTCTGTGAGTTGAATGCAAACCTCACAAAGATGTTTCTCAGAAAGCTTCTGTATAGTTTTTATATGAAGATACTTGCTTTTCCACAATATACCTCAAATCTCCCCAATTATCCACTTGCAGATTCTACAAAAAGAGTGTTTCAAAACTGCTCAATCAAAATACACTTTCAACTCTGTGAGATCAATGCACACATCACAAAGAAGTTTCTCAGAATGCTTCTGTATAGTTTTTATCTGAAGTTATTTGCTTTTCCACGATAGGCCTCAAAGCACGCCAAATATCCACTTGCAGATCCTATGAAAAGAGTGTTCCAAAACTGGTCAATCATAAGATAGGTTTAACTCTGTGAGTTGAATGCACAATCACGAGGAAGTTTCTCAGAATGCCTCTGTGTGCTTTTCATTTGAAGGTATTTCCTTTTCCACCATAGGCCGCAAAGGGCTCCAAATATCCCCTTGCAGATTCTGCAAAATGAGAGATTCAAAACTGCTCAATCAAAAGATAGGTTCAACTCTGTGAGTTGAATGCTCACATAACAAAGAAGTTTCTTCTGTGTAGTTTTTATTTGAAGATATTTCCTTTTCCACCATAGGCCGCAAAGGGCTCCAAATATCCACTTGCAGATTGTATAAAAAGAGAGATTCAAAACTGGTCACTCGAAGGATCGGTTCAGCTCTGTGAGGTGAATGCACACATCAAAAAGAAGTTTCTTAGAGTGCCTCTATGTAGATTTTATGTGAAGATATTTGCTTTTCCACTTTAGGTCTCAAAGCGCTCCAAATATCCACGTGCAGATTCTAAAAAAAGAGAGATTCTAAGCTACTCCATCAAAAGATAGGTTCAGCTCTGTGAGTTGAATTCACACATCACAAAGAAGTTTCTAGGAGTGCTTCTGTGTAGTTGTTATGTGAAGATATTTGCTTTTCCACAGTAGGCCTCAAATCGCTCTACATATCCACTTGCAGTTTCTACAAAAAAGAGTGTTTCCAAACTGCTCCATCATAAGACACGTTGAACTCTGAGAGTTGAATGCACACATCACAAAGAAGCTTCTCAGAATGCTTCTGTGTGGTTTTAATTTGAAGATATTTGCTTTTCCAAAACAGGCCTCAAAGCTCTCCAAATATCCACCTGGTTATTCTGCAAAAAGAGGGTTTCAATACTACTCAATAAAAAGGAAGATTCAACTCTGTGTGAGGAACGCATTCATCACAAAGAAGTCTTTCTGAATGCTTCTGTGTAGCTTTTATATGAAGATATTTCCTTTTACACCACAGGGTGCAAACAGCTCCAAACTTCCACTTGCAGATTCTACAAAAAGACGTATTCAAAACTGTACAATCAAAAGATAGTGTCAACTCTGCATGTTCAATGCACACATCACAAAGGACTTTCTCTGAATGCTTCTCTGTAGGGTTTGTTTATGTGAAGACATTTGCTTTTCCACTATAGGGTGAAACAGGGCTCCAAGTATCAACTTGCAGATTCTGCAAAAAGGAGATTCAAAACAGCTAAATCCAAAGATTACTTCAACTATGTGAGTTGAATGCACACACAAAAAAGAAGTTTCTCAGAATGCCTCTGTGTAGTTTTTATGTGAAGATATTTGATTTTCCACATTAGGCCTCAAAGCGCTCCAAATATCCACTTGCAGATTCTAGAAAAAGAGTGTTTCAAAACTGCCCTATCAAAAGAAACGTCCAACACTGTGAGATGAATGCACACATCACAAAGAAGTTTCTCAGAATGCTTCTTTGTAGTTTTTATGTGAAGATATTCCCTTTTCCAAAGAAGGCCACAAAGTACTCCCAATATCCACTTGCAGGTTCTACAAAATGAGTGTTTCAAAACCGCTCAATCATTAGATAGGTTCAACTCTGTGAGACGAATGCACACGTCACAAAGAAGTTTTACGGAATGCTTCTATATAGTTTTTATTTGAAGGTATTTCCTTTTCCACCCTAGGTTACAAAGGGCTCCAAATATCCACTTGCAGATTCGACAAAAAGAGAGATTCAAAACTGCTCAATGACAAGTCCAACTCTGTGGGTTGAATCCATGCCTCACAAAGAAGTTTCTCAGAATGCTTCTCTGTAGTTTTTATGTGAAGATATTTCCTTTTTCACAATAGGCCTCAAGCTTTCCAAATATCCACTTGCAGATTCCGCAAAAAGAGAGATACAAAAGTGCTCTATCAAAAGATAGGTTCGACTCTGGGAGTTCAATGCAAACATCACAAAGAAGTTTCTCAGAATGCTTCTGTGTAGATTTTATGTGAAGATGTTTTGTTTTCTACCATAGGGCAAAATGGGGCTCCAAATATCTACTTGCATTTTCTACAAAAAGAGAGATTCTAAGCTGCTCAATCAAAAGATACGTTCAACACTGTTAGTTGAATGCACACATGCCAAAGAAGTTTCTCAGAATGCTTCTGTGTAGTTTTTATGTGAAGATATTTGCTTTTCCACAATAGGCCTCAAATCGTTCTAAATATCCACTTGCAGGCTCTACAAAAAGAGTGTTTCCAAATTGCTCAATCATAAGGTAGGTTCAACTCTGAGAGTTGAATGCACACATCATAAAGAAGTTTCTCAGAATGGTTCTGTGTAGTTTTACTTTGAAGATATTTCATTTTCCAAAACAGGCCCCAAAGCTCTCCAAATATCCACTTGGTGATTCTGCAAAAAGAGCGTTTCAATACTGCTCCATAAAAAGAAAGGTTCAGCTCTGTGTGAGGAATGCATTCATCACAAGAAGTTTCTCTGAATGCTTCTTTGTAGTTTTTATATGAAGATAGTTCCCTTTCCACCACAGGGTGCAAAGAGCTCCAAATATCCACTTGCAGATTCTACAGAAAATGAGATATGAAAGTGCTCAAGGAAAAGATAAGTTCAACTCTGTGAGTTGCATGCACACCTCACAAAGAAGAATCTCAAAATGCTTCTGCATAGTTTATATGTGAAGATATTTCCTTTTCCAAATAGGCCTCCAAGTTCTCCAGATATCCACTCGCAGATTCTGCAAAAAGAGAGACTCAAAACTGCTGAATCAAAACATAGTTTCAACTCTGTGACTTCATTGCACACCTCACAAAGATGTTTCTCAGAATGCTTCTGTGCAGTTTTCATATAAAGATATCTCCTTCTCCAAAATAGATCTCAAGGTTCTCCAAATATTCACTTCCAGATTCTATGGAAAGATTGTCTCAAAACTGCTCAATCAAACCAAAGGTTCAACCCTGTGAGATGAATGCACACATCACAAGGAAGTTTCTCGGAATACTTCTGTGTAGTTTTTATTTGAGGATAGTTCCTTTTCCACCACAGACCACAAAGGGCTCCAAATATCCATTGCAGATGTTACAAAAAGAGAGATTCAAAACTGCTCAACCAAAAGGTAGTTTCAACCATGTGATATGAATGCACACAGCACAGAGAAATTTCTCAAAATGCTCTGTCTAGTTTTTATTTGAAGATATTGCCTTTTCTACCATAGGCCACAAACGTCTCCAAATATCCACATGCAGCTTCTACAAAAAGAGAGATTCAAAGCTTCTCAATCAAAAGATAGGTTCAACTCTGTGAGTTGAATGCACACTTCACAAAGAAGTTTCTCAGAGTGCTTTCTGTGTGTTTTTATGTGAAGATGATTCCTTTTCCACAATAGGCCTCAAAGCTCTCCAAGTATCTGCAAGCAGAGTCTACAAAAAGAGAGATTCAAAACTGCTCAATGAAAAGATAGGTTCAACTCTGTGAGTTGAATGCACACCTCCAAAGAAGTTTCTCAGAATGCTTCCGTGTAGTTTCTATGTGAAGATATTTACTTTTCCACAATTGTCCCAAAGCTCTAAAATATCCACTTGCAGACCCTCTGAAAGAGTGTTTCAGAATTGCTCAATCAAAGGAGAGGTTCAATTCTGTGTGACCAATGCACTCATCACAAAAAGTTTGTCTGAATGCTTCTGTGTAGAATGGATTTGAAGATAATTCCTTTTCCACCACAGTCCGCAAATGGCTAAAAATATCCACTTGCAGATTCCACAAAAAGAGAGATTCAAAACTGCTCAATCACAAGGTAGGTTCAACTTGGTAATTTGAAAGCACACATGACAAACAATTTCTGAGAATGTTTCTGTGTAGCTTTTAAGGGAAGATATTTGATTTTCAAATGTAGGCCTCAAAACGCTCCAAATATCCACTTGCAGATTGTACAAAAAGAGAGATTCAAAACTGGTCACTCAAAAGATAGTTCCAGCTCTGTGAGTTGAATGCAAACCTCACAAAGATGTTTCTCAGAAAGCTTCTGTATAGTTTTTATATGAAGATACTTGCTTTTCCACAATATACCTCAAATCTCCCCAATTATCCACTTGCAGATTCTACAAAAAGAGTGTTTCAAAACTGCTCAATCAAAATACACTTTCAACTCTGTGAGATCAATGCACACATCACAAAGAAGTTTCTCAGAATGCTTCTGTATAGTTTTTATCTGAAGTTATTTGCTTTTCCACGATAGGCCTCAAAGCACGCCAAATATCCACTTGCAGATCCTATGAAAAGAGTGTTCCAAAACTGGTCAATCATAAGATAGGTTTAACTCTGTGAGTTGAATGCACAATCACGAGGAAGTTTCTCAGAATGCCTCTGTGTGCTTTTCATTTGAAGGTATTTCCTTTTCCACCATAGGCCGCAAAGGGCTCCAAATATCCCCTTGCAGATTCTGCAAAATGAGAGATTCAAAACTGCTCAATCAAAAGATAGGTTCAACTCTGTGAGTTGAATGCTCACATAACAAAGAAGTTTCTTCTGTGTAGTTTTTATTTGAAGATATTTCCTTTTCCACCATAGGCCGCAAAGGGCTCCAAATATCCACTTGCAGATTGTATAAAAAGAGAGATTCAAAACTGGTCACTCGAAGGATCGGTTCAGCTCTGTGAGGTGAATGCACACATCAAAAAGAAGTTTCTTAGAGTGCCTCTATGTAGATTTTATGTGAAGATATTTGCTTTTCCACTTTAGGTCTCAAAGCGCTCCAAATATCCACGTGCAGATTCTAAAAAAAGAGAGATTCTAAGCTACTCCATCAAAAGATAGGTTCAGCTCTGTGAGTTGAATTCACACATCACAAAGAAGTTTCTAGGAGTGCTTCTGTGTAGTTGTTATGTGAAGATATTTGCTTTTCCACAGTAGGCCTCAAATCGCTCTACATATCCACTTGCAGTTTCTACAAAAAAGAGTGTTTCCAAACTGCTCCATCATAAGACACGTTGAACTCTGAGAGTTGAATGCACACATCACAAAGAAGCTTCTCAGAATGCTTCTGTGTGGTTTTAATTTGAAGATATTTGCTTTTCCAAAACAGGCCTCAAAGCTCTCCAAATATCCACCTGGTTATTCTGCAAAAAGAGGGTTTCAATACTACTCAATAAAAAGGAAGATTCAACTCTGTGTGAGGAACGCATTCATCACAAAGAAGTCTTTCTGAATGCTTCTGTGTAGCTTTTATATGAAGATATTTCCTTTTACACCACAGGGTGCAAACAGCTCCAAACTTCCACTTGCAGATTCTACAAAAAGACGTATTCAAAACTGTACAATCAAAAGATAGTGTCAACTCTGCATGTTCAATGCACACATCACAAAGGACTTTCTCTGAATGCTTCTCTGTAGGGTTTGTTTATGTGAAGATATTTGCTTTTCCACTATAGGGTGAAACAGGGCTCCAAGTATCAACTTGCAGATTCTGCAAAAAGGAGATTCAAAACAGCTAAATCCAAAGATTACTTCAACTATGTGAGTTGAATGCACACACAAAAAAAGAAGTTTCTCAGAATGCCTCTGTGTAGTTTTTATGTGAAGATATTTGATTTTCCACATTAGGCCTCAAAGCGCTCCAAATATCCACTTGCAGATTCTAGAAAAAGAGTGTTTCAAAACTGCCCTATCAAAAGAAACGTCCAACACTGTGCGATGAATGCACACATCACAAAGAAGTTTCTCAGAATGCTTCTTTGTAGTTTTTATGTGAAGATATTCCCTTTTCCAAAGAAGGCCACAAAGTACTCCCAATATCCACTTGCAGGTTCTACAAAATGAGTGTTTCAAAACCGCTCAATCATTAGATAGGTTCAACTCTGTGAGACGAATGCACACATCACAAAGAAGTTTTACGGAATGCTTCTATATAGTTTTTATTTGAAGGTATTTCCTTTTCCACCCTAGGTTGCAAAGGGCTCCAAATATCCACTTGCAGATTCGACAAAAAGAGAGATTCAAAACTGCTCAATGATAAGTCCAACTCTGTGGGTTGAATCCATGCCTCACAAAGAAGTTTCTCAGAATGCTTCTCTGTAGTTTTTATGTGAAGATATTTCCTTTTTCACAATAGGCCTCAAGCTTTCCAAATATCCACTTGCAGATTCCGCAAAAAGAGAGATACAAAAGTGCTCTATCAAAAGATAGGTTCGACTCTGGGAGTTCAATGCAAACATCACAAAGAAGTTTCTCAGAATGCTTCTGTGTAGTTTTTATGTGAAGATGTTCTGTTTTCTACCATAGGGCAAAATGGGGCTCCAAATATCTACTTGCATTTTCTACAAAAAGAGAGATTCTAAGCTGCTCAATCAAAAGATACGTTCAACACTGTTAGTTGAATGCACACATGCCAAAGAAGTTTCTCAGAATGCTTCTGTGTAGTTTTTATGTGAAGATATTTGCTTTTCCACAATAGGCCTCAAATCGTTCTAAATATCCACTTGCAGGCTCTACAAAAAGAGTGTTTCCAAATTGGTCAATCATAAGGTAGGTTCAACTCTGAGAGTTGAATGCACACATCATAAAGAAGTTTCTCAGAATGGTTCTGTGTAGTTTTACTTTGAAGATATTTCATTTTCCAAAACAGGCCCCAAAGCTCTCCAAATATCCACTTGGTGATTCTGCAAAAAGAGCGTTTCAATACTGCTCAATAAAAAGAAACGTTCAGCTCTGTGTGAGGAATGCATTCATCACAAAGAAGTTTCTCTGAATGCTTCTTTGTAGTTTTTATATGAAGATAGTTCCCTTTCCACCACAGGGTGCAAAGAGCTCCAAATATCCACTTGCAGATTCTACAGAAAATGAGATACGAAAGTGCTCAAGGAAAAGATAAGTTCAACTCTGTGAGTTGCATGCACACCTCACAAAGAAGAATCTCAAAATGCTTCTGCATAGTTTATATGTGAAGATATTTCCTTTTCCAAATAGGCCTCCAAGTTCTCCAGATATCCACTCGCAGATTCTGCAAAAAGAGAGACTCAAAACTGCTGAATCAAAACATAGTTTCAACTCTGTGACTTCATTGCACACCTCACAAAGATGTTTCTCAGAATGCTTCTGTGCAGTTTTTATATAAAGATATCTCCTTCTCCAAAATAGATCTCAAGGTTCTCCAAATATTCACTTCCAGATTCTATGGAAAGATTGTCTCAAAACTGCTCAATCAAACCAAAGGTTCAACCCTATGAGATGAATGCACACATCACAAGGAAGTTTCTCGGAATACTTCTGTGTAGTTTTTATTTGAGGATAGTTCCTTTTCCACCACAGACCACAAAGGGCTCCAAATATCCATTGCAGATGGTACAAAAAGAGAGATTCAAAACTGCTCAATCAAAAGGTAGTTTCAACCATGTGATATGAATGCACACAGCACAGAGAAATTTCTCAAAATGCTTCTGTCTAGTTTTTATTTGAAGATATTGCCTTTTCTACCATAGGCCACAAACGTCTCCAAATATCCACATGCAGCTTCTACAAAAAGAGAGATTCAAAGCTTCTCAATCAAAAGATAGGTTCAACTCTGTGAGTTGAATGCACACTTCACAAAGAAGTTTCTCAGAGTGCTTCTGTGTGTTGTTATGTGAAGATGATTCCTTTTCCACAATAGGCCTCAAAGCTCTCCAAATATCTGCAAGCAGAGTCTACAAAAAGAGAGATTCAAAACTGCTCAATGAAAAGATAGGTTCAACTCTGTGAGTTGAATGCACACCTCCAAAGAAGTTTCTCAGAATGCTTCCGTGTAGTTTCTATGTGAAGATATTTACTTTTCCACAATTGTCCCAAAGCTCTAAAATATCCACTTGCAGACCCTCTGAAAGAGTGTTTCAGAATTGCTCAATCAAAGGAGAGGTTCAATTCTGTGTGACCAATGCACTCATCACAAAAAGTTTGTCTGAATGCTTCTGTGTAGAATGGATTTGAAGATAATTCCTTTTCCACCACAGTCCGCAAATGGCTAAAAATATCCACTTGCAGATTCCACAAAAAGAGAGATTCAAAACTGCTCAATCACAAGGTAGGTTCAACTTGGTAATTTGAAAGCACACATGACAAACAATTTCTGAGAATGTTTCTGTGTAGCTTTTAAGGGAAGATATTTGATTTTCAAATGTAGGCCTCAAAACGCTCCAAATATCCACTTGCAGATTGTACAAAAAGAGAGATTCAAAACTGGTCACTCAAAAGATAGTTCCAGCTCTGTGAGTTGAATGCAAACCTCACAAAGATGTTTCTCAGAAAGCTTCTGTATAGTTTTTATATGAAGATACTTGCTTTTCCACAATATACCTCAAATCTCCCCAATTATCCACTTGCAGATTCTACAAAAAGAGTGTTTCAAAACTGCTCAATCAAAATACACTTTCAACTCTGTGAGATCAATGCACACATCACAAAGAAGTTTCTCAGAATGCTTCTGTATAGTTTGCTTTTCCACGATAGGCCTCAAAGCACGCCAAATATCCACTTGCAGATCCTATGAAAAGAGTGTTCCAAAACTGGTCAATCATAAGATAGGTTTAACTCTGTGAGTTGAATGCACAATCACGAGGAAGTTTCTCAGAATGCCTCTGTGTGCTTTTCATTTGAAGGTATTTCCTTTTCCACCATAGGCCGCAAAGGGCTCCAAATATCCCCTTGCAGATTCTGCAAAATGAGAGATTCAAAACTGCTCAATCAAAAGATAGGTTCAACTCTGTGAGTTGAATGCTCACATAACAAAGAAGTTTCTTCTGTGTAGTTTTTATTTGAAGATATTTCCTTTTCCACCATAGGCCGCAAAGGGCTCCAAATATCCACTTGCAGATTGTACAAAAAGAGAGATTCAAAACTGGTCACTCAAAGGATCGGTTCAGCTCTGTGAGGTGAATGCACACATCAAAAAGAAGTTTCTTAGAGTGCCTCTATGTAGATTTTATGTGAAGATATTTGCTTTTCCACTTTAGGTCTCAAAGCGCTCCAAATATCCACGTGCAGATTCTAAAAAAAGAGAGATTCTAAGCTACTCCATCAAAAGATAGGTTCAGCTCTGTGAGTTGAATTCACACATCACAAAGAAGTTTCTAGGAGTGCTTCTGTGTAGTTGTTATGTGAAGATATTTGCTTTTCCACAGTAGGCCTCAAATCGCTCTACATATCCACTTGCAGTTTCTACAAAAAGAGTGTTTCCAAACTGCTCCATCATAAGACACGTTCAACTCTGAGAGTTGAATGCACACATCACAAAGAAGCTTCTCAGAATGCTTCTGTGTGGTTTTAATTTGAAGATATTTCCTTTTCCAAAACAGGCCTCAAAGCTCTCCGAATATCCACCTGGTTATTCTGCAAAAAGAGGGTTTCAATACTACTCAATAAAAAGGAAGATTCAACTCTGTGTGAGGAACGCATTCATCACAAAGAAGTCTTTCTGAATGCTTCTGTGTAGCTTTTATATGAAGATATTTCCTTTTACACCACAGGGTGCAAACAGCTCCAAACTTCCACTTGCAGATTCTACAAAAAGACGTATTCAAAACTGTACAATCAAAAGATAGTGTCAACTCTGCATGTTCAATGCACACATCACAAAGGACTTTCTCTGAATGCTTCTCTGTAGGGTTTGTTTATGTGAAGATATTTGCTTTTCCACTATAGGGTAAAACAGGGCTCCAAGTATCAACTTGCAGATTCTGCAAAAAGGAGATTCAAAACAGCTAAATCCAAAGATTACTTCAACTATGTGAGTTGAATGCACACACAAAAAAGAAGTTTCTCAGAATGCCTCTGTGTAGTTTTTATGTGAAGATATTTGATTTTCCACATTAGGCCTCAAAGCGCTCTAAATATCCACTTGCAGATTCTAGAAAAAGAGTGTTTCAAAACTGCCCTATCAAAAGAAACGTCCAACACTGTGAGATGAATGCACACATCACAAAGAAGTTTCTCAGAATGCTTCTTTGTAATTTTTATGTGAAGATATTCCCTTTTCCAAAGAAGGCCACAAAGTACTCCCAATATCCACTTGCAGGTTCTACCAAATGAGTGTTTCAAAACCGCTCAATCATTAGATAGGTTCAACTCTGTGAGACGAATGCACACGTCACAAAGAAGTTTTACGGAATGCTTCTATATAGTTTTTATTTGAAGGTATTTCCTTTTCCACCCTAGGTTGCAAAGGGCTCCAAATATCCACTTGCAGATTCGACAAAAAGAGAGATTCAAAACTGCTCAATGATAAGTCCAACTCTGTGGGTTGAATCCATGCCTCACAAAGAAGTTTCTCAGAATGCTTCTCTGTAGTTTTTATGTGAAGATATTTCCTTTTTCACAATAGGCCTCAAGCTTTCCAAATATCCACTTGCAGATTCCGCAAAAAGAGAGATACAAAAGTGCTCTATCAAAAGATAGGTTCGACTCTGGGAGTTCAATGCAAACATCACAAAGAAGTTTCTCAGAATGCTTCTGTGTAGTTTTTATGTGAAGATGTTCTGTTTTCTACCATAGGGCAAAATGGGGCTCCAAATATCTACTTGCATTTTCTACAAAAAGAGAGATTCTAAGCTGCTCAATCAAAAGATACGTTCAACACTGTTAGTTGAATGCACACATGCCAAAGAAGTTTCTCAGAATGCTTCTGTGTAGTTTTTATGTGAAGATATTTGCTTTTCCACAATAGGCCTCAAATCGTTCTAAATATCCACTTGCAGGCTCTACAAAAAGAGTGTTTCCAAATTGCTCAATCATAAGGTAGGTTCAACTCTGAGAGTTGAATGCACACATCATAAAGAAGTTTCTCAGAATGGTTCTGTGTAGTTTTACTTTGAAGATATTTCATTTTCCAAAACAGGCCCCAAAGCTCTCCAAATATCCACTTGGTGATTCTGCAAAAAGAGCGTTTCAATACTGCTCCATAAAAAGAAAGGTTCAGCTCTGTGTGAGGAATGCATTCATCACAAGAAGTTTCTCTGAATGCTTCTTTGTAGTTTTTATATGAAGATAGTTCCCTTTCCACCACAGGGTGCAAAGAGCTCCAAATATCCACTTGCAGATTCTACAGAAAATGAGATATGAAAGTGCTCAAGGAAAAGATAAGTTCAACTCTGTGAGTTGCATGCACACCTCACAAAGAAGAATCTCAAAATGCTTCTGCATAGTTTATATGTGAAGATATTTCCTTTTCCAAATAGGCCTCCAAGTTCTCCAGATATCCACTCGCAGATTCTGCAAAAAGAGAGACTCAAAACTGCTGAATCAAAACATAGTTTCAACTCTGTGACTTCATTGCACACCTCACAAAGATGTTTCTCAGAATGCTTCTGTGCAGTTTTCATATAAAGATATCTCCTTCTCCAAAATAGATCTCAAGGTTCTCCAAATATTCACTTCCAGATTCTATGGAAAGATTGTCTCAAAACTGCTCAATCAAACCAAAGGTTCAACCCTGTGAGATGAATGCACACATCACAAGGAAGTTTCTCGGAATACTTCTGTGTAGTTTTTATTTGAGGATAGTTCCTTTTCCACCACAGACCACAAAGGGCTCCAAATATCCATTGCAGATGTTACAAAAAGAGAGATTCAAAACTGCTCAACCAAAAGGTAGTTTCAACCATGTGATATGAATGCACACAGCACAGAGAAATTTCTCAAAATGCTTCTGTCTAGTTTTTATTTGAAGATATTGCCTTTTCTACCATAGGCCACAAACGTCTCCAAATATCCACATGCAGCTTCTACAAAAAGAGAGATTCAAAGCTTCTCAATCAAAAGATAGGTTCAACTCTGTGAGTTGAATGCACACTTCACAAAGAAGTTTCTCAGAGTGCTTCTGTGTGTTTTTATGTGAAGATGATTCCTTTTCCACAATAGGCCTCAAAGCTCTCCAAGTATCTGCAAGCAGAGTCTACAAAAAGAGAGATTCAAAACTGCTCAATGAAAAGATAGGTTCAACTCTGTGAGTTGAATGCACACCTCCAAAGAAGTTTCTCAGAATGCTTCCGTGTAGTTTCTATGTGAAGATATTTACTTTTCCACAATTGTCCCAAAGCTCTAAAATATCCACTTGCAGACCCTCTGAAAGAGTGTTTCAGAATTGCTCAATCAAAGGAGAGGTTCAATTCTGTGTGACCAATGCACTCATCACAAAAAGTTTGTCTGAATGCTTCTGTGTAGAATGGATTTGAAGATAATTCCTTTTCCACCACAGTCCGCAAATGGCTAAAAATATCCACTTGCAGATTCCACAAAAAGAGAGATTCAAAACTGCTCAATCACAAGGTAGGTTCAACTTGGTAATTTGAAAGCACACATGACAAACAATTTCTGAGAATGTTTCTGTGTAGCTTTTAAGGGAAGATATTTGATTTTCAAATGTAGGCCTCAAAACGCTCCAAATATCCACTTGCAGATTGTACAAAAAGAGAGATTCAAAACTGGTCACTCAAAAGATAGTTCCAGCTCTGTGAGTTGAATGCAAACCTCACAAAGATGTTTCTCAGAAAGCTTCTGTATAGTTTTTATATGAAGATACTTGCTTTTCCACAATATACCTCAAATCTCCCCAATTATCCACTTGCAGATTCTACAAAAAGAGTGTTTCAAAACTGCTCAATCAAAATACACTTTCAACTCTGTGAGATCAATGCACACATCACAAAGAAGTTTCTCAGAATGCTTCTGTATAGTTTGCTTTTCCACGATAGGCCTCAAAGCACGCCAAATATCCACTTGCAGATCCTATGAAAAGAGTGTTCCAAAACTGGTCAATCATAAGATAGGTTTAACTCTGTGAGTTGAATGCACAATCACGAGGAAGTTTCTCAGAATGCCTCTGTGTGCTTTTCATTTGAAGGTATTTCCTTTTCCACCATAGGCCGCAAAGGGCTCCAAATATCCCCTTGCAGATTCTGCAAAATGAGAGATTCAAAACTGCTCAATCAAAAGATAGGTTCAACTCTGTGAGTTGAATGCTCACATAACAAAGAAGTTTCTTCTGTGTAGTTTTTATTTGAAGATATTTCCTTTTCCACCATAGGCCGCAAAGGGCTCCAAATATCCACTTGCAGATTGTACAAAAAGAGAGATTCAAAACTGGTCACTCAAAGGATCGGTTCAGCTCTGTGAGGTGAATGCACACATCAAAAAGAAGTTTCTTAGAGTGCCTCTATGTAGATTTTATGTGAAGATATTTGCTTTTCCACTTTAGGTCTCAAAGCGCTCCAAATATCCACGTGCAGATTCTAAAAAAAGAGAGATTCTAAGCTACTCCATCAAAAGATAGGTTCAGCTCTGTGAGTTGAATTCACACATCACAAAGAAGTTTCTAGGAGTGCTTCTGTGTAGTTGTTATGTGAAGATATTTGCTTTTCCACAGTAGGCCTCAAATCGCTCTACATATCCACTTGCAGTTTCTACAAAAAGAGTGTTTCCAAACTGCTCCATCATAAGACACGTTCAACTCTGAGAGTTGAATGCACACATCACAAAGAAGCTTCTCAGAATGCTTCTGTGTGGTTTTAATTTGAAGATATTTCCTTTTCCAAAACAGGCCTCAAAGCTCTCCGAATATCCACCTGGTTATTCTGCAAAAAGAGGGTTTCAATACTACTCAATAAAAAGGAAGATTCAACTCTGTGTGAGGAACGCATTCATCACAAAGAAGTCTTTCTGAATGCTTCTGTGTAGCTTTTATATGAAGATATTTCCTTTTACACCACAGGGTGCAAACAGCTCCAAACTTCCACTTGCAGATTCTACAAAAAGACGTATTCAAAACTGTACAATCAAAAGATAGTGTCAACTCTGCATGTTCAATGCACACATCACAAAGGACTTTCTCTGAATGCTTCTCTGTAGGGTTTGTTTATGTGAAGATATTTGCTTTTCCACTATAGGGTGAAACAGGGCTCCAAGTATCAACTTGCAGATTCTGCAAAAAGGAGATTCAAAACAGCTAAATCCAAAGATTACTTCAACTATGTGAGTTGAATGCACACACAAAAAAGAAGTTTCTCAGAATGCCTCTGTGTAGTTTTTATGTGAAGATATTTGATTTTCCACATTAGGCCTCAAAGCGCTCTAAATATCCACTTGCAGATTCTAGAAAAAGAGTGTTTCAAAACTGCCCTATCAAAAGAAACGTCCAACACTGTGAGATGAATGCACACATCACAAAGAAGTTTCTCAGAATGCTTCTTTGTAATTTTTATGTGAAGATATTCCCTTTTCCAAAGAAGGCCACAAAGTACTCCCAATATCCACTTGCAGGTTCTACAAAATGAGTGTTTCAAAACCGCTCAATCATTAGATAGGTTCAACTCTGTGAGACGAATGCACACGTCACAAAGAAGTTTTACGGAATGCTTCTATATAGTTTTTATTTGAAGGTATTTCCTTTTCCACCCTAGGTTGCAAAGGGCTCCAAATATCCACTTGCAGATTCGACAAAAAGAGAGATTCAAAACTGCTCAATGATAAGTCCAACTCTGTGGGTTGAATCCATGCCTCACAAAGAAGTTTCTCAGAATGCTTCTCTGTAGTTTTTATGTGAAGATATTTCCTTTTTCACAATAGGCCTCAAGCTTTCCAAATATCCACTTGCAGATTCCGCAAAAAGAGAGATACAAAAGTGCTCTATCAAAAGATAGGTTCGACTCTGGGAGTTCAATGCAAACATCACAAAGAAGTTTCTCAGAATGCTTCTGTGTAGATTTTATGTGAAGATGTTTTGTTTTCTACCATAGGGCAAAATGGGGCTCCAAATATCTACTTGCATTTTCTACAAAAAGAGAGATTCTAAGCTGCTCAATCAAAAGATACGTTCAACACTGTTAGTTGAATGCACACATGCCAAAGAAGTTTCTCAGAATGCTTCTGTGTAGTTTTTATGTGAAGATATTTGCTTTTCCACAATAGGCCTCAAATCGTTCTAAATATCCACTTGCAGGCTCTACAAAAAGAGTGTTTCCAAATTGCTCAATCATAAGGTAGGTTCAACTCTGAGAGTTGAATGCACACATCATAAAGAAGTTTCTCAGAATGGTTCTGTGTAGTTTTACTTTGAAGATATTTCATTTTCCAAAACAGGCCCCAAAGCTCTCCAAATATCCACTTGGTGATTCTGCAAAAAGAGCGTTTCAATACTGCTCCATAAAAAGAAAGGTTCAGCTCTGTGTGAGGAATGCATTCATCACAAGAAGTTTCTCTGAATGCTTCTTTGTAGTTTTTATATGAAGATAGTTCCCTTTCCACCACAGGGTGCAAAGAGCTCCAAATATCCACTTGCAGATTCTACAGAAAATGAGATATGAAAGTGCTCAAGGAAAAGATAAGTTCAACTCTGTGAGTTGAATGCACACCTCACAAAGAAGAATCTCAAAATGCTTCTGCATAGTTTATATGTGAAGATATTTCCTTTTCCAAATAGGCCTCCAAGTTCTCCAGATATCCACTCGCAGATTCTGCAAAAAGAGAGACTCAAAACTGCTGAATCAAAACATAGTTTCAACTCTGTGACTTCATTGCACACCTCACAAAGATGTTTCTCAGAATGCTTCTGTGCAGTTTTCATATAAAGATATCTCCTTCTCCAAAATAGATCTCAAGGTTCTCCAAATATTCACTTCCAGATTCTATGGAAAGATTGTCTCAAAACTGCTCAATCAAACCAAAGGTTCAACCCTGTGAGAAGAATGCACACATCACAAGGAAGTTTCTCGGAATACTTCTGTGTAGTTTTTATTTGAGGATAGTTCCTTTTCCACCACAGACCACAAAGGGCTCCAAATATCCATTGCAGATGTTACAAAAAGAGAGATTCAAAACTGCTCAACCAAAAGGTAGTTTCAACCATGTGATATGAATGCACACAGCACAGAGAAATTTCTCAAAATGCTTCTGTCTAGTTTTTATTTGAAGATATTGCCTTTTCTACCATAGGCCACAAACGTCTCCAAATATCCACATGCAGCTTCTACAAAAAGAGAGATTCAAAGCTTCTCAATCAAAAGATAGGTTCAACTCTGTGAGTTGAATGCACACTTCACAAAGAAGTTTCTCAGAGTGCTTCTGTGTGTTGTTATGTGAAGATGATTCCTTTTCCACAATAGGCCTCAAAGCTCTCCAAATATCTGCAAGCAGAGTCTACAAAAAGAGAGATTCAAAACTGCTCAATGAAAAGATAGGTTCAACTCTGTGAGTTGAATGCACACCTCCAAAGAAGTTTCTCAGAATGCTTCCGTGTAGTTTCTATGTGAAGATATTTACTTTTCCACAATTGTCCCAAAGCTCTAAAATATCCACTTGCAGACCCTCTGAAAGAGTGTTTCAGAATTGCTCAATCAAAGGAGAGGTTCAATTCTGTGTGACCAATGCACTCATCACAAAAAGTTTGTCTGAATGCTTCTGTGTAGAATGGATTTGAAGATAATTCCTTTTCCACCACAGTCCGCAAATGGCTAAAAATATCCACTTGCAGATTCCACAAAAAGAGAGATTCAAAACTGCTCAATCACAAGGTAGGTTCAACTTGGTAATTTGAAAGCACACATGACAAACAATTTCTGAGAATGTTTCTGTGTAGCTTTTAAGGGAAGATATTTGATTTTCAAATGTAGGCCTCAAAACGCTCCAAATATCCACTTGCAGATTGTACAAAAAGAGAGATTCAAAACTGGTCACTCAAAAGATAGTTCCAGCTCTGTGAGTTGAATGCAAACCTCACAAAGATGTTTCTCAGAAAGCTTCTGTATAGTTTTTATATGAAGATACTTGCTTTTCCACAATATACCTCAAATCTCCCCAATTATCCACTTGCAGATTCTACAAAAAGAGTGTTTCAAAACTGCTCAATCAAAATACACTTTCAACTCTGTGAGATCAATGCACACATCACAAAGAAGTTTCTCAGAATGCTTCTGTATAGTTTTTATCTGAAGTTATTTGCTTTTCCACGATAGGCCTCAAAGCACGCCAAATATCCACTTGCAGATCCTATGAAAAGAGTGTTCCAAAACTGGTCAATCATAAGATAGGTTTAACTCTGTGAGTTGAATGCACAATCACGAGGAAGTTTCTCAGAATGCCTCTGTGTGCTTTTCATTTGAAGGTATTTCCTTTTCCACCATAGGCCGCAAAGGGCTCCAAATATCCCCTTGCAGATTCTGCAAAATGAGAGATTCAAAACTGCTCAATCAAAAGATAGGTTCAACTCTGTGAGTTGAATGCTCACATAACAAAGAAGTTTCTTCTGTGTAGTTTTTATTTGAAGATATTTCCTTTTCCACCATAGGCCGCAAAGGGCTCCAAATATCCACTTGCAGATTGTATAAAAAGAGAGATTCAAAACTGGTCACTCGAAGGATCGGTTCAGCTCTGTGAGGTGAATGCACACATCAAAAAGAAGTTTCTTAGAGTGCCTCTATGTAGATTTTATGTGAAGATATTTGCTTTTCCACTTTAGGTCTCAAAGCGCTCCAAATATCCACGTGCAGATTCTAAAAAAAGAGAGATTCTAAGCTACTCCATCAAAAGATAGGTTCAGCTCTGTGAGTTGAATTCACACATCACAAAGAAGTTTCTAGGAGTGCTTCTGTGTAGTTGTTATGTGAAGATATTTGCTTTTCCACAGTAGGCCTCAAATCGCTCTACATATCCACTTGCAGTTTCTACAAAAAAGAGTGTTTCCAAACTGCTCCATCATAAGACACGTTGAACTCTGAGAGTTGAATGCACACATCACAAAGAAGCTTCTCAGAATGCTTCTGTGTGGTTTTAATTTGAAGATATTTGCTTTTCCAAAACAGGCCTCAAAGCTCTCCAAATATCCACCTGGTTATTCTGCAAAAAGAGGGTTTCAATACTACTCAATAAAAAGGAAGATTCAACTCTGTGTGAGGAACGCATTCATCACAAAGAAGTCTTTCTGAATGCTTTCTGTGTAGCTTTTATATGAAGATATTTCCTTTTACACCACAGGGTGCAAACAGCTCCAAACTTCCACTTGCAGATTCTACAAAAAGACGTATTCAAAACTGTACAATCAAAAGATAGTGTCAACTGTGCATGTTCAATGCACACATCACAAAGGACTTTCTCTGAATGCTTCTCTGTAGGGTTTGTTTATGTGAAGATATTTGCTTTTCCACTATAGGGTGAAACAGGGCTCCAAGTATCAACTTGCAGATTCTGCAAAAAGGAGATTCAAAACAGCTAAATCCAAAGATTACTTCAACTATGTGAGTTGAATGCACACACAAAAAAGAAGTTTCTCAGAATGCCTCTGTGTAGTTTTTATGTGAAGATATTTGATTTTCCACATTAGGCCTCAAAGCGCTCCAAATATCCACTTGCAGATTCTAGAAAAAGAGTGTTTCAAAACTGCCCTATCAAAAGAAACGTCCAACACTGTGAGATGAATGCGCACATCACAAAGAAGTTTCTCAGAATGCTTCTTTGTAGTTTTTATGTGAAGATATTCCCTTTTCCAAAGAAGGCCACAAAGTACTCCCAATAACCACTTGCAGGTTCTACAAAATGAGTGTTTCAAAACCGCTCAATCATTAGATAGGTTCAACTCTGTGAGACGAATGCACACATCACAAAGAAGTTTTACGGAATGCTTCTATATAGTTTTTATTTGAAGGTATTTCCTTTTCCACCCTAGGTTGCAAAGGGCTCCAAATATCCACTTGCAGATTCGACAAAAAGAGAGATTCAAAACTGCTCAATGATAAGTCCAACTCTGTGGGTTGAATCCATGCCTCACAAAGAAGTTTCTCAGAATGCTTCTCTGTAGTTTTTATGTGAAGATATTTCCTTTTTCACAATAGGCCTCAAGCTTTCCAAATATCCACTTGCAGATTCCGCAAAAAAGAGAGATACAAAAGTGCTCTATCAAAAGATAGGTTCGACTCTGGGAGTTCAATGCAAACATCACAAAGAAGTTTCTCAGAATGCTTCTGTGTAGATTTTATGTGAAGATGTTTTGTTTTCTACCATAGGGCAAAATGGGGCTCCAAATATCTACTTGCATTTTCTACAAAAAGAGAGATTCTAAGCTGCTCAATCAAAAGATACGTTCAACACTGTTAGTTGAATGCACACATGCCAAAGAAGTTTCTCAGAATGCTTCTGTGTAGTTTTTATGTGAAGATATTTGCTTTTCCACAATAGGCCTCAAATCGTTCTAAATATCCACTTGCAGGCTCTACAAAAAGAGTGTTTCCAAATTGCTCAATCATAAGGTAGGTTCAACTCTGAGAGTTGAATGCACACATCATAAAGAAGTTTCTCAGAATGGTTCTGTGTAGTTTTACTTTGAAGATATTTCATTTTCCAAAACAGGCCCCAAAGCTCTCCAAATATCCACTTGGTGATTCTGCAAAAAGAGCGTTTCAATACTGCTCCATAAAAAGAAAGGTTCAGCTCTGTGTGAGGAATGCATTCATCACAAGAAGTTTCTCTGAATGCTTCTTTGTAGTTTTTATATGAAGATAGTTCCCTTTCCACCACAGGGTGCAAAGAGCTCCAAATATCCACTTGCAGATTCTACAGAAAAT
Organism: Homo sapiens; assembly: GCF_000001405.40. NCBI lineage: Eukaryota > Metazoa > Chordata > Mammalia > Primates > Hominidae > Homo > Homo sapiens. Next base: position 17,225,372 of record NC_000015.10, on the reverse strand, counting down.
GAGATATGAAAGTGCTCAAGGAAAAGATAAGTTCAACTCTGTGAGTTGCATGCACACCTCACAAAGAAGAATCTCAAAATGCTTCTGCATAGTTTATATGTGAAGATATTTCCTTTTCCAAATAGGCCTCCAAGTTCTCCAGATATCCACTCGCAGATTCTGCAAAAAGAGAGACTCAAAACTGCTGAATCAAAACATAGTTTCAACTCTGTGACTTCATTGCACACCTCACAAAGATGTTTCTCAGAATGCTTCTGTGCAGTTTTCATATAAAGATATCTCCTTCTCCAAAATAGATCTCAAGGTTCTCCAAATATTCACTTCCAGATTCTATGGAAAGATTGTCTCAAAACTGCTCAATCAAACCAAAGGTTCAACCCTGTGAGATGAATGCACACATCACAAGGAAGTTTCTCGGAATACTTCTGTGTAGTTTTTATTTGAGGATAGTTCCTTTTCCACCACAGACCACAAAGGGCTCCAAATATCCATTGCAGATGGTACAAAAAGAGAGATTCAAAACTGCTCAACCAAAAGGTAGTTTCAACCATGTGATATGAATGCACACAGCACAGAGAAATTTCTCAAAATGCTTCTGTCTAGTTTTTATTTGAAGATATTGCCTTTTCTACCATAGGCCACAAACGTCTCCAAATATCCACATGCAGCTTCTACAAAAAGAGAGATTCAAAGCTTCTCAATCAAAAGATAGGTTCAACTCTGTGAGTTGAATGCACACTTCACAAAGAAGTTTCTCAGAGTGCTTCTGTGTGTTTTTATGTGAAGATGATTCCTTTTCCACAATAGGCCTCAAAGCTCTCCAAGTATCTGCAAGCAGAGTCTACAAAAAGAGAGATTCAAAACTGCTCAATGAAAAGATAGGTTCAACTCTGTGAGTTGAATGCACACCTCCAAAGAAGTTTCTCAGAATGCTTCCGTGTAGTTTCTATGTGAAGATATTTACTTTTCCACAATTGTCCCAAAGCTCTAAAATATCCACTTGCAGACCCTCTGAAAGAGTGTTTCAGAATTGCTCAATCAAAGGAGAGGTTCAATTCTGTGTGACCAATGCACTCATCACAAAAAGTTTGTCTGAATGCTTCTGTGTAGAATGGATTTGAAGATAATTCCTTTTCCACCACAGTCCGCAAATGGCTAAAAATATCCACTTGCAGATTCCACAAAAAGAGAGATTCAAAACTGCTCAATCACAAGGTAGGTTCAACTTGGTAATTTGAAAGCACACATGACAAACAATTTCTGAGAATGTTTCTGTGTAGCTTTTAAGGGAAGATATTTGATTTTCAAATGTAGGCCTCAAAACGCTCCAAATATCCACTTGCAGATTGTACAAAAAGAGAGATTCAAAACTGGTCACTCAAAAGATAGTTCCAGCTCTGTGAGTTGAATGCAAACCTCACAAAGATGTTTCTCAGAAAGCTTCTGTATAGTTTTTATATGAAGATACTTGCTTTTCCACAATATACCTCAAATCTCCCCAATTATCCACTTGCAGATTCTACAAAAAGAGTGTTTCAAAACTGCTCAATCAAAATACACTTTCAACTCTGTGAGATCAATGCACACATCACAAAGAAGTTTCTCAGAATGCTTCTGTATAGTTTTTATCTGAAGTTATTTGCTTTTCCACGATAGGCCTCAAAGCACGCCAAATATCCACTTGCAGATCCTATGAAAAGAGTGTTCCAAAACTGGTCAATCATAAGATAGGTTTAACTCTGTGAGTTGAATGCACAATCACGAGGAAGTTTCTCAGAATGCCTCTGTGTGCTTTTCATTTGAAGGTATTTCCTTTTCCACCATAGGCCGCAAAGGGCTCCAAATATCCCCTTGCAGATTCTGCAAAATGAGAGATTCAAAACTGCTCAATCAAAAGATAGGTTCAACTCTGTGAGTTGAATGCTCACATAACAAAGAAGTTTCTTCTGTGTAGTTTTTATTTGAAGATATTTCCTTTTCCACCATAGGCCGCAAAGGGCTCCAAATATCCACTTGCAGATTGTATAAAAAGAGAGATTCAAAACTGGTCACTCGAAGGATCGGTTCAGCTCTGTGAGGTGAATGCACACATCAAAAAGAAGTTTCTTAGAGTGCCTCTATGTAGATTTTATGTGAAGATATTTGCTTTTCCACTTTAGGTCTCAAAGCGCTCCAAATATCCACGTGCAGATTCTAAAAAAAGAGAGATTCTAAGCTACTCCATCAAAAGATAGGTTCAGCTCTGTGAGTTGAATTCACACATCACAAAGAAGTTTCTAGGAGTGCTTCTGTGTAGTTGTTATGTGAAGATATTTGCTTTTCCACAGTAGGCCTCAAATCGCTCTACATATCCACTTGCAGTTTCTACAAAAAAGAGTGTTTCCAAACTGCTCCCATCATAAGACACGTTGAACTCTGAGAGTTGAATGCACACATCACAAAGAAGCTTCTCAGAATGCTTCTGTGTGGTTTTAATTTGAAGATATTTCCTTTTCCAAAACAGACCTCAAAGCTCTCCGAATATCCACCTGGTTATTCTGCAAAAAGAGGGTTTCAATACTACTCAATAAAAAGGAAGATTCAACTCTGTGTGAGGAACGCATTCATCACAAAGAAGTCTTTCTGAATGCTTCTGTGTAGCTTTTATATGAAGATATTTCCTTTTACACCACAGGGTGCAAACAGCTCCAAACTTCCACTTGCAGATTCTACAAAAAGACGTATTCAAAACTGTACAATCAAAAGATAGTGTCAACTCTGCATGTTCAATGCACACATCACAAAGGACTTTCTCTGAATGCTTCTCTGTAGGGTTTGTTTATGTGAAGATATTTGCTTTTCCACTATAGGGTGAAACAGGGCTCCAAGTATCAACTTGCAGATTCTGCAAAAAGGAGATTCAAAACAGCTAAATCCAAAGATTACTTCAACTATGTGAGTTGAATGCACACACAAAAAAGAAGTTTCTCAGAATGCCTCTGTGTAGTTTTTATGTGAAGATATTTGATTTTCCACATTAGGCCTCAAAGCGCTCCAAATATCCACTTGCAGATTCTAGAAAAAGAGTGTTTCAAAACTGCCCTATCAAAAGAAACGTCCAACACTGTGAGATGAATGCACACATCACAAAGAAGTTTCTCAGAATGCTTCTTTGTAGTTTTTATGTGAAGATATTCCCTTTTCCAAAGAAGGCCACAAAGTACTCCCAATATCCACTTGCAGGTTCTACAAAATGAGTGTTTCAAAACCGCTCAATCATTAGATAGGTTCAACTCTGTGAGACGAATGCACACGTCACAAAGAAGTTTTACGGAATGCTTCTATATAGTTTTTATTTGAAGGTATTTCCTTTTCCACCCTAGGTTACAAAGGGCTCCAAATATCCACTTGCAGATTCGACAAAAAGAGAGATTCAAAACTGCTCAATGATAAGTCCAACTCTGTGGGTTGAATCCATGCCTCACAAAGAAGTTTCTCAGAATGCTTCTCTGTAGTTTTTATGTGAAGATATTTCCTTTTTCACAATAGGCCTCAAGCTTTCCAAATATCCACTTGCAGATTCCGCAAAAAGAGAGATACAAAAGTGCTCTATCAAAAGATAGGTTCGACTCTGGGAGTTCAATGCAAACATCACAAAGAAGTTTCTCAGAATGCTTCTGTGTAGATTTTATGTGAAGATGTTTTGTTTTCTACCATAGGGCAAAATGGGGCTCCAAATATCTACTTGCATTTTCTACAAAAAGAGAGATTCTAAGCTGCTCAATCAAAAGATACGTTCAACACTGTTAGTTGAATGCACACATGCCAAAGAAGTTTCTCAGAATGCTTCTGTGTAGTTTTTATGTGAAGATATTTGCTTTTCCACAATAGGCCTCAAATCGTTCTAAATATCCACTTGCAGGCTCTACAAAGAGAGTGTTTCCAAATTGCTCAATCATAAGGTAGGTTCAACTCTGAGAGTTGAATGCACACATCATAAAGAAGTTTCTCAGAATGGTTCTGTGTAGTTTTACTTTGAAGATATTTCATTTTCCAAAACAGGCCCCAAAGCTCTCCAAATATCCACTTGGTGATTCTGCAAAAAGAGCGTTTCAATACTGCTCCATAAAAAGAAAGGTTCAGCTCTGTGTGAGGAATGCATTCATCACAAGAAGTTTCTCTGAATGCTTCTTTGTAGTTTTTATATGAAGATAGTTCCCTTTCCACCACAGGGTGCAAAGAGCTCCAAATATCCACTTGCAGATTCTACAGAAAATGAGATATGAAAGTGCTCAAGGAAAAGATAAGTTCAACTCTGTGAGTTGCATGCACACCTCACAAGGAAGAATCTCAAAATGCTTCTGCATAGTTTATATGTGAAGATATTTCCTTTTCCAAATAGGCCTCCAAGTTCTCCAGATATCCACTCGCAGATTCTGCAAAAAGAGAGACTCAAAACTGCTGAATCAAAACATAGTTTCAACTCTGTGACTTCATTGCACACCTCACAAAGATGTTTCTCAGAATGCTTCTGTGCAGTTTTCATATAAAGATATCTCCTTCTCCAAAATAGATCTCAAGGTTCTCCAAATATTCACTTCCAGATTCTATGGAAAGATTGTCTCAAAACTGCTCAATCAAACCAAAGGTTCAACCCTGTGAGATGAATGCACACATCACAAGGAAGTTTCTCGGAATACTTCTGTGTAGTTTTTATTTGAGGATAGTTCCTTTTCCACCACAGACCACAAAGGGCTCCAAATATCCATTGCAGATGTTACAAAAAGAGAGATTCAAAACTGCTCAACCAAAAGGTAGTTTCAACCATGTGATATGAATGCACACAGCACAGAGAAATTTCTCAAAATGCTTCTGTCTAGTTTTTATTTGAAGATATTGCCTTTTCTACCATAGGCCACAAACGTCTCCAAATATCCACATGCAGCTTCTACAAAAAGAGAGATTCAAAGCTTCTCAATCAAAAGATAGGTTCAACTCTGTGAGTTGAATGCACACTTCACAAAGAAGTTTCTCAGAGTGCTTCTGTGTGTTTTTATGTGAAGATGATTCCTTTTCCACAATAGGCCTCAAAGCTCTCCAAATATCTGCAAGCAGAGTCTACAAAAAGAGAGATTCAAAACTGCTCAATGAAAAGATAGGTTCAACTCTGTGAGTTGAATGCACACCTCCAAAGAAGTTTCTCAGAATGCTTCCGTGTAGTTTCTATGTGAAGATATTTACTTTTCCACAATTGTCCCAAAGCTCTAAAATATCCACTTGCAGACCCTCTGAAAGAGTGTTTCAGAATTGCTCAAAGGAGAGGTTCAATTCTGTGTGACCAATGCACTCATCACAAAAAGTTTGTCTGAATGCTTCTGTGTAGAATGGATTTGAAGATAATTCCTTTTCCACCACAGTCCGCAAATGGCTAAAAATATCCACTTGCAGATTCCACAAAAAGAGAGATTCAAAACTGCTCAATCACAAGGTAGGTTCAACTTGGTAATTTGAAAGCACACATGACAAACAATTTCTGAGAATGTTTCTGTGTAGCTTTTAAGGGAAGATATTTGATTTTCAAATGTAGGCCTCAAAACGCTCCAAATATCCACTTGCAGATTGTACAAAAAGAGAGATTCAAAACTGGTCACTCAAAAGATAGTTCCAGCTCTGTGAGTTGAATGCAAACCTCACAAAGATGTTTCTCAGAAAGCTTCTGTATAGTTTTTATATGAAGATACTTGCTTTTCCACAATATACCTCAAATCTCCCCAATTATCCACTTGCAGATTCTACAAAAAGAGTGTTTCAAAACTGCTCAATCAAAATACACTTTCAACTCTGTGAGATCAATGCACACATCACAAAGAAGTTTCTCAGAATGCTTCTGTATAGTTTTTATCTGAAGTTACTTGTTTTTCCACGATAGGCCTCAAAGCACACCAAATATCCACTTGCAGATCCTGTGAAAACAGTGTTCCAAAACTGGTCAATCATAAGATAGGTTTAACTCTGTGAGTTGAATGCACAATCACAAGAAGTTTCTCAGAATGCCTCTGTGTAGTTTTTATTTGGAGGTATTTCCTTTTCCACCCTAGGTAGCAAAGGGCTCCAAATATCCCCTTGCAGATTCTGCAAAATGAGAGATTCAAAACTGCTCAATCAAAAGATAGGTTCAGCTCTGTGAGTTGAATGCTCACATAACAAAGAAGTTTCTCACAGTATTTCTGCCTAGTTTTTAAGTGAAGATATTTTCTTTTCCGAAATAGACCTCAAAGCCCTCCAAATATCAACTTCCAGACTCTACAAAAGCAGTGTTTCAAAACTGCTCAATCAAAAGAAATTGTCAACTCTGTGAGATGAATGTACACATCACAAAGAAGTTTCTCAGAATGCTTCTGTGTAGTTTTTATTTGAAGATATTTCCTTTTCCACCACAGGCCGCAAAGGGCTCCCAATATCCACTTGCAGATTGTACAAAAAGAGAGATTCAAAACTGGTCACTCAAGCACTGTGTGCTTCAGCTCTGTGAGTTGAATGCACACATCAAAAAGAAGTTTCTTAGAGTGCCTCTACGTAGATTTTATATGAAGATATTTGCTTTTCCACTTCAGGTCTCAAAGCGCCCCAAATATCCACGTGCAGATTCTAAAAAAAGAGAGATTCTAAGCTACTCCATCAAAAGATAGGTTCAGCTCTGTGAGTTGAATTCACACATCACAAAGAAGTTTCTAGGAGTGCTTCTGTGTAGTTGTTATGTGAAGATATTTGCTTTTCCACAGTAGGCCTCAAATCGCTCTACATATCCACTTGCAGTTTCTACAAAAAGAGTGTTTCCAAACTGCTCCATCATAAGGTACGTTGAACTCTGAGTGTTGAATGCACACATCACAAAGAAGTTTCTCAGAAAGCTTCTGTGTGGTTTTAATTTGAAGATGTTTCCTTTTCCAAAACAGGCCTCAAAACTCTCCATATATCCCCCTGGTTATTCTGCAAAAAGAGGGTTTCAAAACTACTCAATAAAAAGGAAGATTCAACTCTGTGTGAGGAACGCATTCCTCACAAAGAAGTCTCTCTGAAAGCTTCTGTGTAGTTTTTATATGAAGATATTTCCTTTTGCACCACAGCGTGCAAACAGCTCCAAACTTCCACTTGCAGATTCTACAAAAAGAGATATTCAAAACTGTACAATCAAAAGATAGTTTCAACTCTGCGTGTTCAATGCACACATCACAAAGGACTTTCTCTGAATGCTTCTCTGTAGTGTTTGTTTATGTGAAGAGATTTGCTTTTCCACTATAGGGTGAAACAGGGCTCCATGTATCAACTTGCAGATTCTGCAAAAAGGAGATTCAAAACAGCTAAATCCAAAGATAACTTCAACTATGTGAGTTGAATGCACACACAAAAAAGAAGTTTCTCAGAATGCCTCTGTGTAGTTTTTATGTGAAGATATTTGATTTTCCACATTAGGCCTCAAAGCGCTCCAAATATCCACTTGCAGACTCTACAAGAAGACTCTTTCGAAACTGCCCCATCAAAAGAAACGTCCAACACTGTGAGATGCATGCACACATCACAAAGAAGTTTCTCAGAATGCTTCTTTGTAGTTTTCATGTGAAGATATTTCCTTTTCCAAAGAAGGCCACAAACTACTCCCAATATCCACTTCCAGGTTCTACAAAATGAGTGTTTCAAAACTGCTCAATCATTAGATAGGTTCAACTCTGTGAGATGAATGCACACATCACAAAGAAGTTTTTCGGAATGCTTCTATATAGTTTTTATGTGAAGGTGTTTCCTTTTCCACCATAGGTTGCAAAAGGGCTCCAAATATCCACTTGCAGATTCGACCAAAAGAGAGATTCAAAACTGCTCAATGATAAGTCCAACTCTGTGGGTTGAATCCATGCCTCACAGAGAAGTTTCTCAGAATGCTTCTCTGTAGTTTCTATGTGAAGATATTTCCTTTTTCACAATAGGCCTCAAGCTTTCCAAATATCCACTTGCAGATTCTGCAAAAAGAGAGATACAAAACTGCTCTATCAAAAGATAGGTTCGACTCTGGGAGTTCAATGCAAACATCACAAAGAAGTTTCTCAGAATGCTTCTGTGTAGTTTTTATGTGAAGATGTTCTGTTTTCTACCATAGGGCAAAATGGGGCTCCAAATCTCTACTTGCATTTTCTACAAAAGGAGAGATTCTAAGCTGCTCAATCAAAAGATAGGTTCAACACTGTTAGTTGAATGCACACATCCCAAAGAAGTCTCTGAGAATGCTTCTGTGTAGTTTTTATGTGAAGATATTTGCTTTTCCACAATAGGCCTCAAATCGTTCTAAATATCCACTTGCAGGCTCTACAAAAAGAGTGTTTCCAAATTGCTCAATCATAAGGTAGCTTCAACTCTGAGAGTTGAATGCTCACATCATGAAGAAGTTTCTCAGAATGGTTCTGTGTAGTTTTACTTTGAAGATATTTCATTTTCCAAATCAGGCCCCAAAGCTCTCCAAATATCCACTTGGTGATTCTGCAAAAGGAGCGTTTCAATACTGCTCAATAAAAAGAAAGGCTCAACTCTGTGTGAGGAATGCATTCATCACAAAGAAGTTTCTCTGAATGCTTCTTTGTAGTTTTTATATGAAGATATTTCCCTTTCCACCACAGGGTGCAAAGAGCTCCAAATATCCACTTGCAGATTCCACAAAAAAAGAGATATGAAAGTGCTCCATGGAAAGATAAGTTCAACTCTGTGAGTTGAATGCACACCTCACAAAGAAGTATCTCAAAATGCTTCTGCGTAGTTTTTATGTGAAGATATTTCCTTTTCCAAGTAGGCCTCAACGTTCTCCAGATATCCACTCGCAGATTCTGCAAAAAGAGAGACTCAAAACTGCTGAATCAAAAGACAGTTTCAACTCTGTGACTTCATTGCACACCTCACAAAGATGTTTCTCAGAATGCTTCTGTGCAGTTTTTATATAAAGATATCTCCTTCTCCAAAATAGATCTCAAAGTTATCCAAGTATTCACTTCCAGATTCTATGGAAAGATTATCTCAAAACTGCTCAATCAAACCAAAGGTTCAACTCTGTGAGATAAATGCACACATCACAAAGAAGTTTCTCAGAATACTTCCGTGTAGTTTTTATTTGAGGATAGTTCCTTTTCCACCACAGACCACAAAGGGCTCCAAATATCCATTGCAGATGGTACAAACAGAGAGACTCGAAACTGCTCAATCAAAAGGTAGTTTCAACCATGTGATATGAATGCACACAGCACAGAGAATTTTCTCAAAATGCTTCTGTCTAGTTTTTATTTGAAGATATATCCTTTTCTACCATAGGCCACAAACGTCTCCAAATATCCACATGCAGCTTCTACAAAAAGAGAGATTCAAAACTTCTCCATCAAAAGATAGGTTCAACTCTGTGAGTTGAATGCACACCTCACAAAGAAGTTTCTCAGAGTTCTTCTGTGTGTTTTTATGTGAACATATTCCCTTTTCCACAATAGGCCTCAAAGCTCTCCAAATATCTGCAAGCAGAGTCTACAAAAAGAGAGATTCAAAACTGCTCAATGAAAAGATAGGTTCAACTCTGTGAGTTGAATGCACACCTCCAAAGAAGTTTCTCAGAATGCTTCCGTGTAGTTTCTATGTGAAGATATTTACTTTTCCACAATTGTCCCAAAGCTCTAAAATATCCACTTGCAGACCCTCTGAAAGAGTGTTTCAGAATTGCTCAATCAAAGGAGAGGTTCAATTCTGTGTGACCAATGCACTCATCACCAAGAAGTTTGTCTGAATGCTTCTGTGTAGAATGGATTTGAAGATAATTCCTTTTCCACCACAGTCCGCAAAGGGCTAAAAATATCCATTTGCAGATTCCACAAAAAGAGAGATTCAGAACTGCTCAATCACAAGATAGGTTCAACTTGGTAATTTGAAAGCCCACATGACAAACAATTTCTGAGAATGTTTCTGTGTAGTTTTTAAGGGAAGATATTTGATTTTCAAATGTAGGCCTCAAATCGCTCCAAATATCCACTTGCAGATTGAACAAAAAGAGAGATTCAAAACTGGTCACTCAAGAGATAGGTCCAGCTCTGTGAGTTGAATGCAAACCTCACAAAGATGTTTCTCAGAAGGCTTCTGTATAGTTTTTATATGAAGATATTTGCTTTTCCACAACATACCTCAAATCTCTCCAATTATCCACTTGCAGATTCTACAGAAGGAGTGTTTTAAAACTGCTCAATCAAAATACACTTTCAACTCTGTGAGATCAATGCACACATCACAAAGAAGTTTCTCAGAATGCTTCTGTATAGTTTTTATCTGAAGTTACTTGCTTTTCAACGATAGGCCTCAAAGCACACCAAATATCCACTTGCAGATCCTGTGAAAACAGTGTTCCAAAACTGGTCAATCATAAGATAGGTTTAACTCTGTGAGTTGAATGCACAATCACAAGAAGTTTCTCAGAATGCCTCTGTGTAGTTTTTATTTGGAGGTATTTCCTTTTCCACCCTAGGTAGCAAAGGGCTCCAAATATCCCCTTGCAGATTCTGCAAAATGAGAGATTCAAAACTGCTCAATCAAAAGATAGGTTCAGCTCTGTGAGTTGAATGCTCACATAACAAAGAAGTTTCTCACAGTATTTCTGCCTAGTTTTTAAGTGAAGATATTTTCTTTTCCGAAATAGACCTCAAAGCCCTCCAAATATCAACTTCCAGACTCTACAAAAGCAGTGTTTCAAAACTGCTCAATCAAAAGAAATTGTCAACTCTGTGAGATGAATGTACACATCACAAAGAAGTTTCTCAGAATGCTTCTGTGTAGTTTTTATTTGAAGATATTTCCTTTTCCACCACAGGCCGCAAAGGGCTCCCAATATCCACTTGCAGATTGTACAAAAAGAGAGATTCAAAACTGGTCACTCAAGCACTGTGTGCTTCCGCTCTGTGAGTTGAATGCACACATCAAAAAGAAGTTTCTTAGAGTGCCTCTATGTAGATTTTATGTGAAGATATTTGCTTTTCCACTTTAGGTCTCAAAGCGCTCCAAATATCCACGTGCAGATTCTAAAAAAAGAGACATTCTAAGCTACTCCATCAAAAGATAGGTTCAGCTCTGTGAGTTGAATTCACACATCACAAAGAAGTTTCTAGGAGTGCTTCTGTGTAGTTGTTATGTGAAGATATTTGCTTTTCCACAGTAGGCCTCAAATCGCTCTACATATCCACTTGCAGTTTCTACAAAAAGAGTGTTTCCAAACTGCTCCATCATAAGACACGTTCAACTCTGAGAGTTGAATGCACACATCACAAAGAAGTTTCTCAGAATGCTTTCTGTGTGGTTTTAATTTGAAGATATTTCCTTTTCCAAAACAGGCCTCAAAGCTCTCCAAATATCCCCCTGGTTATTCTGCAAAAAGAGGGTTTCAAAACTACTCAATAAAAAGGTAGATTCAACTCTGTGTGAGGAACGCATTCCTCACAAAGAAGTCTCTCTGAAAGCTTCTGTGTAGTTTTTATATGAAGATATTTCCTTTTGCACCACAGCGTGCAAACAGCTCCAAACTTCCACTTGCAGATTCTACAAAAAGAGATATTCAAAACTGTACAATCAAAAGATAGTTTCAACTCTGCGTGTTCAATGCACACATCACAAAGGACTTTCTCTGAATGCTTCTCTGTAGTGTTTGTTTATGTGAAGATATTTGCTTTTCCACTATAGGGTGAAACAGGGCTCCAGGTATCAACTTGCAGATTCTGCAAAAAGGAGATTCAAAACAGCTAAATCGAAAGATAACTTCAACTATGTGAGTTGAATGCACACACAAAAAAGAAGTTTCTCAGAATGCCTCTGTGTAGTTTTTATGTGAAGATATTTGATTTTCCACATTAGGCCTCAAAGCGCTCCAAATATCCACTTGCAGACTCTACAAGAAGACTCTTTCGAAACTGCCCCATCAAAAGAAACGTCCAACACTGTGAGATGCATGCACACATCACAAAGAAGTTTCTCAGAATGCTTCTTTGTAGTTTTCATGTGAAGATATTTCCTTTTCCAAAGAAGGCCACAAACTACTCCCAATATCCACTTCCAGGTTCTACAAAATGAGTGTTTCAAAACTGCTCAATCATTAGATAGGTTCAACTCTGTGAGATGAATGCACACATCACAAAGAAGTTTTTCGGAATGCTTCTATATAGTTTTTATGTGAAGGTGTTTCCTTTTCCACCATAGGTTGCAAAAGGGCTCCAAATATCCACTTGCAGATTCGACCAAAAGAGAGATTCAAAACTGCTCAATGATAAGTCCAACTCTGTGGGTTGAATCCATGCCTCACAGAGAAGTTTCTCAGAATGCTTCTCTGTAGTTTCTATGTGAAGATATTTCCTTTTTCACAATAGGCCTCAAGCTTTCCAAATATCCACTTGCAGATTCTGCAAAAAGAGAGATACAAAACTGCTCTATCAAAAGATAGGTTCGACTCTGGGAGTTCAATGCAAACATCACAAAGAAGTTTCTCAGAATGCTTCTGCGTAGTTTTTATGTGAAGATGTTCTGTTTTCTACCATAGGGCGAAATGGGGCTCCAAATCTCTACTTGCATTTTCTACAAAAGGAGAGATTCTAAGCTGCTCAATCAAAAGATAGGTTCAACACTGTTAGTTGAATGCACACATCCCAAAGAAGTCTCTGAGAATGCTTCTGTGTAGTTTTTATGTGAAGATATTTGCTTTTCCACAATAGGCCTCAAATCGTTCTAAATATCCACTTGCAGGCTCTACAAAAAGAGTGTTTCCAAATTGCTCAATCATAAGGTAGCTTCAACTCTGAGAGTTGAATGCTCACATCATGAAGAAGTTTCTCAGAATGGTTCTGTGTAGTTTTACTTTGAAGATATTTCATTTTCCAAATCAGGCCCCAAAGCTCTCCAAATATCCACTTGGTGATTCTGCAAAAAGAGCGTTTCAATACTGCTCAATAAAAAGAAAGGCTCAACTCTGTGTGAGGAATGCATTCATCACAAAGAAGTTTCTCTGAATGCTTCTTTGTAGTTTTTATATGAAGATATTTCCCTTTCCACCACAGGGTGCAAAGAGCTCCAAATATCCACTTGCAGATTCCACAAAAAAAGAGATATGAAAGTGCTCCATGGAAAGATAAGTTCAACTTCTGTGAGTTGAATGCACACCTCACAAAGAAGTATCTCAAAATGCTTCTGCGTAGTTTTTATGTGAAGATATTTCCTTTTCCAAGTAGGCCTCAACGTTCTCCAGATATCCACTCGCAGATTCTGCAAAAAGAGAGACTCAAAACTGCTGAATCAAAAGATAGTTTCAACTCTGTGACTTCATTGCACACCTCACAAAGATGTTTCTCAGAATGCTTCTGTGCAGTTTTTATATAAAGATATCTCCTTCTCCAAAATAGATCTCAAAGTTATCCAAGTATTCACTTCCAGATTCTATGGAAAGATTATCTCAAAACTGCTCAATCAAACCAAAGGTTCAACTCTGTGAGATAAATGCACACATCACAAAGAAGTTTCTCAGAATACTTCCGTGTAGTTTTTATTTGAGGATAGTTCCTTTTCCACCACAGACCACAAAGGGCTCCAAATATCCATTGCAGATGGTACAAACAGAGAGACTCGAAACTGCTCAATCAAAAGGTAGTTTCAACCATGTGATATGAATGCACACAGCACAGAGAATTTTCTCAAAATGCTTCTGTCTAGTTTTTATTTGAAGATATATCCTTTTCTACCATAGGCCACAAACGTCTCCAAATATCCACATGCAGCTTCTACAAAAAGAGAGATTCAAAACTTCTCCATCAAAAGATAGGTTCAACTCTGTGAGTTGAATGCACACCTCACAAAGAAGTTTCTCAGAGTGCTTCTGTGTGTTTTTATGTGAACATATTCCCTTTTCCACAATAGGCCTCAAAGCTCTCCAAATATCTGCAAGCAGAGTCTACAAAAAGAGAGATTCAAAACTGCTCAATGAAAAGATAGGTTCAACTCTGTGAGTTGAATGCACACCTCCAAAGAAGTTTCTCAGAATGCTTCCGTGTAGTTTCTATGTGAAGATATTTACTTTTCCACAATTGTCCCAAAGCTCTAAAATATCCACTTGCAGACCCTCTGAAAGAGTGTTTCAGAATTGCTCAATCAAAGGAGAGGTTCAATTCTGTGTGACCAATGCACTCATCACCAAGAAGTTTGTCTGAATGCTTCTGTGTAGAATGGATTTGAAGATAATTCCTTTTCCACCACAGTCCGCAAAGGGCTAAAAATATCCATTTGCAGATTCCACAAAAAGAGAGATTCAGAACTGCTCAATCACAAGATAGGTTCAACTTGGTAATTTGAAAGCCCACATGACAAACAATTTCTGAGAATGTTTCTGTGTAGTTTTTAAGGGAAGATATTTGATTTTCAAATGTAGGCCTCAAATCGCTCCAAATATCCACTTGCAGATTGAACAAAAAGAGAGATTCAAAACTGGTCACTCAAGAGATAGGTCCAGCTCTGTGAGTTGAATGCAAACCTCACAAAGATGTTTCTCAGAAGGCTTCTGTATAGTTTTTATATGAAGATATTTGCTTTTCCACAACATACCTCAAATCTCTCCAATTATCCACTTGCAGATTCTACAGAAGGAGTGTTTTAAAACTGCTCAATCAAAATACACTTTCAACTCTGTGAGATCAATGCACACATCACAAAGAAGTTTCTCAGAATGCTTCTGTATAGTTTTTATCTGAAGTTACTTGCTTTTCCACGATAGGCCTCAAAGCACACCAAATATCCACTTGCAGATCCTGTGAAAACAGTGTTCCAAAACTGGTCAATCATAAGATAGGTTTAACTCTGTGAGTTGAATGCACAATCACAAGAAGTTTCTCAGAATGCCTCTGTGTAGTTTTTATTTGGAGGTATTTCCTTTTCCACCCTAGGTAGCAAAGGGCTCCAAATATCCCCTTGCAGATTCTGCAAAATGAGAGATTCAAAACTGCTCAATCAAAAGATAGGTTCAGCTCTGTGAGTTGAATGCTCACATAACAAAGAAGTTTCTCACAGTATTTCTGCCTAGTTTTTAAGTGAAGATATTTTCTTTTCCGAAATAGACCTCAAAGCCCTCCAAATATCAACTTCCAGACTCTACAAAAGCAGTGTTTCAAAACTGCTCAATCAAAAGAAATTGTCAACTCTGTGAGATGAATGTACACATCACAAAGAAGTTTCTCAGAATGCTTCTGTGTAGTTTTTATTTGAAGATATTTCCTTTTCCACCACAGGCCGCAAAGGGCTCCCAATATCCACTTGCAGATTGTACAAAAAGAGAGATTCAAAACTGGTCACTCAAGCACTGTGTGCTTCAGCTCTGTGAGTTGAATGCACACATCAAAAAGAAGTTTCTTAGAGTGCCTCTATGTAGATTTTATGTGAAGATATTTGCTTTTCCACTTTAGGTCTCAAAGCGCTCCAAATATCCACGTGCAGATTCTAAAAAAAGAGAGATTCTAAGCTACTCCATCAAAAGATAGGTTCAGCTCTGTGAGTTGAATTCACACATCACAAAGAAGTTTCTAGGAGTGCTTCTGTGTAGTTGTTATGTGAAGATATTTGCTTTTCCACAGTAGGCCTCAAATCGCTCTACATATCCACTTGCAGTTTCTACAAAAAGAGTGTTTCCAAACTGCTCCATCATAAGACACGTTCAACTCTGAGAGTTGAATGCACACATCACAAAGAAGTTTCTCAGAATGCTTCTGTGTGGTTTTAATTTGAAGATATTTCCTTTTCCAAAACAGGCCTCAAAGCTCTCCAAATATCCCCCTGGTTATTCTGCAAAAAGAGGGTTTCAAAACTACTCAATAAAAAGGTAGATTCAACTCTGTGTGAGGAACGCATTCCTCACAAAGAAGTCTCTCTGAAAGCTTCTGTGTAGTTTTTATATGAAGATATTTCCTTTTGCACCACAGCGTGCAAACAGCTCCAAACTTCCACTTGCAGATTCTACAAAAAGAGATATTCAAAACTGTACAATCAAAAGATAGTTTCAACTCTGCGTGTTCAATGCACACATCACAAAGGACTTTCTCTGAATGCTTCTCTGTAGTGTTTGTTTATGTGAAGATATTTGCTTTTCCACTATAGGGTGAAACAGGGCTCCAGGTATCAACTTGCAGATTCTGCAAAAAGGAGATTCAAAACAGCTAAATCGAAAGATAACTTCAACTATGTGAGTTGAATGCACACACAAAAAAGAAGTTTCTCAGAATGCCTCTGTGTAGTTTTTATGTGAAGATATTTGATTTTCCACATTAGGCCTCAAAGCGCTCCAAATATCCACTTGCAGACTCTACAAGAAGACTCTTTCGAAACTGCCCCATCAAAAGGAAACGTCCAACACTGTGAGATGCATGCACACATCACAAAGAAGTTTCTCAGAATGCTTCTTTGTAGTTTTCATGTGAAGATATTTCCTTTTCCAAAGAAGGCCACAAACTACTCCCAATATCCACTTCCAGGTTCTACAAAATGAGTGTTTCAAAACTGCTCAATCATTAGATAGGTTCAACTCTGTGAGATGAATGCACACATCACAAAGAAGTTTTTCGGAATGCTTCTATATAGTTTTTATGTGAAGGTGTTTCCTTTTCCACCATAGGTTGCAAAAGGGCTCCAAATATCCACTTGCAGATTCGACCAAAAGAGAGATTCAAAACTGCTCAATGATAAGTCCAACTCTGTGGGTTGAATCCATGCCTCACAGAGAAGTTTCTCAGAATGCTTCTCTGTAGTTTCTATGTGAAGATATTTCCTTTTTCACAATAGGCCTCAAGCTTTCCAAATATCCACTTGCAGATTCTGCAAAAAGAGAGATACAAAACTGCTCTATCAAAAGATAGGTTCGACTCTGGGAGTTCAATGCAAACATCACAAAGAAGTTTCTCAGAATGCTTCTGCGTAGTTTTTATGTGAAGATGTTCTGTTTTCTACCATAGGGCGAAATGGGGCTCCAAATCTCTACTTGCATTTTCTACAAAAGGAGAGATTCTAAGCTGCTCAATCAAAAGATAGGTTCAACACTGTTAGTTGAATGCACACATCCCAAAGAAGTCTCTGAGAATGCTTCTGTGTAGTTTTTATGTGAAGATATTTGCTTTTCCACAATAGGCCTCAAATCGTTCTAAATATCCACTTGCAGGCTCTACAAAAAGAGTGTTTCCAAATTGCTCAATCATAAGGTAGCTTCAACTCTGAGAGTTGAATGCTCACATCATGAAGAAGTTTCTCAGAATGGTTCTGTGTAGTTTTACTTTGAAGATATTTCATTTTCCAAATCAGGCCCCAAAGCTCTCCAAATATCCACTTGGTGATTCTGCAAAAAGAGCGTTTCAATACTGCTCAATAAAAAGAAAGGCTCAACTCTGTGTGAGGAATGCATTCATCACAAAGAAGTTTCTCTGAATGCTTCTTTGTAGTTTTTATATGAAGATATTTCCCTTTCCACCACAGGGTGCAAAGAGCTCCAAATATCCACTTGCAGATTCCACAAAAAAAGAGATATGAAAGTGCTCCATGGAAAGATAAGTTCAACTCTGTGAGTTGAATGCACACCTCACAAAGAAGTATCTCAAAATGCTTCTGCGTAGTTTTTATGTGAAGATATTTCCTTTTCCAAGTAGGCCTCAACGTTCTCCAGATATCCACTCGCAGATTCTGCAAAAAGAGAGACTCAAAACTGCTGAATCAAAAGATAGTTTCAACTCTGTGACTTCATTGCACACCTCACAAAGATGTTTCTCAGAATGCTTCTGTGCAGTTTTTATATAAAGATATCTCCTTCTCCAAAATAGATCTCAAAGTTATCCAAGTATTCACTTCCAGATTCTATGGAAAGATTATCTCAAAACTGCTCAATCAAACCAAAGGTTCAACTCTGTGAGATAAATGCACACATCACAAAGAAGTTTCTCAGAATACTTCTGTGTAGTTTTTATTTGAGGATAGTTCCTTTTCCACCACAGACCACAAAGGGCTCCAAATATCCATTGCAGATGTTACAAAAAGAGAGATTCAAAACTGCTCAATCAAAAGGTAGTTTCAACCATGTGATATGAATGCACACAGCACAGAGAAATTTCTCAAAATGCTTCTGTCTAGTTTTTATTTGAAGATATTGCCTTTTCTACCATAGGCCACAAACGTCTCCAAATATCCACATGCAGCTTCTACAAAAAGAGAGATTCAAAGCTTCTCAATCAAAAGATAGGTTCAACTCTGTGAGTTGAATGCACACTTCACAAAGAAGTTTCTCAGAGTGCTTCTGTGTGTTTTTATGTGAAGATGATTCCTTTTCCACAATAGGCCTCAAAGCTCTCCAAATATCTGCAAGCAGAGTCTACAAAAAGAGAGATTCAAAACTGCTCAATGAAAAGATAGGTTCAACTCTGTGAGTTGAATGCACACCTCCAAAGAAGTTTCTCAGAATGCTTCCGTGTAGTTTCTATGTGAAGATATTTACTTTTCCACAATTGTCCCAAAGCTCTAAAATATCCACTTGCAGACCCTCTGAAAGAGTGCTTCAGAATTGCTCAATCAAAGGAGAGGTTCAATTCTGTGTGACCAATGCACTCATCACAAAAAGTTTGTCTGAATGCTTCTGTGTAGAATGGATTTGAAGATAATTCCTTTTCCACCACAGTCCGCAAATGGCTAAAAATATCCACTTGCAGATTCCACAAAAAGAGAGATTCAAAACTGCTCAATCACAAGGTAGGTTCAACTTGGTAATTTGAAAGCACACATGACAAACAATTTCTGAGAATGTTTCTGTGTAGCTTTTAAGGGAAGATATTTGATTTTCAAATGTAGGCCTCAAAACGCTCCAAATATCCACTTGCAGATTGTACAAAAAGAGAGATTCAAAACTGGTCACTCAAAAGATAGTTCCAGCTCTGTGAGTTGAATGCAAACCTCACAAAGATGTTTCTCAGAAAGCTTCTGTATAGTTTTTATATGAAGATACTTGCTTTTCCACAATATACCTCAAATCTCCCCAATTATCCACTTGCAGATTCTACAAAAAGAGTGTTTCAAAACTGCTCAATCAAAATACACTTTCAACTCTGTGAGATCAATGCACACATCACAAAGAAGTTTCTCAGAATGCTTCTGTATAGTTTGCTTTTCCACGATAGGCCTCAAAGCACGCCAAATATCCACTTGCAGATCCTATGAAAAGAGTGTTCCAAAACTGGTCAATCATAAGATAGGTTTAACTCTGTGAGTTGAATGCACAATCACGAGGAAGTTTCTCAGAATGCCTCTGTGTGCTTTTCATTTGAAGGTATTTCCTTTTCCACCATAGGCCACAAAGGGCTCCAAATATCCCCTTGCAGATTCTGCAAAATGAGAGATTCAAAACTGCTCAATCAAAAGATAGGTTCAACTCTGTGAGTTGAATGCTCACATAACAAAGAAGTTTCTCACAGTATTTCTGTGTAGTTTTTATTTGAAGATATTTCCTTTTCCACCATAGGCCGCAAAGGGCTCCAAATATCCACTTGCAGATTGTATAAAAAGAGAGATTCAAAACTGGTCACTCAAAGGATCGGTTCAGCTCTGTGAGGTGAATGCACACATCAAAAAGAAGTTTCTTAGAGTGCCTCTATGTAGATTTTATGTGAAGATATTTGCTTTTCCACTTTAGGTCTCAAAGCGCTCCAAATATCCACGTGCAGATTCTAAAAAAAGAGAGATTCTAAGCTACTCCATCAAAAGATAGGTTCAGCTCTGTGAGTTGAATTCACACATCACAAAGAAGTTTCTAGGAGTGCTTCTGTGTAGTTGTTATGTGAAGATATTTGCTTTTCCACAGTAGGCCTCAAATCGCTCTACATATCCACTTGCAGTTTCTACAAAAAAGAGTGTTTCCAAACTGCTCCATCATAAGACACGTTGAACTCTGAGAGTTGAATGCACACATCACAAAGAAGCTTCTCAGAATGCTTCTGTGTGGTTTTAATTTGAAGATATTTCCTTTTCCAAAACAGGCCTCAAAGCTCTCCAAATATCCACCTGGTTATT
Source organism: Homo sapiens (assembly GCF_000001405.40). NCBI lineage: Eukaryota > Metazoa > Chordata > Mammalia > Primates > Hominidae > Homo > Homo sapiens. The sequence goes on along the minus strand of NC_000015.10, from coordinate 17,205,272 downwards.
CTGCAAAAAGAGGGTTTCAATACTACTCAATAAAAAGGAAGATTCAACTCTGTGTGAGGAACGCATTCATCACAAAGAAGTCTTTCTGAATGCTTCTGTGTAGCTTTTATATGAAGATATTTCCTTTTACACCACAGGGTGCAAACAGCTCCAAACTTCCACTTGCAGATTCTACAAAAAGACGTATTCAAAACTGTACAATCAAAAGATAGTGTCAACTCTGCATGTTCAATGCACACATCACAAAGGACTTTCTCTGAATGCTTCTCTGTAGGGTTTGTTTATGTGAAGATATTTGCTTTTCGACTATAGGGTGAAACAGGGCTCCAAGTATCAACTTGCAGATTCTGCAAAAAGGAGATTCAAAACAGCTAAATCCAAAGATTACTTCAACTATATGAGTTGAATGCACACACAAAAAAGAAGTTTCTCAGAATGCCTCTGTGTAGTTTTTATGTGAAGATATTTGATTTTCCACATTAGGCCTCAAAGCGCTCCAAATATCCACTTGCAGATTCTAGAAAAAGAGTGTTTCAAAACTGCCCTATCAAAAGAAACGTCCAACACTGTGAGATGAATGCACACATCACAAAGAAGTTTCTCAGAATGCTTCTTTGTAGTTTTTATGTGAAGATATTCCCTTTTCCAAAGAAGGCCACAAAGTACTCCCAATATCCACTTGCAGGTTCTACAAAATGAGTGTTTCAAAACCGCTCAATCATTAGATAGGTTCAACTCTGTGAGACGAATGCACACATCACAAAGAAGTTTTACGGAATGCTTCTATATAGTTTTTATTTGAAGGTATTTCCTTTTCCACCCTAGGTTGCAAAGGGCTCCAAATATCCACTTGCAGATTCGACAAAAAGAGAGATTCAAAACTGCTCAATGATAAGTCCAACTCTGTGGGTTGAATCCATGCCTCACAAAGAAGTTTCTCAGAATGCTTCTCTGTAGTTTTTATGTGAAGATATTTCCTTTTTCACAATAGGTCTCAAGCTTTCCAAATATCCACTTGCAGATTCCGCAAAAAGAGAGATACAAAAGTGCTCTATCAAAAGATAGGTTCGACTCTGGGAGTTCAATGCAAACATCACAAAGAAGTTTCTCAGAATGCTTCTGTGTAGTTTTTATGTGAAGATGTTCTGTTTTCTACCATAGGGCAAAATGGGGCTCCAAATATCTACTTGCATTTTCTACAAAAAGAGAGATTCTAAGCTGCTCAATCAAAAGATACGTTCAACACTGTTAGTTGAATGCACACATGCCAAAGAAGTTTCTCAGAATGCTTCTGTGTAGTTTTTATGTGAAGATATTTGCTTTTCCACAATAGGCCTCAAATCGTTCTAAATATCCACTTGCAGGCTCTACAAAAAGAGTGTTTCCAAATTGGTCAATCATAAGGTAGGTTCAACTCTGAGAGTTGAATGCACACATCATAAAGAAGTTTCTCAGAATGGTCTGTGTAGTTTTACTTTGAAGATATTTCATTTTCCAAAACAGGCCCCAAAGCTCTCCAAATATCCACTTGGTGATTCTGCAAAAAGAGCGTTTCAATACTGCTCCATAAAAAGAAAGGTTCAGCTCTGTGTGAGGAATGCATTCATCACAAGAAGTTTCTCTGAATGCTTTCTCTGTAGTTTTTATATGAAGATAGTTCCCTTTCCACCACAGGGTGCAAAGAGCTCCAAATATCCACTTGCAGATTCTACAGAAAATGAGATACGAAAGTGCTCAAGGAAAAGATAAGTTCAACTCTGTTAGTTGCATGCCTCACCTCACAAAGAAGAATCTCAAAATGCTTCTGCATAGTTTATATGTGAAGATATTTCCTTTTCCAAATAGGCCTCCAAGTTCTCCAGATATCCACTCGCAGATTCTGCAAAAAGAGAGACTCAAAACTGCTGAATCAAAGCATAGTTTCAACTCTGTGACTTCATTGCACACCTCACAAAGATGTTTCTCAGAATGCTTCTGTGCAGTTTTTATATAAAGATATCTCCTTCTCCAAAATAGATCTCAAGGTTCTCCAAATATTCACTTCCAGATTCTATGGAAAGATTGTCTCAAAACTGCTCAATCAAACCAAAGGTTCAACCTTATGAGATGAATGCACACATCACAAGGAAGTTTCTCGGAATACTTCTGTGTAGTTTTTATTTGAGGATAGTTCCTTTTCCACCACAGACCACAAAGGGCTCCAAATATCCATTGCAGATGGTACAAAAAGAGAGATTCAAAACTGCTCAATCAAAAGGTAGTTTCAACCATGTGATATGAATGCACACAGCACAGAGAAATTTCTCAAAATGCTTCTGTCTAGTTTTTATTTGAAGATATTGCCTTTTCTACCATAGGCCACAAACGTCTCCAAATATCCACATGCAGCTTCTACAAAAAGAGAGATTCAAAGCTTCTCAATCAAAAGATAGGTTCAACTCTGTGAGTTGAATGCACACTTCACAAAGAAGTTTCTCAGAGTGCTTCTGTGTGTTTTTATGTGAAGATGATCCCTTTTCCACAATAGGCCTCAAAGCTCTCCAAATATCTGCAAGCAGAGTCTACAAAAAGAGAGATTCAAAACTGCTCAATGAAAAGATAGGTTCAACTCTGTGAGTTGAATGCACACCTCCAAAGAAGTTTCTCAGAATGCTTCCGTGTAGTTTTTATGTGAAGATATTTACTTTTCCACAATTGTCCCAAAGCTCTAAAATATCCACTTGCAGACCCTCTGAAAGAGTGTTTCAGAATTGCTCAATCAAAGGAGAGGTTCAATTCTGTGTGACCAATGCACTCATCACAAAAAGTTTGTCTGAATGCTTCTGTGTAGAATGGATTTGAAGATAATTCCTTTTCCACCACAGTCCGCAAATGGCTAAAAATATCCACTTGCAGATTCCACAAAAAGAGAGATTCAAAACTGCTCAATCACAAGGTAGGTTCAACTTGGTAATTTGAAAGCACACATGACAAACAATTTCTGAGAATGTTTCTGTGTAGCTTTTAAGGGAAGATATTTGATTTTCAAATGTAGGCCTCAAAACGCTCCAAATATCCACTTACAGATTGTACAAAAAGAGAGATTCAAAACTGGTCACTCAAAAGATAGTTCCAGCTCTGTGAGTTGAATGCAAACCTCACAAAGATGTTTCTCAGAAAGCTTCTGTATAGTTTTTATATGAAGATACTTGCTTTTCCACAATATACCTCAAATCTCCCCAATTATCCACTTGCAGATTCTACAAAAAGAGTGTTTCAAAACTGCTCAATCAAAATACACTTTCAACTCTGTGAGATCAATGCACACATCACAAAGAAGTTTCTCAGAATGCTTCTGTATAGTTTGCTTTTCCACGATAGGCCTCAAAGCACGCCAAATATCCACTTGCAGATCCTATGAAAAGAGTGTTCCAAAACTGGTCAATCATAAGATAGGTTTAACTCTGTGAGTTGAATGCACAATCACGAGGAAGTTTCTCAGAATGCCTCTGTGTGCTTTTCATTTGAAGGTATTTCCTTTTCCACCATAGGCTGCAAAGGGCTCCAAATATCCCCTTGCAGATTCTGCAAAATGAGAGATTCAAAACTGCTCAATCAAAAGATAGGTTCAACTCTGTGAGTTGAATGCTCACATAACAAAGAAGTTTCTTCTGTGTAGTTTTTATTTGAAGATATTTCCTTTTCCACCATAGGCCGCAAAGGGCTCCAAATATCCACTTGCAGATTGTATAAAAAGAGAGATTCAAAACTGGTCACTCGAAGGATCGGTTCAGCTCTGTGAGGTGAATGCACACATCAAAAAGAAGTTTCTTAGAGTGCCTCTATGTAGATTTTATGTGAAGATATTTGCTTTTCCACTTTAGGTCTCAAAGCGCTCCAAATATCCACGTGCAGATTCTAAAAAAAGAGAGATTCTAAGCTACTCCATCAAAAGATAGGTTCAGCTCTGTGAGTTGAATTCACACATCACAAAGAAGTTTCTAGGAGTGCTTCTGTGTAGTTGTTATGTGAAGATATTTGCTTTTCCACAGTAGGCCTCAAATCGCTCTACATATCCACTTGCAGTTTCTACAAAAAAGAGTGTTTCCAAACTGCTCCATCATAAGACACGTTGAACTCTGAGAGTTGAATGCACACATCACAAAGAAGCTTCTCAGAATGCTTCTGTGTGGTTTTAATTTGAAGATATTTGCTTTTCCAAAACAGGCCTCAAAGCTCTCCAAATATCCACCTGGTTATTCTGCAAAAAGAGGGTTTCAATACTACTCAATAAAAAGGAAGATTCAACTCTGTGTGAGGAACGCATTCATCACAAAGAAGTCTTTCTGAATGCTTCTGTGTAGCTTTTATATGAAGATATTTCCTTTTACACCACAGGGTGCAAACAGCTCCAAACTTCCACTTGCAGATTCTACAAAAAGACGTATTCAAAACTGTACAATCAAAAGATAGTGTCAACTGTGCATGTTCAATGCACACATCACAAAGGACTTTCTCTGAATGCTTCTCTGTAGGGTTTGTTTATGTGAAGATATTTGCTTTTCCACTATAGGGTGAAACAGGGCTCCAAGTATCAACTTGCAGATTCTGCAAAAAGGAGATTCAAAACAGCTAAATCCAAAGATTACTTCAACTATGTGAGTTGAATGCACACACAAAAAAGAAGTTTCTCAGAATGCCTCTGTGTAGTTTTTATGTGAAGATATTTGATTTTCCACATTAGGCCTCAAAGCGCTCCAAATATCCACTTGCAGATTCTAGAAAAAGAGTGTTTCAAAACTGCCCTATCAAAAGAAACGTCCAACACTGTGAGATGAATGCACACATCACAAAGAAGTTTCTCAGAATGCTTCTTTGTAGTTTTTATGTGAAGATATTCCCTTTTCCAAAGAAGGCCACAAAGTACTCCCAATATCCACTTGCAGGTTCTACAAAATGAGTGTTTCAAAACCGCTCAATCATTAGATAGGTTCAACTCTGTGAGACGAATGCACACGTCACAAAGAAGTTTTACGGAATGCTTCTATATAGTTTTTATTTGAAGGTATTTCCTTTTCCACCCTAGGTTACAAAGGGCTCCAAATATCCACTTGCAGATTCGACAAAAAGAGAGATTCAAAACTGCTCAATGACAAGTCCAACTCTGTGGGTTGAATCCATGCCTCACAAAGAAGTTTCTCAGAATGCTTCTCTGTAGTTTTTATGTGAAGATATTTCCTTTTTCACAATAGGCCTCAAGCTTTCCAAATATCCACTTGCAGATTCCGCAAAAAGAGAGATACAAAAGTGCTCTATCAAAAGATAGGTTCGACTCTGGGAGTTCAATGCAAACATCACAAAGAAGTTTCTCAGAATGCTTCTGTGTAGATTTTATGTGAAGATGTTTTGTTTTCTACCATAGGGCAAAATGGGGCTCCAAATATCTACTTGCATTTTCTACAAAAAGAGAGATTCTAAGCTGCTCAATCAAAAGATACGTTCAACACTGTTAGTTGAATGCACACATGACAAAGAAGTTTCTCAGAATGCTTCTGTGTAGTTTTTATGTGAAGATATTTGCTTTTCCACAATAGGCCTCAAATCGTTCTAAATATCCACTTGCAGGCTCTACAAAAAGAGTGTTTCCAAATTGCTCAATCATAAGGTAGCTTCAACTACTGAGAGTTGAATGCTCACATCATGAAGAAGTTTCTCAGAATGGTTCTGTGTAGTTTTACTTTGAAGAATTTCATTTTCCAAAACAGGCCCCAAAGCTCTCCAAATATCCACTTGGTGATTCTGCAAAAAGAGCGTTTCAATACTGCTCCATAAAAAGAAAGGTTCAGCTCTGTGTGAGGAATGCATTCATCACAAGAAGTTTCTCTGAATGCTTCTTTGTAGTTTTTATATGAAGATAGTTCCCTTTCCACCACAGGGTGCAAAGAGCTCCAAATATCCACTTGCAGATTCTACAGAAAATGAGATACGAAAGTGCTCAAGGAAAAGATAAGTTCAACTCTGTTAGTTGCATGCACACCTCACAAAGAAGAATCTCAAAATGCTTCTGCATAGTTTATATGTGAAGATATTTCCTTTTCCAAATAGGCCTCCAAGTTCTCCAGATATCCACTCGCAGATTCTGCAAAAAGAGAGACTCAAAACTGCTGAATCAAAGCATAGTTTCAACTCTGTGACTTCATTGCACACCTCACAAAGATGTTTCTCAGAATGCTTCTGTGCAGTTTTTATATAAAGATATCTCCTTCTCCAAAATAGATCTCAAGGTTCTCCAAATATTCACTTCCAGATTCTATGGAAAGATTGTCTCAAAACTGCTCAATCAAACCAAAGGTTCAACCCTATGAGATGAATGCACACATCACAAGGAAGTTTCTCGGAATACTTCTGTGTAGTTTTTATTTGAGGATAGTTCCTTTTCCACCACAGACCACAAAGGGCTCCAAATATCCATTGCAGATGGTACAAAAAGAGAGATTCAAAACTGCTCAATCAAAAGGTAGTTTCAACCATGTGATATGAGTGCACACAGCACAGAGAAATTTCTCAAAATGCTTCTGTCTAGTTTTTATTTGAAGATATTGCCTTTTCTACCATAGGCCACAAACGTCTCCAAATATCCACATGCAGCTACTACAAAAAGAGAGATTCAAAGCTTCTCAATCAAAAGATAGGTTCAACTCTGTGAGTTGAATGCACACGTCACAAAGAAGTTTCTCAGAGTGCTTCTGTGTGTTTTTATGTGAAGATGATTCCTTTTCCACAATAGGCCTCAAAGCTCTCCAAGTATCTGCAAGCAGAGTCTACAAAAAGAGAGATTCAAAACTGCTCAAAGAAAACATAGGTTCAACTCTGTGAGTTGAATGCACACCTCCAAAGAAGTTTCTCAGAATGCTTCCGTGTAGTTTCTATGTGAAGATATTTACTTTTCCACAATTGTCCCAAAGCTCTAAAATATCCACTTGCAGACCCTCTGAAAGAGTGTTTCAGAATTGCTCAATCAAAGGAGAGGTTCAATTCTGTGTGACCAATGCACTCATCACAAAAAGTTTGTCTGAATGCTTCTGTGTAGAATGGATTTGAAGATAATTCCTTTTCCACCACAGTCCGCAAATGGCTAAAAATATCCACTTGCAGATTCCACAAAAAGAGAGATTCAAAACTGCTCAATCACAAGGTAGGTTCAACTTGGTAATTTGAAAGCACACATGACAAACAATTTCTGAGAATGTTTCTGTGTAGCTTTTAAGGGAAGATATTTGATTTTCAAATGTAGGCCTCAAAACGCTCCAAATATCCACTTGCAGATTGTACAAAAAGAGAGATTCAAAACTGGTCACTCAAAAGATAGTTCCAGCTCTGTGAGTTGAATGCAAACCTCACAAAGATGTTTCTCAGAAAGCTTCTGTATAGTTTTTATATGAAGATACTTGCTTTTCCACAATATACCTCAAATCTCCCCAATTATCCACTTGCAGATTCTACAAAAAGAGTGTTTCAAAACTGCTCAATCAAAATACACTTTCAACTCTGTGAGATCAATGCACACATCACAAAGAAGTTTCTCAGAATGCTTCTGTATAGTTTGCTTTTCCACGATAGGCCTCAAAGCACGCCAAATATCCACTTGCAGATCCTATGAAAAGAGTGTTCCAAAACTGGTCAATCATAAGATAGGTTTAACTCTGTGAGTTGAATGCACAATCACGAGGAAGTTTCTCAGAATGCCTCTGTGTGCTTTTCATTTGAAGGTATTTCCTTTTCCACCATAGGCCGCAAAGGGCTCCAAATATCCCCTTGCAGATTCTGCAAAATGAGAGATTCAAAACTGCTCAATCAAAAGATAGGTTCAACTCTGTGAGTTGAATGCTCACATAACAAAGAAGTTTCTCACAGTATTTCTGTGTAGTTTTTATTTGAAGATATTTCCTTTTCCACCATAGGCCGCAAAGGGCTCCAAATATCCACTTGCAGATTGTATAAAAAGAGAGATTCAAAACTGGTCACTCAAAGGATCGGTTCAGCTCTGTGAGGTGAATGCACACATCAAAAAGAAGTTTCTTAGAGTGCCTCTATGTAGATTTTATGTGAAGATATTTGCTTTTCCACTTTAGGTCTCAAAGCGCTCCAAATATCCACGTGCAGATTCTAAAAAAAGAGAGATTCTAAGCTACTCCATCAAAAGATAGGTTCAGCTCTGTGAGTTGAATTCACACATCACAAAGAAGTTTCTAGGAGTGCTTCTGTGTAGTTGTTATGTGAAGTATATTTGCTTTACCACAGTAGGCCTCAAATCGCTCTACATATCCACTTGCAGTTTCTACAAAAAGAGTGTTTCCAAACTGCTCCATCATAAGACACGTTCAACTCTGAGAGTTGAATGCACACATCACAAAGAAGCTTCTCAGAATGCTTCTGTGTGGTTTTAATTTGAAGATATTTCCTTTTCCAAAACAGGCCTCAAAGCTCTCCAAATATCCACCTGGTTATTCTGCAAAAAGAGGGTTTCAATACTACTCAATAAAAAGGAAGATTCAACTCTGTGTGAGGAACGCATTCATCACAAAGAAGTCTTTCTGAATGCTTCTGTGTAGCTTTTATATGAAGATATTTCCTTTTACACCACAGGGTGCAAACAGCTCCAAACTTCCACTTGCAGATTCTACAAAAAGACGTATTCAAAACTGTACAATCAAAAGATAGTGTCAACTCTGCATGTTCAATGCACACATCACAAAGGACTTTCTCTGAATGCTTCTCTGTAGGGTTTGTTTATGTGAAGACATTTGCTTTTCCACTATAGGGTGAAACAGGGCTCCAAGTATCAACTTGCAGATTCTGCAAAAAGGAGATTCAAAACAGCTAAATCCAAAGATTACTTCAACTATGTGAGTTGAATGCACACACAAAAAAGAAGTTTCTCAGAATGCCTCTGTGTAGTTTTTATGTGAAGATATTTGATTTTCCACATTAGGCCTCAAAGCGCTCCAAATATCCACTTGCAGACTCTACAAGAAGACTCTTTCGAAACTGCCCCATCAAAAGAAACGTCCAACACTGTGAGATGCATGCACACATCACGAAGAAGTTTCTCAGAATGCTTCTTTGTAGTTTTTATGTGAAGATATTCCCTTTTCCAAAGGAAGGCCACAAAGTACTCCCAATATCCACTTGCAGGTTCTACAAAATGAGTGTTTCAAAACCGCTCAATCATTAGATAGGTTCAACTCTGTGAGACGAATGCACACATCACAAAGAAGTTTTACGGAATGCTTCTATATAGTTTTTATTTGAAGGTATTTCCTTTTCCACCCTAGGTTGCAAAGGGCTCCAAATATCCACTTGCAGATTCGACAAAAAGAGAGATTCAAAACTGCTCAATGATAAGTCCAACTCTGTGGGTTGAATCCATGCCTCACAAAGAAGTTTCTCAGAATGCTTCTCTGTAGTTTTTATGTGAAGATATTTCCTTTTTCACAATAGGCCTCAAGCTTTCCAAATATCCACTTGCAGATTCCGCAAAAAGAGAGATACAAAAGTGCTCTATCAAAAGATAGGTTCGACTCTGGGAGTTCAATGCAAACATCACAAAGAAGTTTCTCAGAATGCTTCTGTGTAGATTTTATGTGAAGATGTTTTGTTTTCTACCATAGGGCAAAATGGGGCTCCAAATATCTACTTGCATTTTCTACAAAAAGAGAGATTCTAAGCTGCTCAATCAAAAGATACGTTCAACACTGTTAGTTGAATGCACACATGCCAAAGAAGTTTCTCAGAATGCTTCTGTGTAGTTTTTATGTGAAGATATTTGCTTTTCCACAATAGGCCTCAAATCGTTCTAAATATCCACTTGCAGGCTCTACAAAAAGAGTGTTTCCAAATTGCTCAATCATAAGGTAGGTTCAACTCTGAGAGTTGAATGCACACATCATAAAGAAGTTTCTCAGAATGGTTCTGTGTAGTTTTACTTTGAAGATATTTCATTTTCCAAAACAGGCCCCAAAGCTCTCCAAATATCCACTTGGTGATTCTGCAAAAAGAGCGTTTCAATACTGCTCAATAAAAAGAAAGGTTCAGCTCTGTGTGAGGAATGCATTCATCACAAGAAGTTTCTCTGAATGCTTCTTTGTAGTTTTTATATGAAGATAGTTCCCTTTCCACCACAGGGTGCAAAGAGCTCCAAATATCCACTTGCAGATTCTACAGAAAATGAGATATGAAAGTGCTCAAGGAAAAGATAAGTTCAACTCTGTGAGTTGCATGCACACCTCACAAAGAAGAATCTCAAAATGCTTCTGCATAGTTTATATGTGAAGATATTTCCTTTTCCAAATAGGCCTCCAAGTTCTCCAGATATCCACTCGCAGATTCTGCAAAAAGAGAGACTCAAAACTGCTGAATCAAAACATAGTTTCAACTCTGTGACTTCATTGCACACCTCACAAAGATGTTTCTCAGAATGCTTTCTGTGCAGTTTTCATATAAAGATATCTCCTTCTCCAAAATAGATCTCAAGGTTCTCCAAATATTCACTTCCAGATTCTATGGAAAGATTGTCTCAAAACTGCTCAATCAAACCAAAGGTTCAACCCTGTGAGATGAATGCACACATCACAAGGAAGTTTCTCGGAATACTTCTGTGTAGTTTTTATTTGAGGATAGTTCCTTTTCCACCACAGACCACAAAGGGCTCCAAATATCCATTGCAGATGTTACAAAAAGAGAGATTCAAAACTGCTCAACCAAAAGGTAGTTTCAACCATGTGATATGAATGCACACAGCACAGAGAAATTTCTCAAAATGCTTCTGTCTAGTTTTTATTTGAAGATATTGCCTTTTCTACCATAGGCCACAAACGTCTCCAAATATCCACATGCAGCTTCTACAAAAAGAGAGATTCAAAGCTTCTCAATCAAAAGATAGGTTCAACTCTGTGAGTTGAATGCACACTTCACAAAGAAGTTTCTCAGAGTGCTTCTGTGTGTTTTTATGTGAAGATGATTCCTTTTCCACAATAGGCCTCAAAGCTCTCCAAGTATCTGCAAGCAGAGTCTACAAAAAGAGAGATTCAAAACTGCTCAATGAAAAGATAGGTTCAACTCTGTGAGTTGAATGCACACCTCCAAAGAAGTTTCTCAGAATGCTTCCGTGTAGTTTCTATGTGAAGATATTTACTTTTCCACAATTGTCCCAAAGCTCTAAAATATCCACTTGCAGACCCTCTGAAAGAGTGTTTCAGAATTGCTCAATCAAAGGAGAGGTTCAATTCTGTGTGACCAATGCACTCATCACAAAAAGTTTGTCTGAATGCTTCTGTGTAGAATGGATTTGAAGATAATTCCTTTTCCACCACAGTCCGCAAATGGCTAAAAATATCCACTTGCAGATTCCACAAAAAGAGAGATTCAAAACTGCTCAATCACAAGGTAGGTTCAACTTGGTAATTTGAAAGCACACATGACAAACAATTTCTGAGAATGTTTCTGTGTAGCTTTTAAGGGAAGATATTTGATTTTCAAATGTAGGCCTCAAAACGCTCCAAATATCCACTTGCAGATTGTACAAAAAGAGAGATTCAAAACTGGTCACTCAAAAGATAGTTCCAGCTCTGTGAGTTGAATGCAAACCTCACAAAGATGTTTCTCAGAAAGCTTCTGTATAGTTTTTATATGAAGATACTTGCTTTTCCACAATATACCTCAAATCTCCCCAATTATCCACTTGCAGATTCTACAAAAAGAGTGTTTCAAAACTGCTCAATCAAAATACACTTTCAACTCTGTGAGATCAATGCACACATCACAAAGAAGTTTCTCAGAATGCTTCTGTATAGTTTTTATCTGAAGTTATTTGCTTTTCCACGATAGGCCTCAAAGCACGCCAAATATCCACTTGCAGATCCTATGAAAAGAGTGTTCCAAAACTGGTCAATCATAAGATAGGTTTAACTCTGTGAGTTGAATGCACAATCACGAGGAAGTTTCTCAGAATGCCTCTGTGTGCTTTTCATTTGAAGGTATTTCCTTTTCCACCATAGGCCGCAAAGGGCTCCAAATATCCCCTTACAGATTCTGCAAAATGAGAGATTCAAAACTGCTCAATCAAAAGATAGGTTCAACTCTGTGAGTTGAATGCTCACATAACAAAGAAGTTTCTCACAGTATTTCTGTGTAGTTTTTATTTGAAGATATTTCCTTTTCCACCATAGGCCGCAAAGGGCTCCAAATATCCACTTGCAGATTGTATAAAAAGAGAGATTCAAAACTGGTCACTCGAAGGATCGGTTCAGCTCTGTGAGGTGAATGCACACATCAAAAAGAAGTTTCTTAGAGTGCCTCTATGTAGATTTTATGTGAAGATATTTGCTTTTCCACTTTAGGTCTCAAAGCGCTCCAAATATCCACGTGCAGATTCTAAAAAAAGAGAGATTCTAAGCTACTCCATCAAAAGATAGGTTCAGCTCTGTGAGTTGAATTCACACATCACAAAGAAGTTTCTAGGAGTGCTTCTGTGTAGTTGTTATGTGAAGATATTTGCTTTTCCACAGTAGGCCTCAAATCGCTCTACATATCCACTTGCAGTTTCTACAAAAAAGAGTGTTTCCAAACTGCTCCATCATAAGACACGTTGAACTCTGAGAGTTGAATGCACACATCACAAAGAAGCTTCTCAGAATGCTTCTGTGTGGTTTTAATTTGAAGATATTTCCTTTTCCAAAACAGGCCTCAAAGCTCTCCAAATATCCACCTGGTTATTCTGCAAAAAGAGGGTTTCAATACTACTCAATAAAAAGGAAGATTCAACTCTGTGTGAGGAACGCATTCATCACAAAGAAGTCTTTCTGAATGCTTCTGTGTAGCTTTTATATGAAGATATTTCCTTTTACACCACAGGGTGCAAACAGCTCCAAACTTCCACTTGCAGATTCTACAAAAAGACGTATTCAAAACTGTACAATCAAAAGATAGTGTCAACTCTGCATGTTCAATGCACACATCACAAAGGACTTTCTCTGAATGCTTCTCTGTAGGGTTTGTTTATGTGAAGATATTTGCTTTTCCACTATAGGGTGAAACAGGGCTCCAAGTATCAACTTGCAGATTCTGCAAAAAGGAGATTCAAAACAGCTAAATCCAAAGATTACTTCAACTATGTGAGTTGAATGCACACACAAAAAAGAAGTTTCTCAGAATGCCTCTGTGTAGTTTTTATGTGAAGATATTTGATTTTCCACATTAGGCCTCAAAGCACTCCAAATATCCACTTGCAGATTCTAGAAAAAGAGTGTTTCAAAACTGCCCTATCAAAAGAAACGTCCAACACTGTGAGATGAATGCGCACATCACAAAGAAGTTTCTCAGAATGCTTCTTTGTAGTTTTTATGTGAAGATATTCCCTTTTCCAAAGAAGGCCACAAAGTACTCCCAATATCCACTTGCAGGTTCTACAAAATGAGTGTTTCAAAACCGCTCAATCATTAGATAGGTTCAACTCTGTGAGACGAATGCACACATCACAAAGAAGTTTTACGGAATGCTTCTATATAGTTTTTATTTGAAGGTATTTCCTTTTCCACCCTAGGTTGCAAAGGGCTCCAAATATCCACTTGCAGATTCGACAAAAAGAGAGATTCAAAACTGCTCAATGATAAGTCCAACTCTGTGGGTTGAATCCATGCCTCACAAAGAAGTTTCTCAGAATGCTTCTCTGTAGTTTTTATGTGAAGATATTTCCTTTTTCACAATAGGCCTCAAGCTTTCCAAATATCCACTTGCAGATTCCGCAAAAAGAGAGATACAAAAGTGCTCTATCAAAAGATAGGTTCGACTCTGGGAGTTCAATGCAAACATCACAAAGAAGTTTCTCAGAATGCTTCTGTGTAGATTTTATGTGAAGATGTTTTGTTTTCTACCATAGGGCAAAATGGGGCTCCAAATATCTACTTGCATTTTCTACAAAAAGAGAGATTCTAAGCTGCTCAATCAAAAGATACGTTCAACACTGTTAGTTGAATGCACACATGCCAAAGAAGTTTCTCAGAATGCTTCTGTGTAGTTTTTATGTGAAGATATTTGCTTTTCCACAATAGGCCTCAAATCGTTCTAAATATCCACTTGCAGGCTCTACAAAAAGAGTGTTTCCAAATTGCTCAATCATAAGGTAGGTTCAACTCTGAGAGTTGAATGCACACATCATAAAGAAGTTTCTCAGAATGGTTCTGTGTAGTTTTACTTTGAAGATATTTCATTTTCCAAAACAGGCCCCAAAGCTCTCCAAATATCCACTTGGTGATTCTGCAAAAAGAGCGTTTCAATACTGCTCCATAAAAAGAAAGGTTCAGCTCTGTGTGAGGAATGCATTCATCACAAGAAGTTTCTCTGAATGCTTCTTTGTAGTTTTTATATGAAGATAGTTCCCTTTCCACCACAGGGTGCAAAGAGCTCCAAATATCCACTTGCAGATTCTACAGAAAATGAGATATGAAAGTGCTCAAGGAAAAGATAAGTTCAACTCTGTGAGTTGCATGCACACCTCACAAAGAAGAATCTCAAAATGCTTCTGCATAGTTTATATGTGAAGATATTTCCTTTTCCAAATAGGCCTCCAAGTTCTCCAGATATCCACTCGCAGATTCTGCAAAAAGAGAGACTCAAAACTGCTGAATCAAAACATAGTTTCAACTCTGTGACTTCATTGCACACCTCACAAAGATGTTTCTCAGAATGCTTCTGTGCAGTTTTCATATAAAGATATCTCCTTCTCCAAAATAGATCTCAAGGTTCTCCAAATATTCACTTCCAGATTCTATGGAAAGATTGTCTCAAAACTGCTCAATCAAACCAAAGGTTCAACCCTGTGAGATGAATGCACACATCACAAGGAAGTTTCTCGGAATACTTCTGTGTAGTTTTTATTTGAGGATAGTTCCTTTTCCACCACAGACCACAAAGGGCTCCAAATATCCATTGCAGATGTTACAAAAAGAGAGATTCAAAACTGCTCAACCAAAAGGTAGTTTCAACCATGTGATATGAATGCACACAGCACAGAGAAATTTCTCAAAATGCTTCTGTCTAGTTTTTATTTGAAGATATTGCCTTTTCTACCATAGGCCACAAACGTCTCCAAATATCCACATGCAGCTTCTACAAAAAGAGAGATTCAAAGCTTCTCAATCAAAAGATAGGTTCAACTCTGTGAGTTGAATGCACACTTCACAAAGAAGTTTCTCAGAGTGCTTCTGTGTGTTTTTATGTGAAGATGATTCCTTTTCCACAATAGGCCTCAAAGCTCTCCAAGTATCTGCAAGCAGAGTCTACAAAAAGAGAGATTCAAAACTGCTCAATGAAAAGATAGGTTCAACTCTGTGAGTTGAATGCACACCTCCAAAGAAGTTTCTCAGAATGCTTCCGTGTAGTTTCTATGTGAAGATATTTACTTTTCCACAATTGTCCCAAAGCTCTAAAATATCCACTTGCAGACCCTCTGAAAGAGTGTTTCAGAATTGCTCAATCAAAGGAGAGGTTCAATTCTGTGTGACCAATGCACTCATCACAAAAAGTTTGTCTGAATGCTTCTGTGTAGAATGGATTTGAAGATAATTCCTTTTCCACCACAGTCCGCAAATGGCTAAAAATATCCACTTGCAGATTCCACAAAAAGAGAGATTCAAAACTGCTCAATCACAAGGTAGGTTCAACTTGGTAATTTGAAAGCACACATGACAAACAATTTCTGAGAATGTTTCTGTGTAGCTTTTAAGGGAAGATATTTGATTTTCAAATGTAGGCCTCAAAACGCTCCAAATATCCACTTGCAGATTGTACAAAAAGAGAGATTCAAAACTGGTCACTCAAAAGATAGTTCCAGCTCTGTGAGTTGAATGCAAACCTCACAAAGATGTTTCTCAGAAAGCTTCTGTATAGTTTTTATATGAAGATACTTGCTTTTCCACAATATACCTCAAATCTCCCCAATTATCCACTTGCAGATTCTACAAAAAGAGTGTTTCAAAACTGCTCAATCAAAATACACTTTCAACTCTGTGAGATCAATGCACACATCACAAAGAAGTTTCTCAGAATGCTTCTGTATAGTTTTTATCTGAAGTTATTTGCTTTTCCACGATAGGCCTCAAAGCACGCCAAATATCCACTTGCAGATCCTATGAAAAGAGTGTTCCAAAACTGGTCAATCATAAGATAGGTTTAACTCTGTGAGTTGAATGCACAATCACGAGGAAGTTTCTCAGAATGCCTCTGTGTGCTTTTCATTTGAAGGTATTTCCTTTTCCACCATAGGCCGCAAAGGGCTCCAAATATCCCCTTGCAGATTCTGCAAAATGAGAGATTCAAAACTGCTCAATCAAAAGATAGGTTCAACTCTGTGAGTTGAATGCTCACATAACAAAGAAGTTTCTTCTGTGTAGTTTTTATTTGAAGATATTTCCTTTTCCACCATAGGCCGCAAAGGGCTCCAAATATCCACTTGCAGATTGTATAAAAAGAGAGATTCAAAACTGGTCACTCGAAGGATCGGTTCAGCTCTGTGAGGTGAATGCACACATCAAAAAGAAGTTTCTTAGAGTGCCTCTATGTAGATTTTATGTGAAGATATTTGCTTTTCCACTTTAGGTCTCAAAGCGCTCCAAATATCCACGTGCAGATTCTAAAAAAAGAGAGATTCTAAGCTACTCCATCAAAAGATAGGTTCAGCTCTGTGAGTTGAATTCACACATCACAAAGAAGTTTCTAGGAGTGCTTCTGTGTAGTTGTTATGTGAAGATATTTGCTTTTCCACAGTAGGCCTCAAATCGCTCTACATATCCACTTGCAGTTTCTACAAAAAGAGTGTTTCCAAACTGCTCCATCATAAGACACGTTCAACTCTGAGAGTTGAATGCACACATCACAAAGAAGCTTCTCAGAATGCTTCTGTGTGGTTTTAATTTGAAGATATTTCCTTTTCCAAAACAGGCCTCAAAGCTCTCCAAATATCCACCTGGTTATTCTGCAAAAAGAGGGTTTCAATACTACTCAATAAAAAGGAAGATTCAACTCTGTGTGAGGAACGCATTCATCACAAAGAAGTCTTTCTGAATGCTTCTGTGTAGCTTTTATATGAAGATATTTCCTTTTACACCACAGGGTGCAAACAGCTCCAAACTTCCACTTGCAGATTCTACAAAAAGACGTATTCAAAACTGTACAATCAAAAGATAGTGTCAACTCTGCATGTTCAATGCACACATCACAAAGGACTTTCTCTGAATGCTTCTCTGTAGGGTTTGTTTATGTGAAGATATTTGCTTTTCCACTATAGGGTGAAACAGGGCTCCAAGTATCAACTTGCAGATTCTGCAAAAAGGAGATTCAAAACAGCTAAATCCAAAGATTACTTCAACTATGTGAGTTGAATGCACACACAAAAAAGAAGTTTCTCAGAATGCCTCTGTGTAGTTTTTATGTGAAGATATTTGATTTTCCACATTAGGCCTCAAAGCGCTCTAAATATCCACTTGCAGATTCTAGAAAAAGAGTGTTTCAAAACTGCCCTATCAAAAGAAACGTCCAACACTGTGAGATGAATGCACACATCACAAAGAAGTTTCTCAGAATGCTTCTTTGTAATTTTTATGTGAAGATATTCCCTTTTCCAAAGAAGGCCACAAAGTACTCCCAATATCCACTTGCAGGTTCTACAAAATGAGTGTTTCAAAACCGCTCAATCATTAGATAGGTTCAACTCTGTGAGACGAATGCACACGTCACAAAGAAGTTTTACGGAATGCTTCTATATAGTTTTTATTTGAAGGTATTTCCTTTTCCACCCTAGGTTGCCAAGGGCTCCAAATATCCACTTGCAGATTCGACAAAAAGAGACATTCAAAACTGCTCAATGATAAGTCCAACTCTGTGGGTTGAATCCATGCCTCACAAAGAAGTTTCTCAGAATGCTTCTCTGTAGTTTTTATGTGAAGATATTTCCTTTTTCACAATAGGCCTCAAGCTTTCCAAATATCCACTTGCAGATTCCGCAAAAAGAGAGATACAAAAGTGCTCTATCAAAAGATAGGTTCGACTCTGGGAGTTCAATGCAAACATCACAAAGAAGTTTCTCAGAATGCTTCTGTGTAGTTTTTATGTGAAGATGTTCTGTTTTCTACCATAGGGCAAAATGGGGCTCCAAATATCTACTTGCATTTTCTACAAAAAGAGAGATTCTAAGCTGCTCAATCAAAAGATACGTTCAACACTGTTAGTTGAATGCACACATGCCAAAGAAGTTTCTCAGAATGCTTCTGTGTAGTTTTTATGTGAAGATATTTGCTTTTCCACAATAGGCCTCAAATCGTTCTAAATATCCACTTGCAGGCTCTACAAAAAGAGTGTTTCCAAATTGGTCAATCATAAGGTAGGTTCAACTCTGAGAGTTGAATGCACACATCATAAAGAAGTTTCTCAGAATGGTTCTGTGTAGTTTTACTTTGAAGATATTTCATTTTCCAAAACAGGCCCCAAAGCTCTCCAAATATCCACTTGGTGATTCTGCAAAAAGAGCGTTTCAATACTGCTCAATAAAAAGAAAGGTTCAGCTCTGTGTGAGGAATGCATTCATCACAAAGAAGTTTCTCTGAATGCTTCTTTGTAGTTTTTATATGAAGATAGTTCCCTTTCCACCACAGGGTGCAAAGAGCTCCAAATATCCACTTGCAGATTCTACAGAAAATGAGATACGAAAGTGCTCAAGGAAAAGATAAGTTCAACTCTGTGAGTTGCATGCACACCTCACAAAGAAGAATCTCAAAATGCTTCTGCATAGTTTATATGTGAAGATATTTCCTTTTCCAAATAGGCCTCCAAGTTCTCCAGATATCCACTCGCAGATTCTGCAAAAAGAGAGACTCAAAACTGCTGAATCAAAACATAGTTTCAACTCTGTGACTTCATTGCACACCTCACAAAGATGTTTCTCAGAATGCTTCTGTGCAGTTTTTATATAAAGATATCTCCTTCTCCAAAATAGATCTCAAGGTTCTCCAAATATTCACTTCCAGATTCTATGGAAAGATTGTCTCAAAACTGCTCAATCAAACCAAAGGTTCAACCCTATGAGATGAATGCACACATCACAAGGAAGTTTCTCGGAATACTTCTGTGTAGTTTTTATTTGAGGATAGTTCCTTTTCCACCACAGACCACAAAGGGCTCCAAATATCCATTGCAGATGGTACAAAAAGAGAGATTCAAAACTGCTCAATCAAAAGGTAGTTTCAACCATGTGATATGAATGCACACAGCACAGAGAAATTTCTCAAAATGCTCTGTCTAGTTTTTATTTGAAGATATTGCCTTTTCTACCATAGGCCACAAACGTCTCCAAATATCCACATGCAGCTTCTACAAAAAGAGAGATTCAAAGCTTCTCAATCAAAAGATAGGTTCAACTCTGTGAGTTGAATGCACACTTCACAAAGAAGTTTCTCAGAGTGCTTTCTGTGTGTTTTTATGTGAAGATATTTCCTTTTCCACAATAGGCCTCAAAGCTCTCCAAATATCCGCAAGCAGAGTCTACAAAAAGAGAGATTCAAAACTGCTCAATGAAAAGATAGGTTCAACTCTGTGAGTTGAATGCACATCTCACAAAGAAGTTTCTCAGAATGCTTCTGTGTAGTTTTTATGTGAAGATATTTACTTTTCCACAATTGTCCCAAAGCTCTAAAATATCCACTTGCAGACCCTCTAAAAGAGTGTTTCAGAGTTGCTCAATCAAAGGAAAGGATCAACTCTGTGTGACGAATGCACTCATCACAAAGAAGTTTGTCTGAATGCTTCTGTGTAGAATTGATTTCAAGATAATTTCTTTTCCACCACAGTCTACAAAGGACTAAAAATATCCACTTGTAGATTCTACAAAAAGGGAGATTCAAAACTGCTCAATCACAAGATAGGTTCAACTCGGTGATTAGGAAGCACACATGACAAACAATTTCTGAGAATGCTTCTGTGTAGTTTTTAAGGGAAGATATTTGATTTTCAAAAGTAGGCCTCAAAGCGCTCCAAATATCCACTTGCAGATTCTGAAAAAAGAGAGATTCAAAACTCCTCAATCAAAAGATAGCTTCTACTCTGTGAGTTGAATGCAAACCTCACAAAGATGTTTCTCAGAAGGCTTCTGTGTAGTTTTTATCGGAAGATATTTGCTTTTCCACAATATTCCTCAAATCTCCCCAATTATCCACTTGCAGATTCTACAAAAAGAGTGTTTCAAAACTGCTCAATCAAAATAAAGTTTCAACTTTGTGAGATCAATGCACACATCACAAAGAAGTTTCTCAGAATGCTTCTGTATAGTTTTTATCTGAAGTTATTTGCTTTTCCACGATAGACCTCAAAGGACGCCAAATATCCACTTGCAGATCCTATGAAAAGAGTGTTCCCAAACTGGTCAATCATAAGATAGGTTTAACTTTTTGAGTTGAATGCACAATCACAAAGAAGTTTCTCAGAATGCCTCTGTGTGCTTTTCATTTGAAGGTATTTCCTTTTCCACCATAGGCCGCAAAGGGCTCCAAATATCCCCTTGCAGATTCTGCAAAATGAGAGATTCAAAACTGCTCAATCAAAAGATAGGTTCAAGTCTGTGAGTTGAATGCTCACATAACAAAGAAGTTTCTTCTGTGTAGTTTTTATTTGAAGATATTTCCTTTTCCACCATAGGCCGCAAAGGGCTCCAAATATCCACTTGCAGATTGTATAAAAAGAGAGATTCAAAACTGGTCACTCGAAGGATCGGTTCAGCTCTGTGAGGTGAATGCACACATCAAAAAGAAGTTTCTTAGAGTGCCTCTATGTAGATTTTATGTGAAGATATTTGCTTTTCCACTTTAGGTCTCAAAGCGCTCCAAATATCCACGTGCAGATTCTAAAAAAAGAGAGATTCTAAGCTACTCCATCAAAAGATAGGTTCAGCTCTGTGAGTTGAATTCACACATCACAAAGAAGTTTCTAGGAGTGCTTCTGTGTAGTTGTTATGTGAAGATATTTGCTTTTCCACAGTAGGCCTCAAATCGCTCTACATATCCACTTGCAGTTTCTACAAAAAAGAGTGTTTCCAAACTGCTCCATCATAAGACACGTTGAACTCTGAGAGTTGAATGCACACATCACAAAGAAGCTTCTCAGAATGCTTCTGTGTGGTTTTAATTTGAAGATATTTCCTTTTCCAAAACAGGCCTCAAAGCTCTCCAAATATCCACCTGGTTATTCTGCAAAAAGAGGGTTTCAATACTACTCAATAAAAAGGAAGATTCAACTCTGTGTGAGGAACGCATTCATCACAAAGAAGTCTTTCTGAATGCTTCTGTGTAGCTTTTATATGAAGATATTTCCTTTTACACCACAGGGTGCAAACAGCTCCAAACTTCCACTTGCAGATTCTACAAAAAGACGTATTCAAAACTGTACAATCAAAAGATAGTGTCAACTCTGCATGTTCAATGCACACATCACAAAGGACTTTCTCTGAATGCTTCTCTGTAGGGTTTGTTTATGTGAAGACATTTGCTTTTCCACTATAGGGTGAAACAGGGCTCCAAGTATCAACTTGCAGATTCTGCAAAAAGGAGATTCAAAACAGCTAAATCCAAAGATTACTTCAACTATTGTGAGTTGAATGCACACACAAAAAAGAAGTTTCTCAGAATGCCTCTGTGTAGTTTTTATGTGAAGATATTTGATTTTCCACATTAGGCCTCAAAGCGCTCTAAATATCCACTTGCAGATTCTAGAAAAAGAGTGTTTCAAAACTGCCCTATCAAAAGAAACGTCCAACACTGTGAGATGAATGCACACATCACAAAGAAGTTTCTCAGAATGCTTCTTTGTAATTTTTATGTGAAGATATTCCCTTTTCCAAAGAAGGCCACAAAGTACTCCCAATATCCACTTGCAGGTTCTACAAAATGAGTGTTTCAAAACCGCTCAATCATTAGATAGGTTCAACTCTGTGAGACGAATGCACACGTCACAAAGAAGTTTTACGGAATGCTTCTATATAGTTTTTATTTGAAGGTATTTCCTTTTCCACCCTAGGTTGCAAAGGGCTCCAAATATCCACTTGCAGATTCGACAAAAAGAGAGATTCAAAACTGCTCAATGATAAGTCCAACTCTGTGGGTTGAATCCATGCCTCACAAAGAAGTTTCTCAGAATGCTTCTCTGTAGTTTTTATGTGAAGATATTTCCTTTTTCACAATAGGCCTCAAGCTTTCCAAATATCCACTTGCAGATTCCGCAAAAAGAGAGATACAAAAGTGCTCTATCAAAAGATAGGTTCGACTCTGGGAGTTCAATGCAAACATCACAAAGAAGTTTCTCAGAATGCTTCTGTGTAGTTTTTATGTGAAGATGTTCTGTTTTCTACCATAGGGCAAAATGGGGCTCCAAATATCTACTTGCATTTTCTACAAAAAGAGAGATTCTAAGCTGCTCAATCAAAAGATACGTTCAACACTGTTAGTTGAATGCACACATGCCAAAGAAGTTTCTCAGAATGCTTCTGTGTAGTTTTTATGTGAAGATATTTGCTTTTCCACAATAGGCCTCAAATCGTTCTAAATATCCACTTGCAGGCTCTACAAAAAGAGTGTTTCCAAATTGGTCAATCATAAGGTAGGTTCAACTCTGAGAGTTGAATGCACACATCATAAAGAAGTTTCTCAGAATGGTTCTGTGTAGTTTTACTTTGAAGATATTTCATTTTCCAAAACAGGCCCCAAAGCTCTCCAAATATCCACTTGGTGATTCTGCAAAAAGAGCGTTTCAATACTGCTCAATAAAAAGAAACGTTCAGCTCTGTGTGAGGAATGCATTCATCACAAAGAAGTTTCTCTGAATGCTTCTTTGTAGTTTTTATATGAAGATAGTTCCCTTTCCACCACAGGGTGCAAAGAGCTCCAAATATCCACTTGCAGATTCTACAGAAAATGAGATACGAAAGTGCTCAAGGAAAAGATAAGTTCAACTCTGTGAGTTGCATGCACACCTCACAAAGAAGAATCTCAAAATGCTTCTGCATAGTTTATATGTGGAGATATTTCCTTTTCCAAATAGGCCTCCAAGTTCTCCAGATATCCACTCGCAGATTCTGCAAAAAGAGAGACTCAAAACTGCTGAATCAAAACATAGTTTCAACACTGTGACTTCATTGCACACCTCACAAAGATGTTTCTCAGAATGCTTCTGTGCAGTTTTTATATAAAGATATCTCCTTCTCCAAAATAGATCTCAAGGTTCTCCAAATATTCACTTCCAGATTCTATGGAAAGATTGTCTCAAAACTGCTCAATCAAACCAAAGGTTCAACCCTATGAGATGAATGCACACATCACAAGGAAGTTTCTCGGAATACTTCTGTGTAGTTTTTATTTGAGGATAGTTCCTTTTCCACCACAGACCACAAAGGGCTCCAAATATCCATTGCAGATGGTACAAAAAGAGAGATTCAAAACTGCTCAATCAAAAGGTAGTTTCAACCATGTGATATGAATGCACACAGCACAGAGAAATTTCTCAAAATGCTTCTGTCTAGTTTTTATTTGAAGATATTGCCTTTTCTACCATAGGCCACAAACGTCTCCAAATATCCACATGCAGCTTCTACAAAAAGAGAGATTCAAAGCTTCTCAATCAAAAGATAGGTTCAACTCTGTGAGTTGAATGCACACTTCACAAAGAAGTTTCTCAGAGTGCTTCTGTGTGTTTTTATGTGAAGATGATCCCTTTTCCACAATAGGCCTCAAAGCTCTCCAAATATCTGCAAGCAGAGTCTACAAAAAGAGAGATTCAAAACTGCTCAATGAAAAGATAGGTTCAACTCTGTGAGTTGAATGCACACCTCCAAAGAAGTTTCTCAGAATGCTTCCGTGTAGTTTTTATGTGAAGATATTTACTTTTCCACAATTGTCCCAAAGCTCTAAAATATCCACTTGCAGACCCTCTGAAAGAGTGTTTCAGAATTGCTCAATCAAAGGAGAGGTTCAATTCTGTGTGACCAATGCACTCATCACAAAAAGTTTGTCTGAATGCTTCTGTGTAGAATGGATTTGAAGATAATTCCTTTTCCACCACAGTCCGCAAATGGCTAAAAATATCCACTTGCAGATTCCACAAAAAGAGAGATTCAAAACTGCTCAATCACAAGGTAGGTTCAACTTGGTAATTTGAAAGCACACATGACAAACAATTTCTGAGAATGTTTCTGTGTAGCTTTTAAGGGAAGATATTTGATTTTCAAATGTAGGCCTCAAAACGCTCCAAATATCCACTTGCAGATTGTACAAAAAGAGAGATTCAAAACTGGTCACTCAAAAGATAGTTCCAGCTCTGTGAGTTGAATGCAAACCTCACAAAGATGTTTCTCAGAAAGCTTCTGTATAGTTTTTATATGAAGATACTTGCTTTTCCACAATATACCTCAAATCTCCCCAATTATCCACTTGCAGATTCTACAAAAAGAGTGTTTCAAAACTGCTCAATCAAAATACACTTTCAACTCTGTGAGATCAATGCACACATCACAAAGAAGTTTCTCAGAATGCTCTTTTCCACGATAGGCCTCAAAGCACGCCAAATATCCACTTGCAGATCCTATGAAAAGAGTGTTCCAAAACTGGTCAATCATAAGATAGGTTTAACTCTGTGAGTTGAATGCACAATCACGAGGAAGTTTCTCAGAATGCCTCTGTGTGCTTTTCATTTGAAGGTATTTCCTTTTCCACCATAGGCCGCAAAGGGCTCCAAATATCCCCTTGCAGATTCTGCAAAATGAGAGATTCAAAACTGCTCAATCAAAAGATAGGTTCAACTCTGTGAGTTGAATGCTCACATAACAAAGAAGTTTCTTCTGTGTAGTTTTTATTTGAAGATATTTCCTTTTCCACCATAGGCCGCAAAGGGCTCCAAATATCCACTTGCAGATTGTACAAAAAGAGAGATTCAAAACTGGTCACTCAAAGGATCGGTTCAGCTCTGTGAGGTGAATGCACACATCAAAAAGAAGTTTCTTAGAGTGCCTCTATGTAGATTTTATGTGAAGATATTTGCTTTTCCACTTTAGGTCTCAAAGCGCTCCAAATATCCACGTGCAGATTCTAAAAAAAGAGAGATTCTAAGCTACTCCATCAAAAGATAGGTTCAGCTCTGTGAGTTGAATTCACACATCACAAAGAAGTTTCTAGGAGTGCTTCTGTGTAGTTGTTATGTGAAGATATTTGCTTTTCCACAGTAGGCCTCAAATCGCTCTACATATCCACTTGCAGTTTCTACAAAAAGAGTGTTTCCAAACTGCTCCATCATAAGACACGTTCAACTCTGAGAGTTGAATGCACACATCACAAAGAAGCTTCTCAGAATGCTTCTGTGTGGTTTTAATTTGAAGATATTTCCTTTTCCAAAACAGGCCTCAAAGCTCTCCGAATATCCACCTGGTTATTCTGCAAAAAGAGGGTTTCAATACTACTCAATAAAAAGGAAGATTCAACTCTGTGTGAGGAACGCATTCATCACAAAGAAGTCTTTCTGAATGCTTCTGTGTAGCTTTTATATGAAGATATTTCCTTTTACACCACAGGGTGCAAACAGCTCCAAACTTCCACTTGCAGATTCTACAAAAAGACGTATTCAAAACTGTACAATCAAAAGATAGTGTCAACTCTGCATGTTCAATGCACACATCACAAAGGACTTTCTCTGAATGCTTCTCTGTAGGGTTTGTTTATGTGAAGATATTTGCTTTTCCACTATAGGGTGAAACAGGGCTCCAAGTATCAACTTGCAGATTCTGCAAAAAGGAGATTCAAAACAGCTAAATCCAAAGATTACTTCAACTATGTGAGTTGAATGCACACACAAAAAAGAAGTTTCTCAGAATGCCTCTGTGTAGTTTTTATGTGAAGATATTTGATTTTCCACATTAGGCCTCAAAGCACTCCAAATATCCACTTGCAGATTCTAGAAAAAGAGTGTTTCAAAACTGCCCTATCAAAAGAAACGTCCAACACTGTGAGATGAATGCACACATCACAAAGAAGTTTCTCAGAATGCTTCTTTGTAGTTTTTATGTGAAGATATTCCCTTTTCCAAAGAAGGCCACAAAGTACTCCCAATATCCACTTGCAGGTTCTACAAAATGAGTGTTTCAAAACCGCTCAATCATTAGATAGGTTCAACTCTGTGAGACGAATGCACACGTCACAAAGAAGTTTTACGGAATGCTTCTATATAGTTTTTATTTGAAGGTATTTCCTTTTCCACCCTAGGTTGCAAAGGGCTCCAAATATCCACTTGCAGATTCGACAAAAAGAGAGATTCAAAACTGCTCAATGATAAGTCCAACTCTGTGGGTTGAATCCATGCCTCACAAAGAAGTTTCTCAGAATGCTTCTCTGTAGTTTTTATGTGAAGATATTTCCTTTTTCACAATAGGCCTCAAGCTTTCCAAATATCCACTTGCAGATTCCGCAAAAAGAGAGATACAAAAGTGCTCTATCAAAAGATAGGTTCGACTCTGGGAGTTCAATGCAAACATCACAAAGAAGTTTCTCAGAATGCTTCTGTGTAGTTTTTATGTGAAGATGTTCTGTTTTCTACCATAGGGCAAAATGGGGCTCCAAATATCTACTTGCATTTTCTACAAAAAGAGAGATTCTAAGCTGCTCAATCAAAAGATACGTTCAACACTGTTAGTTGAATGCACACATGCCAAAGAAGTTTCTCAGAATGCTTCTGTGTAGTTTTTATGTGAAGATATTTGCTTTTCCACAATAGGCCTCAAATCGTTCTAAATATCCACTTGCAGGCTCTACAAAAAGAGTGTTTCCAAATTGGTCAATCATAAGGTAGGTTCAACTCTGAGAGTTGAATGCACACATCATAAAGAAGTTTCTCAGAATGGTTCTGTGTAGTTTTACTTTGAAGATATTTCATTTTCCAAAACAGGCCCCAAAGCTCTCCAAATATCCACTTGGTGATTCTGCAAAAAGAGCGTTTCAATACTGCTCAATAAAAAGAAAGGTTCAGCTCTGTGTGAGGAATGCATTCATCACAAGAAGTTTCTCTGAATGCTTCTTTGTAGTTTTTATATGAAGATAGTTCCCTTTCCACCACAGGGTGCAAAGAGCTCCAAATATCCACTTGCAGATTCTACAGAAAATGAGATATGAAAGTGCTCAAGGAAAAGATAAGTTCAACTCTGTGAGTTGCATGCACACCTCACAAAGAAGAATCTCAAAATGCTTCTGCATAGTTTATATGTGAAGATATTTCCTTTTCCAAATAGGCCTCCAAGTTCTCCAGATATCCACTCGCAGATTCTGCAAAAAGAGAGACTCAAAACTGCTGAATCAAAACATAGTTTCAACCCTGTGACTTCATTGCACACCTCACAAAGATGTTTCTCAGAATGCTTCTGTGCAGTTTTCATATAAAGATATCTCCTTCTCCAAAATAGATCTCAAGGTTCTCCAAATATTCACTTCCAGATTCTATGGAAAGATTGTCTCAAAACTGCTCAATCAAACCAAAGGTTCAACCCTGTGAGATGAATGCACACATCACAAGGAAGTTTCTCGGAATACTTCTGTGTAGTTTTTATTTGAGGATAGTTCCTTTTCCACCACAGACCACAAAGGGCTCCAAATATCCATTGCAGATGTTACAAAAAGAGAGATTCAAAACTGCTCAATCAAAAGGTAGTTTCAACCATGTGATATGAATGCACACAGCACAGAGAAATTTCTCAAAATGCTTCTGTCTAGTTTTTATTTGAAGATATTGCCTTTTCTACCATAGGACACAAACGTCTCCAAATATCCACATGCAGCTTCTACAAAAAGAGAGATTCAAAGCTTCTCAATCAAAAGATAGGTTCAACTCTGTGAGTTGAATGCACACTTCACAAAGAAGTTTCTCAGAGTGCTTCTGTGTGTTTTTATGTGAAGATGATTCCTTTTCCACAATAGGCCTCAAAGCTCTCCAAATATCTGCAAGCAGAGTCTACAAAAAGAGAGATTCAAAACTGCTCAATGAAAAGATAGGTTCAACTCTGTGAGTTGAATGCACACCTCCAAAGAAGTTTCTCAGAATGCTTCCGTGTAGTTTCTATGTGAAGATATTTACTTTTCCACAATTGTCCCAAAGCTCTAAAATATCCACTTGCAGACCCTCTGAAAGAGTGCTTCAGAATTGCTCAATCAAAGGAGAGGTTCAATTCTGTGTGACCAATGCACTCATCACAAAAAGTTTGTCTGAATGCTTCTGTGTAGAATGGATTTGAAGATAATTCCTTTTCCACCACAGTCCGCAAATGGCTAAAAATATCCACTTGCAGATTCCACAAAAAGAGAGATTCAAAACTGCTCAATCACAAGGTAGGTTCAACTTGGTAATTTGAAAGCACACATGACAAACAATTTCTGAGAATGTTTCTGTGTAGCTTTTAAGGGAAGATATTTGATTTTCAAATGTAGGCCTCAAAACGCTCCAAATATCCACTTGCAGATTGTACAAAAAGAGAGATTCAAAACTGGTCACTCAAAAGATAGTTCCAGCTCTGTGAGTTGAATGCAAACCTCACAAAGATGTTTCTCAGAAAGCTTCTGTATAGTTTTTATATGAAGATACTTGCTTTTCCACAATATACCTCAAATCTCCCCAATTATCCACTTGCAGATTCTACAAAAAGAGTGTTTCAAAACTGCTCAATCAAAATACACTTTCAACTCTGTGAGATCAATGCACACATCACAAAGAAGTTTCTCAGAATGCTTCTGTATAGTTTTTATCTGAAGTTATTTGCTTTTCCACGATAGGCCTCAAAGCACGCCAAATATCCACTTGCAGATCCTATGAAAAGAGTGTTCCAAAACTGGTCAATCATAAGATAGGTTTAACTCTGTGAGTTGAATGCACAATCACGAGGAAGTTTCTCAGAATGCCTCTGTGTGCTTTTCATTTGAAGGTATTTCCTTTTCCACCATAGGCCGCAAAGGGCTCCAAATATCCCCTTGCAGATTCTGCAAAATGAGAGATTCAAAACTGCTCAATCAAAAGATAGGTTCAACTCTGTGAGTTGAATGCTCACATAACAAAGAAGTTTCTCACAGTATTTCTGTGTAGTTTTTATTTGAAGATATTTCCTTTTCCACCATAGGCCGCAAAGGGCTCCAAATATCCACTTGCAGATTGTATAAAAAGAGAGATTCAAAACTGGTCACTCGAAGGATCGGTTCAGCTCTGTGAGGTGAATGCACACATCAAAAAGAAGTTTCTTAGAGTGCCTCTATGTAGATTTTATGTGAAGATATTTGCTTTTCCACTTTAGGTCTCAAAGCGCTCCAAATATCCACGTGCAGATTCTAAAAAAAGAGAGATTCTAAGCTACTCCATCAAAAGATAGGTTCAGCTCTGTGAGTTGAATTCACACATCACAAAGAAGTTTCTAGGAGTGCTTCTGTGTAGTTGTTATGTGAAGATATTTGCTTTTCCACAGTAGGCCTCAAATCGCTCTACATATCCACTTGCAGTTTCTACAAAAAAGAGTGTTTCCAAACTGCTCCATCATAAGACACGTTGAACTCTGAGAGTTGAATGCACACATCACAAAGAAGCTTCTCAGAATGCTTCTGTGTGGTTTTAATTTGAAGATATTTGCTTTTCCAAAACAGGCCTCAAAGCTCTCCAAATATCCACCTGGTTATTCTGCAAAAAGAGGGTTTCAATACTACTCAATAAAAAGGAAGATTCAACTCTGTGTGAGGAACGCATTCATCACAAAGAAGTCTTTCTGAATGCTTCTGTGTAGCTTTTATATGAAGATATTTCCTTTTACACCACAGGGTGCAAACAGCTCCAAACTTCCACTTGCAGATTCTACAAAAAGACGTATTCAAAACTGTACAATCAAAAGATAGTGTCAACTCTGCATGTTCAATGCACACATCACAAAGGACTTTCTCTGAATGCTTCTCTGTAGGGTTTGTTTATGTGAAGACATTTGCTTTTCCACTATAGGGTGAAACAGGGCTCCAAGTATCAACTTGCAGATTCTGCAAAAAGGAGATTCAAAACAGCTAAATCCAAAGATTACTTCAACTATGTGAGTTGAATGCACACACAAAAAAGAAGTTTCTCAGAATGCCTCTGTGTAGTTTTTATGTGAAGATATTTGATTTTCCACATTAGGCCTCAAAGCGCTCCAAATATCCACTTGCAGATTCTAGAAAAAGAGTGTTTCAAAACTGCCCTATCAAAAGAAACGTCCAACACTGTGAGATGAATGCACACATCACAAAGAAGTTTCTCAGAATGCTTCTTTGTAGTTTTTATGTGAAGATATTCCCTTTTCCAAAGAAGGCCACAAAGTACTCCCAATATCCACTTGCAGGTTCTACCAAATGAGTGTTTCAAAACCGCTCAATCATTAGATAGGTTCAACTCTGTGAGACGAATGCACACGTCACAAAGAAGTTTTACGGAATGCTTCTATATAGTTTTTATTTGAAGGTATTTCCTTTTCCACCCTAGGTTGCAAAGGGCTCCAAATATCCACTTGCAGATTCGACAAAAAGAGAGATTCAAAACTGCTCAATGATAAGTCCAACTCTGTGGGTTGAATCCATGCCTCACAAAGAAGTTTCTCAGAATGCTTCTCTGTAGTTTTTATGTGAAGATATTTCCTTTTTCACAATAGGCCTCAAGCTTTCCAAATATCCACTTGCAGATTCCGCAAAAAGAGAGATACAAAAGTGCTCTATCAAAAGATAGGTTCGACTCTGGGAGTTCAATGCAAACATCACAAAGAAGTTTCTCAGAATGCTTCTGTGTAGATTTTATGTGAAGATGTTTTGTTTTCTACCATAGGGCAAAATGGGGCTCCAAATATCTACTTGCATTTTCTACAAAAAGAGAGATTCTAAGCTGCTCAATCAAAAGATACGTTCAACACTGTTAGTTGAATGCACACATGCCAAAGAAGTTTCTCAGAATGCTTCTGTGTAGTTTTTATGTGAAGATATTTGCTTTTCCACAATAGGCCTCAAATCGTTCTAAATATCCACTTGCAGGCTCTACAAAAAGAGTGTTTCCAAATTGCTCAATCATAAGGTAGGTTCAACTCTGAGAGTTGAATGCACACATCATAAAGAAGTTTCTCAGAATGGTTCTGTGTAGTTTTACTTTGAAGATATTTCATTTTCCAAAACAGGCCCCAAAGCTCTCCAAATATCCACTTGGTGATTCTGCAAAAAGAGCGTTTCAATACTGCTCCATAAAAAGAAAGGTTCAGCTCTGTGTGAGGAATGCATTCATCACAAGAAGTTTCTCTGAATGCTTCTTTGTAGTTTTTATATGAAGATAGTTCCCTTTCCACCACAGGGTGCAAAGAGCTCCAAATATCCACTTGCAGATTCTACAGAAAATGAGATATGAAAGTGCTCAAGGAAAAGATAAGTTCAACTCTGTGAGTTGAATGCACACCTCACAAAGAAGAATCTCAAAATGCTTCTGCATAGTTTATATGTGAAGATATTTCCTTTTCCAAATAGGCCTCCAAGTTCTCCAGATATCCACTCGCAGATTCTGCAAAAAGAGAGACTCAAAACTGCTGAATCAAAACATAGTTTCAACTCTGTGACTTCATTGCACACCTCACAAAGATGTTTCTCAGAATGCTTCTGTGCAGTTTTCATATAAAGATATCTCCTTCTCCAAAATAGATCTCAAGGTTCTCCAAATATTCACTTCCAGATTCTATGGAAAGATTGTCTCAAAACTGCTCAATCAAACCAAAGGTTCAACCCTGTGAGATGAATGCACACATCACAAGGAAGTTTCTCGGAATACTTCTGTGTAGTTTTTATTTGAGGATAGTTCCTTTTCCACCACAGACCACAAAGGGCTCCAAATATCCATTGCAGATGTTACAAAAAGAGAGATTCAAAACTGCTCAACCAAAAGGTAGTTTCAACCATGTGATATGAATGCACACAGCACAGAGAAATTTCTCAAAATGCTCTGTCTAGTTTTTATTTGAAGATATTGCCTTTTCTACCATAGGCCACAAACGTCTCCAAATATCCACATGCAGCTTCTACAAAAAGAGAGATTCAAAGCTTCTCAATCAAAAGATAGGTTCAACTCTGTGAGTTGAATGCACACTTCACAAAGAAGTTTCTCAGAGTGCTTTCTGTGTGTTTTTATGTGAAGATGATTCCTTTTCCACAATAGGCCTCAAAGCTCTCCAAGTATCTGCAAGCAGAGTCTACAAAAAGAGAGATTCAAAACTGCTCAATGAAAAGATAGGTTCAACTCTGTGAGTTGAATGCACACCTCCAAAGAAGTTTCTCAGAATGCTTCCGTGTAGTTTCTATGTGAAGATATTTACTTTTCCACAATTGTCCCAAAGCTCTAAAATATCCACTTGCAGACCCTCTGAAAGAGTGTTTCAGAATTGCTCAATCAAAGGAGAGGTTCAATTCTGTGTGACCAATGCACTCATCACAAAAAGTTTGTCTGAATGCTTCTGTGTAGAATGGATTTGAAGATAATTCCTTTTCCACCACAGTCCGCAAATGGCTAAAAATATCCACTTGCAGATTCCACAAAAAGAGAGATTCAAAACTGCTCAATCACAAGGTAGGTTCAACTTGGTAATTTGAAAGCACACATGACAAACAATTTCTGAGAATGTTTCTGTGTAGCTTTTAAGGGAAGATATTTGATTTTCAAATGTAGGCCTCAAAACGCTCCAAATATCCACTTGCAGATTGTACAAAAAGAGAGATTCAAAACTGGTCACTCAAAAGATAGTTCCAGCTCTGTGAGTTGAATGCAAACCTCACAAAGATGTTTCTCAGAAAGCTTCTGTATAGTTTTTATATGAAGATACTTGCTTTTCCACAATATACCTCAAATCTCCCCAATTATCCACTTGCAGATTCTACAAAAAGAGTGTTTCAAAACTGCTCAATCAAAATACACTTTCAACTCTGTGAGATCAATGCACACATCACAAAGAAGTTTCTCAGAATGCTTCTGTATAGTTTTTATCTGAAGTTATTTGCTTTTCCACGATAGGCCTCAAAGCACGCCAAATATCCACTTGCAGATCCTATGAAAAGAGTGTTCCAAAACTGGTCAATCATAAGATAGGTTTAACTCTGTGAGTTGAATGCACAATCACGAGGAAGTTTCTCAGAATGCCTCTGTGTGCTTTTCATTTGAAGGTATTTCCTTTTCCACCATAGGCCGCAAAGGGCTCCAAATATCCCCTTGCAGATTCTGCAAAATGAGAGATTCAAAACTGCTCAATCAAAAGATAGGTTCAACTCTGTGAGTTGAATGCTCACATAACAAAGAAGTTTCTCACAGTATTTCTGTGTAGTTTTTATTTGAAGATATTTCCTTTTCCACCATAGGCTGCAAAGGGCTCCAAATATCCACTTGCAGATTGTATAAAAAGAGAGATTCAAAACTGGTCACTCGAAGGATCGGTTCAGCTCTGTGAGGTGAATGCTCACATCAAAAAGAAGTTTCTTAGAGTGCCTCTATGTAGATTTTATGTGAAGATATTTGCTTTTCCACTTTAGGTCTCAAAGCGCTCCAAATATCCACGTGCAGATTCTAAAAAAAGAGAGATTCTAAGCTACTCCATCAAAAGATAGGTTCAGCTCTGTGAGTTGAATTCACACATCACAAAGAAGTTTCTAGGAGTGCTTCTGTGTAGTTGTTATGTGAAGTATATTTGCTTTACCACAGTAGGCCTCAAATCGCTCTACATATCCACTTGCAGTTTCTACAAAAAGAGTGTTTCCAAACTGCTCCATCATAAGACACGTTCAACTCTGAGAGTTGAATGCACACATCACAAAGAAGCTTCTCAGAATGCTTCTGTGTGGTTTTAATTTGAAGATATTTCCTTTTCCAAAACAGGCCTCAAAGCTCTCCGAATATCCACCTGGTTATTCTGCAAAAAGAGGGTTTCAATACTACTCAATAAAAAGGAAGATTCAACTCTGTGTGAGGAACGCATTCATCACAAAGAAGTCTTTCTGAATGCTTCTGTGTAGCTTTTATATGAAGATATTTCCTTTTACACCACAGGGTGCAAACAGCTCCAAACTTCCACTTGCAGATTCTACAAAAAGACGTATTCAAAACTGTACAATCAAAAGATAGTGTCAACTCTGCATGTTCAATGCACACATCACAAAGGACTTTCTCTGAATGCTTCTCTGTAGGGTTTGTTTATGTGAAGATATTTGCTTTTCCACTATAGGGTGAAACAGGGCTCCAAGTATCAACTTGCAGATTCTGCAAAAAGGAGATTCAAAACAGCTAAATCCAAAGATTACTTCAACTATGTGAGTTGAATGCACACACAAAAAAGAAGTTTCTCAGAATGCCTCTGTGTAGTTTTTATGTGAAGATATTTGATTTTCCACATTAGGCCTCAAAGCGCTCTAAATATCCACTTGCAGATTCTAGAAAAAGAGTGTTTCAAAACTGCCCTATCAAAAGAAACGTCCAACACTGTGAGATGAATGCACACATCACAAAGAAGTTTCTCAGAATGCTTCTTTGTAATTTTTATGTGAAGATATTCCCTTTTCCAAAGAAGGCCACAAAGTACTCCCAATATCCACTTGCAGGTTCTACAAAATGAGTGTTTCAAAACCGCTCAATCATTAGATAGGTTCAACTCTGTGAGACGAATGCACACGTCACAAAGAAGTTTTACGGAATGCTTCTATATAGTTTTTATTTGAAGGTATTTCCTTTTCCACCCTAGGTTGCAAAGGGCTCCAAATATCCACTTGCAGATTCGACAAAAAGAGAGATTCAAAACTGCTCAATGATAAGTCCAACTCTGTGGGTTGAATCCATGCCTCACAAAGAAGTTTCTCAGAATGCTTCTCTGTAGTTTTTATGTGAAGATATTTCCTTTTTCACAATAGGTCTCAAGCTTTCCAAATATCCACTTGCAGATTCCGCAAAAAGAGAGATACAAAAGTGCTCTATCAAAAGATAGGTTCGACTCTGGGAGTTCAATGCAAACATCACAAAGAAGTTTCTCAGAATGCTTCTGTGTAGTTTTTATGTGAAGATGTTCTGTTTTCTACCATAGGGCAAAATGGGGCTCCAAATATCTACTTGCATTTTCTACAAAAAGAGAGATTCTAAGCTGCTCAATCAAAAGATAGGTTCAACACTGTTAGTTGAATGCACACATGCCAAAGAAGTTTCTCAGAATGCTTCTGTGTAGTTTTTATGTGAAGATATTTGCTTTTCCACAATAGGCCTCAAATCGTTCTAAATATCCACTTGCAGGCTCTACAAAAAGAGTGTTTCCAAATTGGTCAATCATAAGGTAGGTTCAACTCTGAGAGTTGAATGCACACATCATAAAGAAGTTTCTCAGAATGGTTCTGTGTAGTTTTACTTTGAAGATATTTCATTTTCCAAAACAGGCCCCAAAGCTCTCCAAATATCCACTTGGTGATTCTGCAAAAAGAGCGTTTCAATACTGCTCAATAAAAAGAAACGTTCAGCTCTGTGTGAGGAATGCATTCATCACAAAGAAGTTTCTCTGAATGCTTCTTTGTAGTTTTTATATGAAGATAGTTCCCTTTCCACCACAGGGTGCAAAGAGCTCCAAATATCCACTTGCAGATTCTACAGAAAATGAGATACGAAAGTGCTCAAGGAAAAGATAAGTTCAACTCTGTTAGTTGCATGCACACCTCACAAAGAAGAATCTCAAAATGCTTCTGCATAGTTTATATGTGAAGATATTTCCTTTTCCAAATAGGCCTCCAAGTTCTCCAGATATCCACTCGCAGATTCTGCAAAAAGAGAGACTCAAAACTGCTGAATCAAAGCATAGTTTCAACTCTGTGACTTCATTGCACACCTCACAAAGATGTTTCTCAGAATGCTTCTGTGCAGTTTTCATATAAAGATATCTCCTTCTCCAAAATAGATCTCAAGGTTCTCCAAATATTCACTTCCAGATTCTATGGAAAGATTGTCTCAAAACTGCTCAATCAAACCAAAGGTTCAACCCTGTGAGATGAATGCACACATCACAAGGAAGTTTCTCGGAATACTTCTGTGTAGTTTTTATTTGAGGATAGTTCCTTTTCCACCACAGACCACAAAGGGCTCCAAATATCCATTGCAGATGTTACAAAAAGAGAGATTCAAAACTGCTCAACCAAAAGGTAGTTTCAACCATGTGATATGAATGCACACAGCACAGAGAAATTTCTCAAAATGCTTCTGTCTAGTTTTTATTTGAAGATATTGCCTTTTCTACCATAGGCCACAAACGTCTCCAAATATCCACATGCAGCTTCTACAAAAAGAGAGATTCAAAGCTTCTCAATCAAAAGATAGGTTCAACTCTGTGAGTTGAATGCACACTTCACAAAGAAGTTTCTCAGAGTGCTTCTGTGTGTTTTTATGTGAAGATGATCCCTTTTCCACAATAGGCCTCAAAGCTCTCCAAATATCTGCAAGCAGAGTCTACAAAAAGAGAGATTCAAAACTGCTCAATGAAAAGATAGGTTCAACTCTGTGAGTTGAATGTACACCTCCAAAGAAGTTTCTCAGAATGCTTCCGTGTAGTTTCTATGTGAAGATATTTACTTTTCCACAATTGTCCCAAAGCTCTAAAATATCCACTTGCAGACCCTCTGAAAGAGTGTTTCAGAATTGCTCAATCAAAGGAGAGGTTCAATTCTGTGTGACCAATGCACTCATCACAAAAAGTTTGTCTGAATGCTTCTGTGTAGAATGGATTTGAAGATAATTCCTTTTCCACCACAGTCCGCAAATGGCTAAAAATATCCACTTGCAGATTCCACAAAAAGAGAGATTCAAAACTGCTCAATCACAAGGTAGGTTCAACTTGGTAATTTGAAAGCACACATGACAAACAATTTCTGAGAATGTTTCTGTGTAGCTTTTAAGGGAAGATATTTGATTTTCAAATGTAGGCCTCAAAACGCTCCAAATATCCACTTGCAGATTGTACAAAAAGAGAGATTCAAAACTGGTCACTCAAAAGATAGTTCCAGCTCTGTGAGTTGAATGCAAACCTCACAAAGATGTTTCTCAGAAAGCTTCTGTATAGTTTTTATATGAAGATACTTGCTTTTCCACAATATACCTCAAATCTCCCCAATTATCCACTTGCAGATTCTACAAAAAGAGTGTTTCAAAACTGCTCAATCAAAATACACTTTCAACTCTGTGAGATCAATGCACACATCACAAAGAAGTTTCTCAGAATGCTTCTGTATAGTTTGCTTTTCCACGATAGGCCTCAAAGCACGCCAAATATCCACTTGCAGATCCTATGAAAAGAGTGTTCCAAAACTGGTCAATCATAAGATAGGTTTAACTCTGTGAGTTGAATGCACAATCACGAGGAAGTTTCTCAGAATGCCTCTGTGTGCTTTTCATTTGAAGGTATTTCCTTTTCCACCATAGGCCGCAAAGGGCTCCAAATATCCCCTTGCAGATTCTGCAAAATGAGAGATTCAAAACTGCTCAATCAAAAGATAGGTTCAACTCTGTGAGTTGAATGCTCACATAACAAAGAAGTTTCTTCTGTGTAGTTTTTATTTGAAGATATTTCCTTTTCCACCATAGGCCGCAAAGGGCTCCAAATATCCACTTGCAGATTGTACAAAAAGAGAGATTCAAAACTGGTCACTCAAAGGATCGGTTCAGCTCTGTGAGGTGAATGCACACATCAAAAAGAAGTTTCTTAGAGTGCCTCTATGTAGATTTTATGTGAAGATATTTGCTTTTCCACTTTAGGTCTCAAAGCGCTCCAAATATCCACGTGCAGATTCTAAAAAAAGAGAGATTCTAAGCTACTCCATCAAAAGATAGGTTCAGCTCTGTGAGTTGAATTCACACATCACAAAGAAGTTTCTAGGAGTGCTTCTGTGTAGTTGTTATGTGAAGATATTTGCTTTTCCACAGTAGGCCTCAAATCGCTCTACATATCCACTTGCAGTTTCTACAAAAAGAGTGTTTCCAAACTGCTCCATCATAAGACACGTTCAACTCTGAGAGTTGAATGCACACATCACAAAGAAGCTTCTCAGAATGCTTCTGTGTGGTTTTAATTTGAAGATATTTCCTTTTCCAAAACAGGCCTCAAAGCTCTCCGAATATCCACCTGGTTATTCTGCAAAAAGAGGGTTTCAATACTACTCAATAAAAAGGAAGATTCAACTCTGTGTGAGGAACGCATTCATCACAAAGAAGTCTTTCTGAATGCTTCTGTGTAGCTTTTATATGAAGATATTTCCTTTTACACCACAGGGTGCAAACAGCTCCAAACTTCCACTTGCAGATTCTACAAAAAGACGTATTCAAAACTGTACAATCAAAAGATAGTGTCAACTCTGCATGTTCAATGCACACATCACAAAGGACTTTCTCTGAATGCTTCTCTGTAGGGTTTGTTTATGTGAAGACATTTGCTTTTCCACTATAGGGTGAAACAGGGCTCCAAGTATCAACTTGCAGATTCTGCAAAAAGGAGATTCAAAACAGCTAAATCCAAAGATTACTTCAACTATGTGAGTTGAATGCACACACAAAAAAGAAGTTTCTCAGAATGCCTCTGTGTAGTTTTTATGTGAAGATATTTGATTTTCCACATTAGGCCTCAAAGCGCTCTAAATATCCACTTGCAGATTCTAGAAAAAGAGTGTTTCAAAACTGCCCTATCAAAAGAAACGTCCAACACTGTGAGATGAATGCACACATCACAAAGAAGTTTCTCAGAATGCTTCTTTGTAATTTTTATGTGAAGATATTCCCTTTTCCAAAGAAGGCCACAAAGTACTCCCAATATCCACTTGCAGGTTCTACAAAATGAGTGTTTCAAAACCGCTCAATCATTAGATAGGTTCAACTCTGTGAGACGAATGCACACGTCACAAAGAAGTTTTACGGAATGCTTCTATATAGTTTTTATTTGAAGGTATTTCCTTTTCCACCCTAGGTTACAAAGGGCTCCAAATATCCACTTGCAGATTCGACAAAAAGAGAGATTCAAAACTGCTCAATGACAAGTCCAACTCTGTGGGTTGAATCCATGCCTCACAAAGAAGTTTCTCAGAATGCTTCTCTGTAGTTTTTATGTGAAGATATTTCCTTTTTCACAATAGGCCTCAAGCTTTCCAAATATCCACTTGCAGATTCCGCAAAAAGAGAGATACAAAAGTGCTCTATCAAAAGATAGGTTCGACTCTGGGAGTTCAATGCAAACATCACAAAGAAGTTTCTCAGAATGCTTCTGTGTAGTTTTTATGTGAAGATGTTCTGTTTTCTACCATAGGGCGAAATGGGGCTCCAAATCTCTACTTGCATTTTCTACAAAAGGAGAGATTCTAAGCTGCTCAATCAAAAGATAGGTTCAACACTGTTAGTTGAATGCACACATCCCAAAGAAGTTTCTGAGAATGCTTCTGTGTAGTTTTTATGTGAAGATATTTGCTTTTCCACAATAGGCCTCAAATCGTTCTAAATATCCACTTGCAGGCTCTACAAAAAGAGTGTTTCCAAATTGCTCAATCATAAGGTAGGTTCAACTCTGAGAGTTGAATGCTCACATCATGAAGAAGTTTCTCAGAATGGTTCTGTGTAGTTTTACTTTGAAGATATTTCATTTTCCAAATCAGGCCCCAAAGCTCTCCAAATATCCACTTGGTGATTCTGCAAAAGGAGCGTTTCAATACTGCTCAATAAAAAGAAAGGCTCAACTCTGTGTGAGGAATGCATTCATCACAAAGAAGTTTCTCTGAATGCTTCTTTGTAGTTTTTATATGAAGATATTTCCCTTTCCACCACAGGGTGCAAAGAGCTCCAAATATCCACTTGCAGATTCCACAAAAAAAGAGATATGAAAGTGCTCCATGGAAAGATAAGTTCAACTCTGTGAGTTGAATGCACACCTCACAAAGAAGTATCTCAAAATGCTTCTGCGTAGTTTTTATGTGAAGATATTTCCTTTTCCAAGTAGGCCTCAACGTTCTCCAGATATCCACTCGCAGATTCTGCAAAAAGAGAGACTCAAAACTGCTGAATCAAAAGACAGTTTCAACTCTGTGACTTCATTGCACACCTCACAAAGATGTTTCTCAGAATGCTTCTGTGCAGTTTTTATATAAAGATATCTCCTTCTCCAAAATAGATCTCAAAGTTATCCAAGTATTCACTTCCAGATTCTATGGAAAGATTATCTCAAAACTGCTCAATCAAACCAAAGGTTCAACTCTGTGAGATAAATGCACACATCACAAAGAAGTTTCTCAGAATACTTCCGTGTAGTTTTTATTTGAGGATAGTTCCTTTTCCACCACAGACCACAAAGGGCTCCAAATATCCATTGCAGATGGTACAAACAGAGAGACTCGAAACTGCTCAATCAAAAGGTAGTTTCAACCATGTGATATGAATGCACACAGCACAGAGAATTTTCTCAAAATGCTTCTGTCTAGTTTTTATTTGAAGATATATCCTTTTCTACCATAGGCCACAAACGTCTCCAAATATCCACATGCAGCTTCTACAAAAAGAGAGATTCAAAACTTCTCCATCAAAAGATAGGTTCAACTCTGTGAGTTGAATGCACACCTCACAAAGAAGTTTCTCAGAGTGCTTCTGTGTGTTTTTATGTGAAGATGATTCCTTTTCCACAATAGGCCTCAAAGCTCTCCAAGTATCTGCAAGCAGAGTCTACAAAAAGAGAGATTCAAAACTGCT
The DNA here is from genome assembly GCF_000001405.40 of Homo sapiens. NCBI lineage: Eukaryota > Metazoa > Chordata > Mammalia > Primates > Hominidae > Homo > Homo sapiens. The sequence goes on along the minus strand of NC_000015.10, from coordinate 17,164,424 downwards.
CAATGAAAAGATAGGTTCAACTCTGTGAGTTGAATGCACACCTCCAAAGAAGTTTCTCAGAATGCTTCCGTGTAGTTTCTATGTGAAGATATTTACTTTTCCACAATTGTCCCAAAGCTCTAAAATATCCACTTGCAGACCCTCTGAAAGAGTGTTTCAGAATTGCTCAATCAAAGGAGAGGTTCAATTCTGTGTGACCAATGCACTCATCACAAAAAGTTTGTCTGAATGCTTCTGTGTAGAATGGATTTGAAGATAATTCCTTTTCCACCACAGTCCGCAAATGGCTAAAAATATCCACTTGCAGATTCCACAAAAAGAGAGATTCAAAACTGCTCAATCACAAGGTAGGTTCAACTTGGTAATTTGAAAGCACACATGACAAACAATTTCTGAGAATGTTTCTGTGTAGCTTTTAAGGGAAGATATTTGATTTTCAAATGTAGGCCTCAAAACGCTCCAAATATCCACTTGCAGATTGTACAAAAAGAGAGATTCAAAACTGGTCACTCAAAAGATAGTTCCAGCTCTGTGAGTTGAATGCAAACCTCACAAAGATGTTTCTCAGAAAGCTTCTGTATAGTTTTTATATGAAGATACTTGCTTTTCCACAATATACCTCAAATCTCCCCAATTATCCACTTGCAGATTCTACAAAAAGAGTGTTTCAAAACTGCTCAATCAAAATACACTTTCAACTCTGTGAGATCAATGCACACATCACAAAGAAGTTTCTCAGAATGCTTCTGTATAGTTTTTATCTGAAGTTATTTGCTTTTCCACGATAGGCCTCAAAGCACGCCAAATATCCACTTGCAGATCCTATGAAAAGAGTGTTCCAAAACTGGTCAATCATAAGATAGGTTTAACTTCTGTGAGTTGAATGCACAATCACGAGGAAGTTTCTCAGAATGCCTCTGTGTAGTTTTTATTTGAAGGTATATCCTTTTCCACCATAGGTAGCAAAGGGCTCCAAATATCCATTTGCAGATTCTGCAAAATGAGAGATTCAAAACTGCTCAATCAAAAGATAGGTTCAACTCTGTGAGTTGAATGCACATATAACAAAGAAGTTTCTCACAATATTTCTGTGTAGTTTTTATTTGAAGATATTTCCTTTTCCACCATAGGCCGCAAAGGGCTCCAAATATCCACTTGCAGATTGTATAAAAAGAGAGATTCAAAACTGGTCACTCGAAGGATCGGTTCAGCTCTGTGAGGTGAATGCACACATCAAAAAGAAGTTTCTTAGAGTGCCTCTATGTAGATTTTATGTGAAGATATTTGCTTTTCCACTTTAGGTCTCAAAGCGCTCCAAATATCCACGTGCAGATTCTAAAAAAAGAGAGATTCTAAGCTACTCCATCAAAAGATAGGTTCAGCTCTGTGAGTTGAATTCACACATCACAAAGAAGTTTCTAGGAGTGCTTCTGTGTAGTTGTTATGTGAAGATATTTGCTTTTCCACAGTAGGCCTCAAATCGCTCTACATATCCACTTGCAGTTTCTACAAAAAAGAGTGTTTCCAAACTGCTCCATCATAAGACACGTTGAACTCTGAGAGTTGAATGCACACATCACAAAGAAGCTTCTCAGAATGCTTCTGTGTGGTTTTAATTTGAAGATATTTGCTTTTCCAAAACAGGCCTCAAAGCTCTCCAAATATCCACCTGGTTATTCTGCAAAAAGAGGGTTTCAATACTACTCAATAAAAAGGAAGATTCAACTCTGTGTGAGGAACGCATTCATCACAAAGAAGTCTTTCTGAATGCTTCTGTGTAGCTTTTATATGAAGATATTTCCTTTTACACCACAGGGTGCAAACAGCTCCAAACTTCCACTTGCAGATTCTACAAAAAGACGTATTCAAAACTGTACAATCAAAAGATAGTGTCAACTCTGCATGTTCAATGCACACATCACAAAGGACTTTCTCTGAATGCTTCTCTGTAGGGTTTGTTTATGTGAAGACATTTGCTTTTCCACTATAGGGTGAAACAGGGCTCCAAGTATCAACTTGCAGATTCTGCAAAAAGGAGATTCAAAACAGCTAAATCCAAAGATTACTTCAACTATGTGAGTTGAATGCACACACAAAAAAGAAGTTTCTCAGAATGCCTCTGTGTAGTTTTTATGTGAAGATATTTGATTTTCCACATTAGGCCTCAAAGCGCTCCAAATATCCACTTGCAGATTCTAGAAAAAGAGTGTTTCAAAACTGCCCTATCAAAAGAAACGTCCAACACTGTGAGATGAATGCACACATCACAAAGAAGTTTCTCAGAATGCTTCTTTGTAGTTTTTATGTGAAGATATTCCCTTTTCCAAAGAAGGCCACAAAGTACTCCCAATATCCACTTGCAGGTTCTACAAAATGAGTGTTTCAAAACCGCTCAATCATTAGATAGGTTCAACTCTGTGAGACGAATGCACACGTCACAAAGAAGTTTTACGGAATGCTTCTATATAGTTTTTATTTGAAGGTATTTCCTTTTCCACCCTAGGTTGCAAAGGGCTCCAAATATCCACTTGCAGATTCGACAAAAAGAGAGATTCAAAACTGCTCAATGACAAGTCCAACTCTGTGGGTTGAATCCATGCCTCACAAAGAAGTTTCTCAGAATGCTTCTCTGTAGTTTTTATGTGAAGATATTTCCTTTTTCACAATAGGCCTCAAGCTTTCCAAATATCCACTTGCAGATTCCGCAAAAAGAGAGATACAAAAGTGCTCTATCAAAAGATAGGTTCGACTCTGGGAGTTCAATGCAAACATCACAAAGAAGTTTCTCAGAATGCTTCTGTGTAGATTTTATGTGAAGATGTTTTGTTTTCTACCATAGGGCAAAATGGGGCTCCAAATATCTACTTGCATTTTCTACAAAAAGAGAGATTCTAAGCTGCTCAATCAAAAGATACGTTCAACACTGTTAGTTGAATGCACACATGCCAAAGAAGTTTCTCAGAATGCTTCTGTGTAGTTTTTATGTGAAGATATTTGCTTTTCCACAATAGGCCTCAAATCGTTCTAAATATCCACTTGCAGGCTCTACAAAAAGAGTGTTTCCAAATTGCTCAATCATAAGGTAGGTTCAACTCTGAGAGTTGAATGCACACATCATAAAGAAGTTTCTCAGAATGGTTCTGTGTAGTTTTACTTTGAAGATATTTCATTTTCCAAAACAGGCCCCAAAGCTCTCCAAATATCCACTTGGTGATTCTGCAAAAAGAGCGTTTCAATACTGCTCCATAAAAAGAAAGGTTCAGCTCTGTGTGAGGAATGCATTCATCACAAGAAGTTTCTCTGAATGCTTCTTTGTAGTTTTTATATGAAGATAGTTCCCTTTCCACCACAGGGTGCAAAGAGCTCCAAATATCCACTTGCAGATTCTACAGAAAATGAGATATGAAAGTGCTCAAGGAAAAGATAAGTTCAACTCTGTGAGTTGAATGCACACCTCACAAAGAAGAATCTCAAAATGCTTCTGCATAGTTTATATGTGAAGATATTTCCTTTTCCAAATAGGCCTCCAAGTTCTCCAGATATCCACTCGCAGATTCTGCAAAAAGAGAGACTCAAAACTGCTGAATCAAAACATAGTTTCAACTCTGTGACTTCATTGCACACCTCACAAAGATGTTTCTCAGAATGCTTCTGTGCAGTTTTCATATAAAGATATCTCCTTCTCCAAAATAGATCTCAAGGTTCTCCAAATATTCACTTCCAGATTCTATGGAAAGATTGTCTCAAAACTGCTCAATCAAACCAAAGGTTCAACCCTGTGAGATGAATGCACACATCACAAGGAAGTTTCTCGGAATACTTCCGTGTAGTTTTTATTTGAGGATAGTTCCTTTTCCACCACAGGACCACAAAGGGCTCCAAATATCCATTGCAGATGGTACAAACAGAGAGACTCGAAACTGCTCAATCAAAAGGTAGTTTCAACCATGTGATATGAATGCACACAGCACAGAGAATTTTCTCAAAATGCTTCTGTCTAGTTTTTATTTGAAGATATATCCTTTTCTACCATAGGCCACAAACGTCTCCAAATATCCACATGCAGCTTCTACAAAAAGAGAGATTCAAAACTTCTCCATCAAAAGATAGGTTCAACTCTGTGAGTTGAATGCACACCTCACAAAGAAGTTTCTCAGAGTGCTTCTGTGTGTTTTTATGTGAACATATTCCCTTTTCCACAATAGGCCTCAAAGCTCTCCAAATATCTGCAAGCAGAGTCTACAAAAAGAGAGATTCAAAACTGCTCAATGAAAAGATAGGTTCAACTCTGTGAGTTGAATGCACACCTCCAAAGAAGTTTCTCAGAATGCTTCCGTGTAGTTTCTATGTGAAGATATTTACTTTTCCACAATTGTCCCAAAGCTCTAAAATATCCACTTGCAGACCCTCTGAAAGAGTGTTTCAGAATTGCTCAATCAAAGGAGAGGTTCAATTCTGTGTGACCAATGCACTCATCACCAAGAAGTTTGTCTGAATGCTTCTGTGTAGAATGGATTTGAAGATAATTCCTTTTCCACCACAGTCCGCAAAGGGCTAAAAATATCCATTTGCAGATTCCACAAAAAGAGAGATTCAGAACTGCTCAATCACAAGATAGGTTCAACTTGGTAATTTGAAAGCCCACATGACAAACAATTTCTGAGAATGTTTCTGTGTAGTTTTTAAGGGAAGATATTTGATTTTCAAATGTAGGCCTCAAATCGCTCCAAATATCCACTTGCAGATTGAACAAAAAGAGAGATTCAAAACTGGTCACTCAAGAGATAGGTCCAGCTCTGTGAGTTGAATGCAAACCTCACAAAGATGTTTCTCAGAAGGCTTCTGTATAGTTTTTATATGAAGATATTTGCTTTTCCACAACATACCTCAAATCTCTCCAATTATCCACTTGCAGATTCTACAGAAGGAGTGTTTTAAAACTGCTCAATCAAAATACACTTTCAACTCTGTGAGATCAATGCACACATCACAAAGAAGTTTCTCAGAATGCTTCTGTATAGTTTTTATCTGAAGTTACTTGCTTTTCCACGATAGGCCTCAAAGCACACCAAATATCCACTTGCAGATCCTGTGAAAACAGTGTTCCAAAACTGGTCAATCATAAGATAGGTTTAACTCTGTGAGTTGAATGCACAATCACAAGAAGTTTCTCAGAATGCCTCTGTGTAGTTTTTATTTGGAGGTATTTCCTTTTCCACCCTAGGTAGCAAAGGGCTCCAAATATCCCCTTGCAGATTCTGCAAAATGAGAGATTCAAAACTGCTCAATCAAAAGATAGGTTCAGCTCTGTGAGTTGAATGCTCACATAACAAAGAAGTTTCTCACAGTATTTCTGCCTAGTTTTTAAGTGAAGATATTTTCTTTTCCGAAATAGACCTCAAAGCCCTCCAAATATCAACTTCCAGACTCTACAAAAGCAGTGTTTCAAAACTGCTCAATCAAAAGAAATTGTCAACTCTGTGAGATGAATGTACACATCACAAAGAAGTTTCTCAGAATGCTTCTGTGTAGTTTTTATTTGAAGATATTTCCTTTTCCACCACAGGCCGCAAAGGGCTCCCAATATCCACTTGCAGATTGTACAAAAAGAGAGATTCAAAACTGGTCACTCAAGCACTGTGTGCTTCCGCTCTGTGAGTTGAATGCACACATCAAAAAGAAGTTTCTTAGAGTGCCTCTATGTAGATTTTATGTGAAGATATTTGCTTTTCCACTTTAGGTCTCAAAGCGCTCCAAATATCCACGTGCAGATTCTAAAAAAAGAGACATTCTAAGCTACTCCATCAAAAGATAGGTTCAGCTCTGTGAGTTGAATTCACACATCACAAAGAAGTTTCTAGGAGTGCTTCTGTGTAGTTGTTATGTGAAGATATTTGCTTTTCCACAGTAGGCCTCAAATCGCTCTACATATCCACTTGCAGTTTCTACAAAAAGAGTGTTTCCAAACTGCTCCATCATAAGACACGTTCAACTCTGAGAGTTGAATGCACACATCACAAAGAAGTTTCTCAGAATGCTTCTGTGTGGTTTTAATTTGAAGATATTTCCTTTTCCAAAACAGGCCTCAAAGCTCTCCAAATATCCCCCTGGTTATTCTGCAAAAAGAGGGTTTCAAAACTACTCAATAAAAAGGTAGATTCAACTCTGTGTGAGGAACGCATTCCTCACAAAGAAGTCTCTCTGAAAGCTTCTGTGTAGTTTTTATATGAAGATATTTCCTTTTGCACCACAGCGTGCAAACAGCTCCAAACTTCCACTTGCAGATTCTACAAAAAGAGATATTCAAAACTGTACAATCAAAAGATAGTTTCAACTCTGCGTGTTCAATGCACACATCACAAAGGACTTTCTCTGAATGCTTCTCTGTAGTGTTTGTTTATGTGGAGATATTTGCTTTTCCACTATAGGGTGAAACAGGGCTCCAAGTATCAACTTGCAGATTCTGCAAAAAGGAGATTCAAAACAGCTAAATCCAAAGATAACTTCAACTATGTGAGTTGAATGCACACACAAAAAAGAAGTTTCTCAGAATGCCTCTGTGTAGTTTTTATGTGAAGATATTTGATTTTCCACATTAGGCCTCAAAGCGCTCCAAATATCCACTTGCAGACTCTACAAGAAGACTCTTTCGAAACTGCCCTATCAAAAGAAACGTCCAACACTGTGAGATGCATGCACACATCACAAAGAAGTTTCTCAGAATGCTTCTTTGTAGTTTTCATGTGAAGATATTTCCTTTTCCAAAGAAGGCCACAAACTACTCCCAATATCCACTTCCAGGTTCTACAAAATGAGTGTTTCAAAACTGCTCAATCATTAGATAGGTTCAACTCTGTGAGATGAATGCACACATCACAAAGAAGTTTTTCGGAATGCTTCTATATAGTTTTTAGGTGAAGGTGTTTCCTTTTCCGCCATAGGTTGCAAAAGGGCTCCAAATACCCACTTGCAGATTCGACCAAAAGAGAGATTCAAAACTGCTCAATGATAAGTCCAATTCTGTGGGTTGAATCCATGCCTCACAGAGAAGTTTCTCAGAATGCTTCTCTGTAGTTTCTATGTGAAGATATTTCCTTTTTCACAATAGGCCTCAAGCTTTCCAAATATCCACTTGCAGATTCTGCAAAAAGAGAGATACAAAACTGCTCTATCAAAAGATAGGTTCGACTCTGGGAGTTCAATGCAAACATCACAAAGAAGTTTCTCAGAATGCTTCTGTGTAGTTTTTATGTGAAGATGTTCTGTTTTCTACCATAGGGCGAAATGGGGCTCCAAATCTCTACTTGCATTTTCTACAAAAGGAGAGATTCTAAGCTGCTCAATCAAAAGATAGGTTCAACACTGTTAGTTGAATGCACACATCCCAAAGAAGTTTCTGAGAATGCTTCTGTGTAGTTTTTATGTGAAGATATTTGCTTTTCCACAATAGGCCTCAAATCGTTCTAAATATCCACTTGCAGGCTCTACAAAAAGAGTGTTTCCAAATTGCTCAATCATAAGGTAGCTTCAACTACTGAGAGTTGAATGCTCACATCATGAAGAAGTTTCTCAGAATGGTTCTGTGTAGTTTTACTTTGAAGAATTTCATTTTCCAAAACAGGCCCCAAAGCTCTCCAAATATCCACTTGGTGATTCTGCAAAAAGAGCGTTTCAATACTGCTCCATAAAAAGAAAGGTTCAGCTCTGTGTGAGGAATGCATTCATCACAAGAAGTTTCTCTGAATGCTTCTTTGTAGTTTTTATATGAAGATAGTTCCCTTTCCACCACAGGGTGCAAAGAGCTCCAAATATCCACTTGCAGATTCTACAGAAAATGAGATATGAAAGTGCTCAAGGAAAAGATAAGTTCAACTCTGTGAGTTGCATGCACACCTCACAAAGAAGAATCTCAAAATGCTTCTGCATAGTTTATATGTGAAGATATTTCCTTTTCCAAATAGGCCTCCAAGTTCTCCAGATATCCACTCGCAGATTCTGCAAAAAGAGAGACTCAAAACTGCTGAATCAAAACATAGTTTCAACTCTGTGACTTCATTGCACACCTCACAAAGATGTTTCTCAGAATGCTTCTGTGCAGTTTTCATATAAAGATATCTCCTTCTCCAAAATAGATCTCAAGGTTCTCCAAATATTCACTTCCAGATTCTATGGAAAGATTGTCTCAAAACTGCTCAATCAAACCAAAGGTTCAACCCTGTGAGATGAATGCACACATCACAAGGAAGTTTCTCGGAATACTTCTGTGTAGTTTTTATTTGAGGATAGTTCCTTTTCCACCACAGACCACAAAGGGCTCCAAATATCCATTGCAGATGTTACAAAAAGAGAGATTCAAAACTGCTCAACCAAAAGGTAGTTTCAACCATGTGATATGAATGCACACAGCACAGAGAAATTTCTCAAAATGCTTCTGTCTAGTTTTTATTTGAAGATATTGCCTTTTCTACCATAGGCCACAAACGTCTCCAAATATCCACATGCAGCTTCTACAAAAAGAGAGATTCAAAGCTTCTCAATCAAAAGATAGGTTCAACTCTGTGAGTTGAATGCACACTTCACAAAGAAGTTTCTCAGAGTGCTTCTGTGTGTTTTTATGTGAAGATGATTCCTTTTCCACAATAGGCCTCAAAGCTCTCCAAGTATCTGCAAGCAGAGTCTACAAAAAGAGAGATTCAAAACTGCTCAATGAAAAGATAGGTTCAACTCTGTGAGTTGAATGCACACCTCCAAAGAAGTTTCTCAGAATGCTTCCGTGTAGTTTCTATGTGAAGATATTTACTTTTCCACAATTGTCCCAAAGCTCTAAAATATCCACTTGCAGACCCTCTGAAAGAGTGTTTCAGAATTGCTCAATCAAAGGAGAGGTTCAATTCTGTGTGACCAATGCACTCATCACAAAAAGTTTGTCTGAATGCTTCTGTGTAGAATGGATTTGAAGATAATTCCTTTTCCACCACAGTCCGCAAATGGCTAAAAATATCCACTTGCAGATTCCACAAAAAGAGAGATTCAAAACTGCTCAATCACAAGGTAGGTTCAACTTGGTAATTTGAAAGCACACATGACAAACAATTTCTGAGAATGTTTCTGTGTAGCTTTTAAGGGAAGATATTTGATTTTCAAATGTAGGCCTCAAAACGCTCCAAATATCCACTTGCAGATTGTACAAAAAGAGAGATTCAAAACTGGTCACTCAAAAGATAGTTCCAGCTCTGTGAGTTGAATGCAAACCTCACAAAGAGGTTTCTCAGAAAGCTTCTGTATAGTTTTTATATGAAGATACTTGCTTTTCCACAATATACCTCAAATCTCCCCAATTATCCACTTGCAGATTCTACAAAAAGAGTGTTTCAAAACTGCTCAATCAAAATACACTTTCAACTCTGTGAGATCAATGCACACATCACAAAGAAGTTTCTCAGAATGCTTCTGTATAGTTTTTATCTGAAGTTATTTGCTTTTCCACGATAGGCCTCAAAGCACGCCAAATATCCACTTGCAGATCCTATGAAAAGAGTGTTCCAAAACTGGTCAATCATAAGATAGGTTTAACTCTGTGAGTTGAATGCACAATCACGAGGAAGTTTCTCAGAATGCCTCTGTGTGCTTTTCATTTGAAGGTATTTCCTTTTCCACCATAGGCCGCAAAGGGCTCCAAATATCCCCTTGCAGATTCTGCAAAATGAGAGATTCAAAACTGCTCAATCAAAAGATAGGTTCAACTCTGTGAGTTGAATGCTCACATAACAAAGAAGTTTCTTCTGTGTAGTTTTTATTTGAAGATATTTCCTTTTCCACCATAGGCCGCAAAGGGCTCCAAATATCCACTTGCAGATTGTATAAAAAGAGAGATTCAAAACTGGTCACTCGAAGGATCGGTTCAGCTCTGTGAGGTGAATGCACACATCAAAAAGAAGTTTCTTAGAGTGCCTCTATGTAGATTTTATGTGAAGATATTTGCTTTTCCACTTTAGGTCTCAAAGCGCTCCAAATATCCACGTGCAGATTCTAAAAAAAGAGAGATTCTAAGCTACTCCATCAAAAGATAGGTTCAGCTCTGTGAGTTGAATTCACACATCACAAAGAAGTTTCTAGGAGTGCTTCTGTGTAGTTGTTATGTGAAGATATTTGCTTTTCCACAGTAGGCCTCAAATCGCTCTACATATCCACTTGCAGTTTCTACAAAAAGAGTGTTTCCAAACTGCTCCATCATAAGACACGTTCAACTCTGAGAGTTGAATGCACACATCACAAAGAAGTTTACTCAGAATGCTTCTGTGTGGTTTTAATTTGAAGATATTTCCTTTTCCAAAACAGGCCTCAAAGCTCTCCAAATATCCCCCTGGTTATTCTGCAAAAAGAGGGTTTCAAAACTACTCAATAAAAAGGTAGATTCAACTCTGTGTGAGGAACGCATTCCTCACAAAGAAGTCTCTCTGAAAGCTTCTGTGTAGTTTTTATATGAAGATATTTCCTTTTGCACCACAGCGTGCAAACAGCTCCAAACTTCCACTTGCAGATTCTACAAAAAGAGATATTCAAAACTGTACAATCAAAAGATAGTTTCAACTCTGCATGTTCAATGCACACATCACAAAGGACTTTCTCTGAATGCTTCTCTGTAGTGTTTGTTTATGTGAAGATATTTGCTTTTCCACTATAGGGTGAAACAGGGCTCCAGGTATCAACTTGCAGATTCTGCAAAAAGGAGATTCAAAACAGCTAAATCGAAAGATAACTTCAACTATGTGAGTTGAATGCACACACAAAAAAGAAGTTTCTCAGAATGCCTCTGTGTAGTTTTTATGTGAAGATATTTGATTTTCCACATTAGGCCTCAAAGCGCTCCAAATATCCACTTGCAGACTCTACAAGAAGACTCTTTCGAAACTGCCCTATCAAAAGAAACGTCCAACACTGTGAGATGCATGCACACATCACAAAGAAGTTTCTCAGAATGCTTCTTTGTAGTTTTCATGTGAAGATATTTCCTTTTCCAAAGAAGGCCACAAACTACTCCCAATATCCACTTCCAGGTTCTACAAAATGAGTGTTTCAAAACTGCTCAATCATTAGATAGGTTCAACTCTGTGAGATGAATGCACACATCACAAAGAAGTTTTTCGGAATGCTTCTATATAGTTTTTATGTGAAGGTGTTTCCTTTTCCACCATAGGTTGCAAAAGGGCTCCAAATATCCACTTGCAGATTCGACCAAAAGAGAGATTCAAAACTGCTCAATGATAAGTCCAACTCTGTGGGTTGAATCCATGCCTCACAGAGAAGTTTCTCAGAATGCTTCTCTGTAGTTTCTATGTGAAGATATTTCCTTTTTCACAATAGGCCTCAAGCTTTCCAAATATCCACTTGCAGATTCTGCAAAAAGAGAGATACAAAACTGCTCTATCAAAAGATAGGTTCGACTCTGGGAGTTCAATGCAAACATCACAAAGAAGTTTCTCAGAATGCTTCTGCGTAGTTTTTATGTGAAGATGTTCTGTTTTCTACCATAGGGCGAAATGGGGCTCCAAATCTCTACTTGCATTTTCTACAAAAGGAGAGATTCTAAGCTGCTCAATCAAAAGATAGGTTCAACACTGTTAGTTGAATGCACACATCCCAAAGAAGTCTCTGAGAATGCTTCTGTGTAGTTTTTATGTGAAGATATTTGCTTTTCCACAATAGGCCTCAAATCGTTCTAAATATCCACTTGCAGGCTCTACAAAAAGAGTGTTTCCAAATTGCTCAATCATAAGGTAGCTTCAACTCTGAGAGTTGAATGCTCACATCATGAAGAAGTTTCTCAGAATGGTTCTGTGTAGTTTTACTTTGAAGATATTTCATTTTCCAAATCAGGCCCCAAAGCTCTCCAAATATCCACTTGGTGATTCTGCAAAAAGAGCGTTTCAATACTGCTCAATAAAAAGAAAGGCTCAACTCTGTGTGAGGAATGCATTCATCACAAAGAAGTTTCTCTGAATGCTTCTTTGTAGTTTTTATATGAAGATATTTCCCTTTCCACCACAGGGTGCAAAGAGCTCCAAATATCCACTTGCAGATTCCACAAAAAAAGAGATATGAAAGTGCTCCATGGAAAGATAAGTTCAACTCTGTGAGTTGAATGCACACCTCACAAAGAAGTATCTCAAAATGCTTCTGCGTAGTTTTTATGTGAAGATATTTCCTTTTCCAAGTAGGCCTCAACGTTCTCCAGATATCCACTCGCAGATTCTGCAAAAAGAGAGACTCAAAACTGCTGAATCAAAAGATAGTTTCAACTCTGTGACTTCATTGCACACCTCACAAAGATGTTTCTCAGAATGCTTCTGTGCAGTTTTTATATAAAGATATCTCCTTCTCCAAAATAGATCTCAAAGTTATCCAAGTATTCACTTCCAGATTCTATGGAAAGATTATCTCAAAACTGCTCAATCAAACCAAAGGTTCAACTCTGTGAGATAAATGCACACATCACAAAGAAGTTTCTCAGAATACTTTCCGTGTAGTTTTTATTTGAGGATAGTTCCTTTTCCACCACAGACCACAAAGGGCTCCAAATATCCATTGCAGATGGTACAAACAGAGAGACTCGAAACTGCTCAATCAAAAGGTAGTTTCAACCATGTGATATGAATGCACACAGCACAGAGAATTTTCTCAAAATGCTTCTGTCTAGTTTTTATTTGAAGATATATCCTTTTCTACCATAGGCCACAAACGTCTCCAAATATCCACATGCAGCTTCTACAAAAAGAGAGATTCAAAACTTCTCCATCAAAAGATAGGTTCAACTCTGTGAGTTGAATGCACACCTCACAAAGAAGTTTCTCAGAGTGCTTCTGTGTGTTTTTATGTGAACATATTCCCTTTTCCACAATAGGCCTCAAAGCTCTCCAAATATCTGCAAGCAGAGTCTACAAAAAGAGAGATTCAAAACTGCTCAATGAAAAGATAGGTTCAACTCTGTGAGTTGAATGCACACCTCCAAAGAAGTTTCTCAGAATGCTTCCGTGTAGTTTCTATGTGAAGATATTTACTTTTCCACAATTGTCCCAAAGCTCTAAAATATCCACTTGCAGACCCTCTGAAAGAGTGTTTCAGAATTGCTCAATCAAAGGAGAGGTTCAATTCTGTGTGACCAATGCACTCATCACCAAGAAGTTTGTCTGAATGCTTCTGTGTAGAATGGATTTGAAGATAATTCCTTTTCCACCACAGTCCGCAAAGGGCTAAAAATATCCATTTGCAGATTCCACAAAAAGAGAGATTCAGAACTGCTCAATCACAAGATAGGTTCAACTTGGTAATTTGAAAGCCCACATGACAAACAATTTCTGAGAATGTTTCTGTGTAGTTTTTAAGGGAAGATATTTGATTTTCAAATGTAGGCCTCAAATCGCTCCAAATATCCACTTGCAGATTGAACAAAAAGAGAGATTCAAAACTGGTCACTCAAGAGATAGGTCCAGCTCTGTGAGTTGAATGCAAACCTCACAAAGATGTTTCTCAGAAGGCTTCTGTATAGTTTTTATATGAAGATATTTGCTTTTCCACAACATACCTCAAATCTCTCCAATTATCCACTTGCAGATTCTACAGAAGGAGTGTTTTAAAACTGCTCAATCAAAATACACTTTCAACTCTGTGAGATCAATGCACACATCACAAAGAAGTTTCTCAGAATGCTTCTGTATAGTTTTTATCTGAAGTTACTTGCTTTTCCACGATAGGCCTCAAAGCACACCAAATATCCACTTGCAGATCCTGTGAAAACAGTGTTCCAAAACTGGTCAATCATAAGATAGGTTTAACTCTGTGAGTTGAATGCACAATCACAAGAAGTTTCTCAGAATGCCTCTGTGTAGTTTTTATTTGGAGGTATTTCCTTTTCCACCCTAGGTAGCAAAAGGGCTCCAAATATCCCCTTGCAGATTCTGCAAAATGAGAGATTCAAAACTGCTCAATCAAAAGATAGGTTCAGCTCTGTGAGTTGAATGCTCACATAACAAAGAAGTTTCTCACAGTATTTCTGCCTAGTTTTTAAGTGAAGATATTTTCTTTTCCGAAATAGACCTCAAAGCCCTCCAAATATCAACTTCCAGACTCTACAAAAGCAGTGTTTCAAAACTGCTCAATCAAAAGAAATTGTCAACTCTGTGAGATGAATGTACACATCACAAAGAAGTTTCTCAGAATGCTTCTGTGTAGTTTTTATTTGAAGATATTTCCTTTTCCACCACAGGCCGCAAAGGGCTCCCAATATCCACTTGCAGATTGTACAAAAAGAGAGATTCAAAACTGGTCACTCAAGCACTGTGTGCTTCCGCTCTGTGAGTTGAATGCACACATCAAAAAGAAGTTTCTTAGAGTGCCTCTATGTAGATTTTATGTGAAGATATTTGCTTTTCCACTTTAGGTCTCAAAGCGCTCCAAATATCCACGTGCAGATTCTAAAAAAAGAGACATTCTAAGCTACTCCATCAAAAGATAGGTTCAGCTCTGTGAGTTGAATTCACACATCACAAAGAAGTTTCTAGGAGTGCTTCTGTGTAGTTGTTATGTGAAGATATTTGCTTTTCCACAGTAGGCCTCAAATCGCTCTACATATCCACTTGCAGTTTCTACAAAAAGAGTGTTTCCAAACTGCTCCATCATAAGACACGTTCAACTCTGAGAGTTGAATGCACACATCACAAAGAAGTTTCTCAGAATGCTTCTGTGTGGTTTTAATTTGAAGATATTTCCTTTTCCAAAACAGGCCTCAAAGCTCTCCAAATATCCCCCTGGTTATTCTGCAAAAAGAGGGTTTCAAAACTACTCAATAAAAAGGTAGATTCAACTCTGTGTGAGGAACGCATTCCTCACAAAGAAGTCTCTCTGAAAGCTTCTGTGTAGTTTTTATTTGAAGATATTTCCTTTTGCACCACAGCGTGCAAACAGCTCCAAACTTCCACTTGCAGATTCTACAAAAAGAGATATTCAAAACTGTACAATCAAAAGATAGTTTCAACTCTGCGTGTTCAATGCACACATCACAAAGGACTTTCTCTGAATGCTTCTCTGTAGTGTTTGTTTATGTGAAGATATTTCCTTTTCCACTATAGGGTGAAACAGGGCTCCAGGTATCAACTTGCAGATTCTGCAAAAAGGAGATTCAAAACAGCTAAATCGAAAGATAACTTCAACTATGTGAGTTGAATGCACACACAAAAAAGAAGTTTCTCAGAATGCCTCTGTGTAGTTTTTATGTGAAGATATTTGATTTTCCACATTAGGCCTCAAAGCGCTCCAAATATCCACTTGCAGACTCTACAAGAAGACTCTTTCGAAACTGCCCTATCAAAAGAAACGTCCAACACTGTGAGATGCATGCACACATCACAAAGAAGTTTCTCAGAATGCTTCTTTGTAATTTTTATGTGAAGATATTCCCTTTTCCAAAGAAGGCCACAAAGTACTCCCAATATCCACTTGCAGGTTCTACAAAATGAGTGTTTCAAAACCGCTCAATCATTAGATAGGTTCAACTCTGTGAGACGAATGCACACGTCACAAAGAAGTTTTACGGAATGCTTCTGTGTAGTTGTTATTTGAAGTTATTTCCTTTTCCACCATAGGTTGCAAAGGGCTCCAAATATCCATATGCAGATTCTACAAAAAGAGACATTCAAAACTGCTCAATGAAAAGATAAGTCCAACTCTGTGGGTTGAATCTATACTTCACAAAGAAGTTTCTCAGAATGCTTCTCTGTAGTTTTTATGTGTAGATATTTCCTTTTCCACAATAGGCCTCAAAGCTTTCCAAATATCCACTTGCAGATTCTGCAAAAAGAGAGATACAAAACTGCTCTATCAAAAAATAGGTTCGACTCGGTGAGTTGAATGCAAACATCACAAAGAAGTTTCTCAGAATGCTTTCTGTGTAGATTTTATGTGAAGATGTTTTGTTTTCTACCATAGGGCAAAATGGGGCTCCAAATATCTACTTGCATTTTCTACAAAAAGAGAGATTCTAAGCTGCTCAATCAAAAGATACGTTCAACACTGTTAGTTGAATGCACACATGCCAAAGAAGTTTCTCAGAATGCTTCTGTGTAGTTTTTATGTGAAGATATTTGCTTTTCCACAATAGGCCTCAAATCGTTCTAAATATCCACTTGCAGGCTCTACAAAAAGAGTGTTTCCAAATTGCTCAATCATAAGGTAGGTTCAACTCTGAGAGTTGAATGCACACATCATAAAGAAGTTTCTCAGAATGGTTCTGTGTAGTTTTACTTTGAAGATATTTCATTTTCCAAAACAGGCCCCAAAGCTCTCCAAATATCCACTTGGTGATTCTGCAAAAAGAGCGTTTCAATACTGCTCCATAAAAAGAAAGGTTCAGCTCTGTGTGAGGAATGCATTCATCACAAGAAGTTTCTCTGAATGCTTCTTTGTAGTTTTTATATGAAGATAGTTCCCTTTCCACCACAGGGTGCAAAGAGCTCCAAATATCCACTTGCAGATTCTACAGAAAATGAGATATGAAAGTGCTCAAGGAAAAGATAAGTTCAACTCTGTGAGTTGCATGCACACCTCACAAAGAAGAATCTCAAAATGCTTCTGCATAGTTTATATGTGAAGATATTTCCTTTTCCAAATAGGCCTCCAAGTTCTCCAGATATCCACTCGCAGATTCTGCAAAAAGAGAGACTCAAAACTGCTGAATCAAAACATAGTTTCAACTCTGTGACTTCATTGCACACCTCACAAAGATGTTTCTCAGAATGCTTCTGTGCAGTTTTCATATAAAGATATCTCCTTCTCCAAAATAGATCTCAAGGTTCTCCAAATATTCACTTCCAGATTCTATGGAAAGATTGTCTCAAAACTGCTCAATCAAACCAAAGGTTCAACCCTGTGAGATGAATGCACACATCACAAGGAAGTTTCTCGGAATACTTCTGTGTAGTTTTTATTTGAGGATAGTTCCTTTTCCACCACAGACCACAAAGGGCTCCAAATATCCATTGCAGATGTTACAAAAAGAGAGATTCAAAACTGCTCAACCAAAAGGTAGTTTCAACCATGTGATATGAATGCACACAGCACAGAGAAATTTCTCAAAATGCTTCTGTCTAGTTTTTATTTGAAGATATTGCCTTTTCTACCATAGGCCACAAACGTCTCCAAATATCCACATGCAGCTTCTACAAAAAGAGAGATTCAAAGCTTCTCAATCAAAAGATAGGTTCAACTCTGTGAGTTGAATGCACACTTCACAAAGAAGTTTCTCAGAGTGCTTCTGTGTGTTTTTATGTGAAGATGATTCCTTTTCCACAATAGGCCTCAAAGCTCTCCAAGTATCTGCAAGCAGAGTCTACAAAAAGAGAGATTCAAAACTGCTCAATGAAAAGATAGGTTCAACTCTGTGAGTTGAATGCACACCTCCAAAGAAGTTTCTCAGAATGCTTCCGTGTGGTTTCTATGTGAAGATATTTACTTTTCCACAATTGTCCCAAAGCTCTAAAATATCCACTTGCAGACCCTCTGAAAGAGTGTTTCAGAATTGCTCAATCAAAGGAGAGGTTCAATTCTGTGTGACCAATGCACTCATCACCAAGAAGTTTGTCTGAATGCTTCTGTGTAGAATGGATTTGAAGATAATTCCTTTTCCACCACAGTCCGCAAAGGGCTAAAAATATCCATTTGCAGATTCCACAAAAAGAGAGATTCAGAACTGCTCAATCACAAGATAGGTTCAACTTGGTAATTTGAAAGCCCACATGACAAACAATTTCTGAGAATGTTTCTGTGTAGTTTTTAAGGGAAGATATTTGATTTTCAAATGTAGGCCTCAAATCGCTCCAAATATCCACTTGCAGATTGAACAAAAAGAGAGATTCAAAACTGGTCACTCAAGAGATAGGTCCAGCTCTGTGAGTTGAATGCAAACCTCACAAAGATGTTTCTCAGAAGGCTTCTGTATAGTTTTTATATGAAGATATTTGCTTTTCCACAACATACCTCAAATCTCTCCAATTATCCACTTGCAGATTCTACAGAAGGAGTGTTTTAAAACTGCTCAATCAAAATACACTTTCAACTCTGTGAGATCAATGCACACATCACAAAGAAGTTTCTCAGAATGCTTCTGTATAGTTTTTATCTGAAGTTACTTGCTTTTCCACGATAGGCCTCAAAGCACACCAAATATCCACTTGCAGATCCTGTGAAAACAGTGTTCCAAAACTGGTCAATCATAAGATAGGTTTAACTCTGTGAGTTGAATGCACAATCACAAGAAGTTTCTCAGAATGCCTCTGTGTAGTTTTTATTTGGAGGTATTTCCTTTTCCACCCTAGGTAGCAAAGGGCTCCAAATATCCCCTTGCAGATTCTGCAAAATGAGAGATTCAAAACTGCTCAATCAAAAGATAGGTTCAGCTCTGTGAGTTGAATGCTCACATAACAAAGAAGTTTCTCACAGTATTTCTGCCTAGTTTTTAAGTGAAGATATTTTCTTTTCCGAAATAGACCTCAAAGCCCTCCCAAATATCAACTTCCAGACTCTACAAAAGCAGTGTTTCAAAACTGCTCAATCAAAAGAAATTGTCAACTCTGTGAGATGAATGTACACATCACAAAGAAGTTTCTCAGAATGCTTCTGTGTAGTTTTTATTTGAAGATATTTCCTTTTCCACCACAGGCCGCAAAGGGCTCCCAATATCCACTTGCAGATTGTACAAAAAGAGAGATTCAAAACTGGTCACTCAAGCACTGTGTGCTTCCGCTCTGTGAGTTGAATGCACACATCAAAAAGAAGTTTCTTAGAGTGCCTCTATGTAGATTTTATGTGAAGATATTTGCTTTTCCACTTTAGGTCTCAAAGCGCTCCAAATATCCACGTGCAGATTCTAAAAAAAGAGACATTCTAAGCTACTCCATCAAAAGATAGGTTCAGCTCTGTGAGTTGAATTCACACATCACAAAGAAGTTTCTAGGAGTGCTTCTGTGTAGTTGTTATGTGAAGATATTTGCTTTTCCACAGTAGGCCTCAAATCGCTCTACATATCCACTTGCAGTTTCTACAAAAAGAGTGTTTCCAAACTGCTCCATCATAAGACACGTTCAACTCTGAGAGTTGAATGCACACATCACAAAGAAGTTTCTCAGAATGCTTCTGTGTGGTTTTAATTTGAAGATATTTCCTTTTCCAAAACAGGCCTCAAAGCTCTCCAAATATCCCCCTGGTTATTCTGCAAAAAGAGGGTTTCAAAACTACTCAATAAAAAGGTAGATTCAACTCTGTGTGAGGAACGCATTCCTCACAAAGAAGTCTCTCTGAAAGCTTCTGTGTAGTTTTTATATGAAGATATTTCCTTTTGCACCACAGCGTGCAAACAGCTCCAAACTTCCACTTGCAGATTCTACAAAAAGAGATATTCAAAACTGTACAATCAAAAGATAGTTTCAACTCTGCGTGTTCAATGCACACATCACAAAGGACTTTCTCTGAATGCTTCTCTGTAGTGTTTGTTTATGTGAAGAGATTTGCTTTTCCACTATAGGGTGAAACAGGGCTCCAGGTATCAACTTGCAGATTCTGCAAAAAGGAGATTCAAAACAGCTAAATCGAAAGATAACTTCAACTATGTGAGTTGAATGCACACACAAAAAAGAAGTTTCTCAGAATGCCTCTGTGTAGTTTTTATGTGAAGATATTTGATTTTCCACATTAGGCCTCAAAGCGCTCCAAATATCCACTTGCAGACTCTACAAGAAGACTCTTTCGAAACTGCCCCATCAAAAGAAACGTCCAACACTGTGAGATGCATGCACACATCACAAAGAAGTTTCTCAGAATGCTTCTTTGTAGTTTTCATGTGAAGATATTTCCTTTTCCAAAGAAGGCCACAAACTACTCCCAATATCCACTTCCAGGTTCTACAAAATGAGTGTTTCAAAACTGCTCAATCATTAGATAGGTTCAACTCTGTGAGATGAATGCACACATCACAAAGAAGTTTTTCGGAATGCTTCTATATAGTTTTTATGTGAAGGTGTTTCCTTTTCCACCATAGGTTGCAAAAGGGCTCCAAATATCCACTTGCAGATTCGACCAAAAGAGAGATTCAAAACTGCTCAATGATAAGTCCAACTCTGTGGGTTGAATGCCATGCCTCACAGAGAAGTTTCTCAGAATGCTTCTCTGTAGTTTCTATGTGAAGATATTTCCTTTTTCACAATAGGCCTCAAGCTTTCCAAATATCCACTTGCAGATTCTGCAAAAAGAGAGATACAAAACTGCTCTATCAAAAGATAGGTTCGACTCTGGGAGTTCAATGCAAACATCACAAAGAAGTTTCTCAGAATGCTTCTGCGTAGTTTTTATGTGAAGATGTTCTGTTTTCTACCATAGGGCGAAATGGGGCTCCAAATCTCTACTTGCATTTTCTACAAAAGGAGAGATTCTAAGCTGCTCAATCAAAAGATAGGTTCAACACTGTTAGTTGAATGCACACATCCCAAAGAAGTCTCTGAGAATGCTTCTGTGTAGTTTTTATGTGAAGATATTTGCTTTTCCACAATAGGCCTCAAATCGTTCTAAATATCCACTTGCAGGCTCTACAAAAAGAGTGTTTCCAAATTGCTCAATCATAAGGTAGCTTCAACTCTGAGAGTTGAATGCTCACATCATGAAGAAGTTTCTCAGAATGGTTCTGTGTAGTTTTACTTTGAAGATATTTCATTTTCCAAATCAGGCCCCAAAGCTCTCCAAATATCCACTTGGTGATTCTGCAAAAGGAGCGTTTCAATACTGCTCAATAAAAAGAAAGGCTCAACTCTGTGTGAGGAATGCATTCATCACAAAGAAGTTTCTCTGAATGCTTCTTTGTAGTTTTTATATGAAGATATTTCCCTTTCCACCACAGGGTGCAAAGAGCTCCAAATATCCACTTGCAGATTCCACAAAAAAAGAGATATGAAAGTGCTCCATGGAAAGATAAGTTCAACTCTGTGAGTTGAATGCACACCTCACAAAGAAGTATCTCAAAATGCTTCTGCGTAGTTTTTATGTGAAGATATTTCCTTTTCCAAGTAGGCCTCAACGTTCTCCAGATATCCACTCGCAGATTCTGCAAAAAGAGAGACTCAAAACTGCTGAATCAAAAGATAGTTTCAACTCTGTGACTTCATTGCACACCTCACAAAGATGTTTCTCAGAATGCTTCTGTGCAGTTTTTATATAAAGATATCTCCTTCTCCAAAATAGATCTCAAAGTTATCCAAGTATTCACTTCCAGATTCTATGGAAAGATTATCTCAAAACTGCTCAATCAAACCAAAGGTTCAACTCTGTGAGATAAATGCACACATCACAAAGAAGTTTCTCAGAATACTTCCGTGTAGTTTTTATTTGAGGATAGTTCCTTTTCCACCACAGACCACAAAGGGCTCCAAATATCCATTGCAGATGGTACAAACAGAGAGACTCGAAACTGCTCAATCAAAAGGTAGTTTCAACCATGTGATATGAATGCACACAGCACAGAGAATTTTCTCAAAATGCTTCTGTCTAGTTTTTATTTGAAGATATATCCTTTTCTACCATAGGCCACAAACGTCTCCAAATATCCACATGCAGCTTCTACAAAAAGAGAGATTCAAAACTTCTCCATCAAAAGATAGGTTCAACTCTGTGAGTTGAATGCACACCTCACAAAGAAGTTTCTCAGAGTGCTTCTGTGTGTTTTTATGTGAAGATGATTCCTTTTCCACAATAGGCCTCAAAGCTCTCCAAGTATCTGCAAGCAGAGTCTACAAAAAGAGAGATTCAAAACTGCTCAATGAAAAGATAGGTTCAACTCTGTGAGTTGAATGCACACCTCCAAAGAAGTTTCTCAGAATGCTTTCCGTGTAGTTTCTATGTGAAGATATTTACTTTTCCACAATTGTCCCAAAGCTCTAAAATATCCACTTGCAGACCCTCTGAAAGAGTGTTTCAGAATTGCTCAATCAAAGGAGAGGTTCAATTCTGTGTGACCAATGCACTCATCACCAAGAAGTTTGTCTGAATGCTTCTGTGTAGAATGGATTTGAAGATAATTCCTTTTCCACCACAGTCCGCAAAGGGCTAAAAATATCCATTTGCAGATTCCACAAAAAGAGAGATTCAGAACTGCTCAATCACAAGATAGGTTCAACTTGGTAATTTGAAAGCCCACATGACAAACAATTTCTGAGAATGTTTCTGTGTAGTTTTTAAGGGAAGATATTTGATTTTCAAATGTAGGCCTCAAATCGCTCCAAATATCCACTTGCAGATTGAACAAAAAGAGAGATTCAAAACTGGTCACTCAAGAGATAGGTCCAGCTCTGTGAGTTGAATGCAAACCTCACAAAGATGTTTCTCAGAAGGCTTCTGTATAGTTTTTATATGAAGATATTTGCTTTTCCACAACATACCTCAAATCTCTCCAATTATCCACTTGCAGATTCTACAGAAGGAGTGTTTTAAAACTGCTCAATCAAAATACACTTTCAACTCTGTGAGATCAATGCACACATCACAAAGAAGTTTCTCAGAATGCTTCTGTATAGTTTTTATCTGAAGTTACTTGCTTTTCCACGATAGGCCTCAAAGCACACCAAATATCCACTTGCAGATCCTGTGAAAACAGTGTTCCAAAACTGGTCAATCATAAGATAGGTTTAACTCTGTGAGTTGAATGCACAATCACAAGAAGTTTCTCAGAATGCCTCTGTGTAGTTTTTATTTGGAGGTATTTCCTTTTCCACCCTAGGTAGCAAAGGGCTCCAAATATCCCCTTGCAGATTCTGCAAAATGAGAGATTCAAAACTGCTCAATCAAAAGATAGGTTCAGCTCTGTGAGTTGAATGCTCACATAACAAAGAAGTTTCTCACAGTATTTCTGCCTAGTTTTTAAGTGAAGATATTTTCTTTTCCGAAATAGACCTCAAAGCCCTCCAAATATCAACTTCCAGACTCTACAAAAGCAGTGTTTCAAAACTGCTCAATCAAAAGAAATTGTCAACTCTGTGAGATGAATGTACACATCACAAAGAAGTTTCTCAGAATGCTTCTGTGTAGTTTTTATTTGAAGATATTTCCTTTTCCACCACAGGCCGCAAAGGGCTCCCAATATCCACTTGCAGATTGTACAAAAAGAGAGATTCAAAACTGGTCACTCAAGCACTGTGTGCTTCCGCTCTGTGAGTTGAATGCACACATCAAAAAGAAGTTTCTTAGAGTGCCTCTATGTAGATTTTATGTGAAGATATTTGCTTTTCCACTTTAGGTCTCAAAGCGCTCCAAATATCCACGTGCAGATTCTAAAAAAAGAGACATTCTAAGCTACTCCATCAAAAGATAGGTTCAGCTCTGTGAGTTGAATTCACACATCACAAAGAAGTTTCTAGGAGTGCTTCTGTGTAGTTGTTATGTGAAGATATTTGCTTTTCCACAGTAGGCCTCAAATCGCTCTACATATCCACTTGCAGTTTCTACAAAAAGAGTGTTTCCAAACTGCTCCATCATAAGACACGTTCAACTCTGAGAGTTGAATGCACACATCACAAAGAAGTTTCTCAGAATGCTTCTGTGTGGTTTTAATTTGAAGATATTTCCTTTTCCAAAACAGGCCTCAAAGCTCTCCAAATATCCCCCTGGTTATTCTGCAAAAAGAGGGTTTCAAAACTACTCAATAAAAAGGTAGATTCAACTCTGTGTGAGGAACGCATTCCTCACAAAGAAGTCTCTCTGAAAGCTTCTGTGTAGTTTTTATATGAAGATATTTCCTTTTGCACCACAGCGTGCAAACAGCTCCAAACTTCCACTTGCAGATTCTACAAAAAGAGATATTCAAAACTGTACAATCAAAAGATAGTTTCAACTCTGCGTGTTCAATGCACACATCACAAAGGACTTTCTCTGAATGCTTCTCTGTAGTGTTTGTTTATGTGAAGATATTTGCTTTTCCACTATAGGGTGAAACAGGGCTCCAGGTATCAACTTGCAGATTCTGCAAAAAGGAGATTCAAAACAGCTAAATCGAAAGATAACTTCAACTATGTGAGTTGAATGCACACACAAAAAAGAAGTTTCTCAGAATGCCTCTGTGTAGTTTTTATGTGAAGATATTTGATTTTCCACATTAGGCCTCAAAGCGCTCCAAATATCCACTTGCAGACTCTACAAGAAGACTCTTTCGAAACTGCCCTATCAAAAGAAACGTCCAACACTGTGAGATGCATGCACACATCACAAAGAAGTTTCTCAGAATGCTTCTTTGTAGTTTTCATGTGAAGATATTTCCTTTTCCAAAGAAGGCCACAAACTACTCCCAATATCCACTTCCAGGTTCTACAAAATGAGTGTTTCAAAACTGCTCAATCATTAGATAGGTTCAACTCTGTGAGATGAATGCACACATCACAAAGAAGTTTTTCGGAATGCTTCTATATAGTTTTTATGTGAAGGTGTTTCCTTTTCCACCATAGGTTGCAAAAGGGCTCCAAATATCCACTTGCAGATTCGACAAAAAGAGAGATTCAAAACTGCTCAATGATAAGTCCAACTCTGTGGGTTGAATCCATGCCTCACAGAGAAGTTTCTCAGAATGCTTCTCTGTAGTTTCTATGTGAAGATATTTCCTTTTTCACAATAGGCCTCAAGCTTTCCAAATATCCACTTGCAGATTCTGCAAAAAGAGAGATACAAAACTGCTCTATCAAAAGATAGGTTCGACTCTGGGAGTTCAATGCAAACATCACAAAGAAGTTTCTCAGAATGCTTCTGCGTAGTTTTTATGTGAAGATGTTCTGTTTTCTACCATAGGGCGAAATGGGGCTCCAAATCTCTACTTGCATTTTCTACAAAAGGAGAGATTCTAAGCTGCTCAATCAAAAGATAGGTTCAACACTGTTAGTTGAATGCACACATCCCAAAGAAGTCTCTGAGAATGCTTCTGTGTAGTTTTTATGTGAAGATATTTGCTTTTCCACAATAGGCCTCAAATCGTTCTAAATATCCACTTGCAGGCTCTACAAAAAGAGTGTTTCCAAATTGCTCAATCATAAGGTAGCTTCAACTCTGAGAGTTGAATGCTCACATCATGAAGAAGTTTCTCAGAATGGTTCTGTGTAGTTTTACTTTGAAGATATTTCATTTTCCAAATCAGGCCCCAAAGCTCTCCAAATATCCACTTGGTGATTCTGCAAAAGGAGCGTTTCAATACTGCTCAATAAAAAGAAAGGCTCAACTCTGTGTGAGGAATGCATTCATCACAAAGAAGTTTCTCTGAATGCTTCTTTGTAGTTTTTATATGAAGATATTTCCCTTTCCACCACAGGGTGCAAAGAGCTCCAAATATCCACTTGCAGATTCCACAAAAAAAGAGATATGAAAGTGCTCCATGGAAAGATAAGTTCAACTCTGTGAGTTGAATGCACACCTCACAAAGAAGTATCTCAAAATGCTTCTGCGTAGTTTTTATGTGAAGATATTTCCTTTTCCAAGTAGGCCTCAACGTTCTCCAGATATCCACTCGCAGATTCTGCAAAAAGAGAGACTCAAAACTGCTGAATCAAAAGATAGTTTCAACTCTGTGACTTCATTGCACACCTCACAAAGATGTTTCTCAGAATGCTTCTGTGCAGTTTTTATATAAAGATATCTCCTTCTCCAAAATAGATCTCAAAGTTATCCAAGTATTCACTTCCAGATTCTATGGAAAGATTATCTCAAAACTGCTCAATCAAACCAAAGGTTCAACTCTGTGAGATAAATGCACACATCACAAAGAAGTTTCTCAGAATACTTCCGTGTAGTTTTTATTTGAGGATAGTTCCTTTTCCACCACAGACCACAAAGGGCTCCAAATATCCATTGCAGATGGTACAAACAGAGAGACTCGAAACTGCTCAATCAAAAGGTAGTTTCAACCATGTGATATGAATGCACACAGCACAGAGAATTTTCTCAAAATGCTTCTGTCTAGTTTTTATTTGAAGATATATCCTTTTCTACCATAGGCCACAAACGTCTCCAAATATCCACATGCAGCTTCTACAAAAAGAGAGATTCAAAACTTCTCCATCAAAAGATAGGTTCAACTCTGTGAGTTGAATGCACACCTCACAAAGAAGTTTCTCAGAGTGCTTCTGTGTGTTTTTATGTGAACATATTCCCTTTTCCACAATAGGCCTCAAAGCTCTCCAAATATCTGCAAGCAGAGTCTACAAAAAGAGAGATTCAAAACTGCTCAATGAAAAGATAGGTTCAACTCTGTGAGTTGAATGCACACCTCCAAAGAAGTTTCTCAGAATGCTTCCGTGTGGTTTCTATGTGAAGATATTTACTTTTCCACAATTGTCCCAAAGCTCTAAAATATCCACTTGCAGACCCTCTGAAAGAGTGTTTCAGAATTGCTCAATCAAAGGAGAGGTTCAATTCTGTGTGACCAATGCACTCATCACCAAGAAGTTTGTCTGAATGCTTCTGTGTAGAATGGATTTGAAGATAATTCCTTTTCCACCACAGTCCGCAAAGGGCTAAAAATATCCATTTGCAGATTCCACAAAAAGAGAGATTCAGAACTGCTCAATCACAAGATAGGTTCAACTTGGTAATTTGAAAGCCCACATGACAAACAATTTCTGAGAATGTTTCTGTGTAGGTTTTGAGGGAAGATATTTGATTTTCAAATGTAGGCCTCAAATCGTTCCAAATATCCACTTGCAGATTGAACAAAAAGAGAGATTCAAAACTGGTCACTCAAGAGATAGGTCCAGCTCTGTGAGTTGAATGCAAACCTCACAAAGATGTTTCTCAGAAGGCTTCTGTATAGTTTTTATATGAAGATATTTGCTTTTCCACAACATACCTCAAATCTCTCCAATTATCCACTTGCAGATTCTACAGAAGGAGTGTTTTAAAACTGCTCAATCAAAATACACTTTCAACTCTGTGAGATCAATGCACACATCACAAAGAAGTTTCTCAGAATGCTTCTGTATAGTTTTTATCTGAAGTTACTTGCTTTTCCACGATAGGCCTCAAAGCACACCAAATATCCACTTGCAAATCCTATGAAAACAGTGTTCCAAAACTGGTCAATCATAAGATAGGTTTAACTCTGTGAGTTGAATGCACAATCACAAGAAGTTTCTCAGAATGCCTCTGTGTGCTTTTCATTTGAAGGTATTTCCTTTTCCACCATAGGCCGCAAAGGGCTCCAAATATCCCCTTGCAGATTCTGCAAAATGAGAGATTCAAAACTGCTCAATCAAAAGATAGGTTCAAGTCTGTGAGTTGAATGCTCACATAACAAAGAAGTTTCTTCTGTGTAGTTTTTATTTGAAGATATTTCCTTTTCCACCATAGGCCGCAAAGGGCTCCAAATATCCACTTGCAGATTGTATAAAAAGAGAGATTCAAAACTGGTCACTCGAAGGATCGGTTCAGCTCTGTGAGGTGAATGCACACATCAAAAAGAAGTTTCTTAGAGTGCCTCTATGTAGATTTTATGTGAAGATATTTGCTTTTCCACTTTAGGTCTCAAAGCGCTCCAAATATCCACGTGCAGATTCTAAAAAAAGAGAGATTCTAAGCTACTCCATCAAAAGATAGGTTCAGCTCTGTGAGTTGAATTCACACATCACAAAGAAGTTTCTAGGAGTGCTTCTGTGTAGTTGTTATGTGAAGATATTTGCTTTTCCACAGTAGGCCTCAAATCGCTCTACATATCCACTTGCAGTTTCTACAAAAAGAGTGTTTCCAAACTGCTCCATCATAAGACACGTTGAACTCTGAGAGTTGAATGCACACATCACAAAGAAGCTTCTCAGAATGCTTCTGTGTGGTTTTAATTTGAAGATATTTCCTTTTCCAAAACAGGCTTCAAAGCTCTCCAAATATCCACCTGGTTATTCTGCAAAAAGAGGGTTTCAATACTACTCAATAAAAAGGAAGATTCAACTCTGTGTGAGGAACGCATTCATCACAAAGAAGTCTTTCTGAATGCTTCTGTGTAGCTTTTATATGAAGATATTTCCTTTTACACCACAGGGTGCAAACAGCTCCAAACTTCCACTTGCAGATTCTACAAAAAGACGTATTCAAAACTGTACAATCAAAAGATAGTGTCAACTCTGCATGTTCAATGCACACATCACAAAGGACTTTCTCTGAATGCTTCTCTGTAGGGTTTGTTTATGTGAAGATATTTGCTTTTCCACTATAGGGTGAAACAGGGCTCCAAGTATCAACTTGCAGATTCTGCAAAAAGGAGATTCAAAACAGCTAAATCCAAAGATTACTTCAACTATGTGAGTTGAATGCACACACAAAAAAGAAGTTTCTCAGAATGCCTCTGTGTAGTTTTTATGTGAAGATATTTGATTTTCCACATTAGGCCTCAAAGCGCTCTAAATATCCACTTGCAGATTCTAGAAAAAGAGTGTTTCAAAACTGCCCTATCAAAAGAAACGTCCAACACTGTGAGATGAATGCACACATCACAAAGAAGTTTCTCAGAATGCTTCTTTGTAATTTTTATGTGAAGATATTCCCTTTTCCAAAGAAGGCCACAAAGTACTCCCAATATCCACTTGCAGGTTCTACAAAATGAGTGTTTCAAAACCGCTCAATCATTAGATAGGTTCAACTCTGTGAGACGAATGCACACGTCACAAAGAAGTTTTACGGAATGCTTCTATATAGTTTTTATTTGAAGGTATTTCCTTTTCCACCCTAGGTTGCAAAGGGCTCCAAATATCCACTTGCAGATTCGACAAAAAGAGAGATTCAAAACTGCTCAATGACAAGTCCAACTCTGTGGGTTGAATCCATGCCTCACAAAGAAGTTTCTCAGAATGCTTCTCTGTAGTTTTTATGTGAAGATATTTCCTTTTTCACAATAGGCCTCAAGCTTTCCAAATATCCACTTGCAGATTCCGCAAAAAGAGAGATACAAAAGTGCTCTATCAAAAGATAGGTTCGACTCTGGGAGTTCAATGCAAACATCACAAAGAAGTTTCTCAGAATGCTTCTGTGTAGATTTTATGTGAAGATGTTTTGTTTTCTACCATAGGGCAAAATGGGGCTCCAAATATCTACTTGCATTTTCTACAAAAAGAGAGATTCTAAGCTGCTCAATCAAAAGATACGTTCAACACTGTTAGTTGAATGCACACATGCCAAAGAAGTTTCTCAGAATGCTTCTGTGTAGTTTTTATGTGAAGATATTTGCTTTTCCACAATAGGCCTCAAATCGTTCTAAATATCCACTTGCAGGCTCTACAAAGAGAGTGTTTCCAAATTGCTCAATCATAAGGTAGGTTCAACTCTGAGAGTTGAATGCACACATCATAAAGAAGTTTCTCAGAATGGTTCTGTGTAGTTTTACTTTGAAGATATTTCATTTTCCAAAACAGGCCCCAAAGCTCTCCAAATATCCACTTGGTGATTCTGCAAAAAGAGCGTTTCAATACTGCTCCATAAAAAGAAAGGTTCAGCTCTGTGTGAGGAATGCATTCATCACAAGAAGTTTCTCTGAATGCTTCTTTGTAGTTTTTATATGAAGATAGTTCCCTTTCCACCACAGGGTGCAAAGAGCTCCAAATATCCACTTGCAGATTCTACAGAAAATGAGATATGAAAGTGCTCAAGGAAAAGATAAGTTCAACTCTGTGAGTTGAATGCACACCTCACAAAGAAGAATCTCAAAATGCTTCTGCATAGTTTATATGTGAAGATATTTCCTTTTCCAAATAGGCCTCCAAGTTCTCCAGATATCCACTCGCAGATTCTGCAAAAAGAGAGACTCAAAACTGCTGAATCAAAACATAGTTTCAACTCTGTGACTTCATTGCACACCTCACAAAGATGTTTCTCAGAATGCTTCTGTGCAGTTTTCATATAAAGATATCTCCTTCTCCAAAATAGATCTCAAGGTTCTCCAAATATTCACTTCCAGATTCTATGGAAAGATTGTCTCAAAACTGCTCAATCAAACCAAAGGTTCAACCCTGTGAGATGAATGCACACATCACAAGGAAGTTTCTCGGAATACTTCTGTGTAGTTTTTATTTGAGGATAGTTCCTTTTCCACCACAGACCACAAAGGGCTCCAAATATCCATTGCAGATGTTACAAAAAGAGAGATTCAAAACTGCTCAACCAAAAGGTAGTTTCAACCATGTGATATGAATGCACACAGCACAGAGAAATTTCTCAAAATGCTTCTGTCTAGTTTTTATTTGAAGATATTGCCTTTTCTACCATAGGCCACAAACGTCTCCAAATATCCACATGCAGCTTCTACAAAAAGAGAGATTCAAAGCTTCTCAATCAAAAGATAGGTTCAACTCTGTGAGTTGAATGCACACTTCACAAAGAAGTTTCTCAGAGTGCTTCTGTGTGTTTTTATGTGAAGATGATTCCTTTTCCACAATAGGCCTCAAAGCTCTCCAAGTATCTGCAAGCAGAGTCTACAAAAAGAGAGATTCAAAACTGCTCAATGAAAAGATAGGTTCAACTCTGTGAGTTGAATGCACACCTCCAAAGAAGTTTCTCAGAATGCTTCCGTGTAGTTTCTATGTGAAGATATTTACTTTTCCACAATTGTCCCAAAGCTCTAAAATATCCACTTGCAGACCCTCTGAAAGAGTGTTTCAGAATTGCTCAATCAAAGGAGAGGTTCAATTCTGTGTGACCAATGCACTCATCACAAAAAGTTTGTCTGAATGCTTCTGTGTAGAATGGATTTGAAGATAATTCCTTTTCCACCACAGTCCGCAAATGGCTAAAAATATCCACTTGCAGATTCCACAAAAAGAGAGATTCAAAACTGCTCAATCACAAGGTAGGTTCAACTTGGTAATTTGAAAGCACACATGACAAACAATTTCTGAGAATGTTTCTGTGTAGCTTTTAAGGGAAGATATTTGATTTTCAAATGTAGGCCTCAAAACGCTCCAAATATCCACTTGCAGATTGTACAAAAAGAGAGATTCAAAACTGGTCACTCAAAAGATAGTTCCAGCTCTGTGAGTTGAATGCAAACCTCACAAAGAGGTTTCTCAGAAAGCTTCTGTATAGTTTTTATATGAAGATACTTGCTTTTCCACAATATACCTCAAATCTCCCCAATTATCCACTTGCAGATTCTACAAAAAGAGTGTTTCAAAACTGCTCAATCAAAATACACTTTCAACTCTGTGAGATCAATGCACACATCACAAAGAAGTTTCTCAGAATGCTTCTGTATAGTTTTTATCTGAAGTTATTTGCTTTTCCACGATAGGCCTCAAAGCACGCCAAATATCCACTTGCAGATCCTATGAAAAGAGTGTTCCAAAACTGGTCAATCATAAGATAGGTTTAACTCTGTGAGTTGAATGCACAATCACGAGGAAGTTTCTCAGAATGCCTCTGTGTGCTTTTCATTTGAAGGTATTTCCTTTTCCACCATAGGCCGCAAAGGGCTCCAAATATCCCCTTGCAGATTCTGCAAAATGAGAGATTCAAAACTGCTCAATCAAAAGATAGGTTCAACTCTGTGAGTTGAATGCTCACATAACAAAGAAGTTTCTCACAGTATTTCTGTGTAGTTTTTATTTGAAGATATTTCCTTTTCCACCATAGGCCGCAAAGGGCTCCAAATATCCACTTGCAGATTGTATAAAAAGAGAGATTCAAAACTGGTCACTCGAAGGATCGGTTCAGCTCTGTGAGGTGAATGCACACATCAAAAAGAAGTTTCTTAGAGTGCCTCTATGTAGATTTTATGTGAAGATATTTGCTTTTCCACTTTAGGTCTCAAAGCGCTCCAAATATCCACGTGCAGATTCTAAAAAAAGAGAGATTCTAAGCTACTCCATCAAAAGATAGGTTCAGCTCTGTGAGTTGAATTCACACATCACAAAGAAGTTTCTAGGAGTGCTTCTGTGTAGTTGTTATGTGAAGATATTTGCTTTTCCACAGTAGGCCTCAAATCGCTCTACATATCCACTTGCAGTTTCTACAAAAAAGAGTGTTTCCAAACTGCTCCATCATAAGACACGTTGAACTCTGAGAGTTGAATGCACACATCACAAAGAAGCTTCTCAGAATGCTTCTGTGTGGTTTTAATTTGAAGATATTTGCTTTTCCAAAACAGGCCTCAAAGCTCTCCAAATATCCACCTGGTTATTCTGCAAAAAGAGGGTTTCAATACTACTCAATAAAAAGGAAGATTCAACTCTGTGTGAGGAACGCATTCATCACAAAGAAGTCTTTCTGAATGCTTCTGTGTAGCTTTTATATGAAGATATTTCCTTTTACACCACAGGGTGCAAACAGCTCCAAACTTCCACTTGCAGATTCTACAAAAAGACGTATTCAAAACTGTACAATCAAAAGATAGTGTCAACTCTGCATGTTCAATGCACACATCACAAAGGACTTTCTCTGAATGCTTCTCTGTAGGGTTTGTTTATGTGAAGACATTTGCTTTTCCACTATAGGGTGAAACAGGGCTCCAAGTATCAACTTGCAGATTCTGCAAAAAGGAGATTCAAAACAGCTAAATCCAAAGATTACTTCAACTATGTGAGTTGAATGCACACACAAAAAAGAAGTTTCTCAGAATGCCTCTGTGTAGTTTTTATGTGAAGATATTTGATTTTCCACATTAGGCCTCAAAGCGCTCCAAATATCCACTTGCAGACTCTACAAGAAGACTCTTTCGAAACTGCCCTATCAAAAGAAACGTCCAACAGTGTGAGATGCATGCACACATCACAAAGAAGTTTCTCAGAATGCTTCTATATAGTTTTTATGTGAAGGTGTTTCCTTTTCCACCATAGGTTGCAAAAGGGCTCCAAATATCCACTTGCAGATTCGACCAAAAGAGAGATTCAAAACTGCTCAATGATAAGTCCAACTCTGTGGGTTGAATCCATGCCTCACAGAGAAGTTTCTCAGAATGCTTCTCTGTAGTTTCTATGTGAAGATATTTCCTTTTTCACAATAGGCCTCAAGCTTTCCAAATATCCACTTGCAGATTCTGCAAAAAGAGAGATACAAAACTGCTCTATCAAAAGATAGGTTCGACTCTGGGAGTTCAATGCAAACATCACAAAGAAGTTTCTCAGAATGCTTCTGCGTAGTTTTTATGTGAAGATGTTCTGTTTTCTACCATAGGGCGAAATGGGGCTCCAAATCTCTACTTGCATTTTCTACAAAAGGAGAGATTCTAAGCTGCTCAATCAAAAGATAGGTTCAACACTGTTAGTTGAATGCACACATCCCAAAGAAGTCTCTGAGAATGCTTCTGTGTAGTTTTTATGTGAAGATATTTGCTTTTCCACAATAGGCCTCAAATCGTTCTAAATATCCACTTGCAGGCTCTACAAAAAGAGTGTTTCCAAATTGCTCAATCATAAGGTAGCTTCAACTCTGAGAGTTGAATGCTCACATCATGAAGAAGTTTCTCAGAATGGTTCTGTGTAGTTTTACTTTGAAGATATTTCATTTTCCAAATCAGGCCCCAAAGCTCTCCAAATATCCACTTGGTGATTCTGCAAAAAGAGCGTTTCAATACTGCTCAATAAAAAGAAAGGCTCAACTCTGTGTGAGGAATGCATTCATCACAAAGAAGTTTCTCTGAATGCTTCTTTGTAGTTTTTATATGAAGATATTTCCCTTTCCACCACAGGGTGCAAAGAGCTCCAAATATCCACTTGCAGATTCCACAAAAAAAGAGATATGAAAGTGCTCCATGGAAAGATAAGTTCAACTTCTGTGAGTTGAATGCACACCTCACAAAGAAGTATCTCAAAATGCTTCTGCATAGTTTATATGTGAAGATATTTCCTTTTCCAAATAGGCCTCCAAGTTCTCCAGATATCCACTCGCAGATTCTGCAAAAAGAGAGACTCAAAACTGCTGAATCAAAACATAGTTTCAACTCTGTGACTTCATTGCACACCTCACAAAGATGTTTCTCAGAATGCTTCTGTGCAGTTTTCATATAAAGATATCTCCTTCTCCAAAATAGATCTCAAGGTTCTCCAAATATTCACTTCCAGATT
The DNA here is from genome assembly GCF_000001405.40 of Homo sapiens. Lineage (NCBI taxonomy): Eukaryota > Metazoa > Chordata > Mammalia > Primates > Hominidae > Homo > Homo sapiens. The sequence goes on along the minus strand of NC_000015.10, from coordinate 17,130,324 downwards.
CTATGGAAAGATTGTCTCAAAACTGCTCAATCAAACCAAAGGTTCAACCCTGTGAGATGAATGCACACATCACAAGGAAGTTTCTCGGAATACTTCTGTGTAGTTTTTATTTGAGGATAGTTCCTTTTCCACCACAGACCACAAAGGGCTCCAAATATCCATTGCAGATGTTACAAAAAGAGAGATTCAAAACTGCTCAACCAAAAGGTAGTTTCAACCATGTGATATGAATGCACACAGCACAGAGAAATTTCTCAAAATGCTTCTGTCTAGTTTTTATTTGAAGATATTGCCTTTTCTACCATAGGCCACAAACGTCTCCAAATATCCACATGCAGCTTCTACAAAAAGAGAGATTCAAAGCTTCTCAATCAAAAGATAGGTTCAACTCTGTGAGTTGAATGCACACTTCACAAAGAAGTTTCTCAGAGTGCTTCTGTGTGTTTTTATGTGAAGATGATTCCTTTTCCACAATAGGCCTCAAAGCTCTCCAAGTATCTGCAAGCAGAGTCTACAAAAAGAGAGATTCAAAACTGCTCAATGAAAAGATAGGTTCAACTCTGTGAGTTGAATGCACACCTCCAAAGAAGTTTCTCAGAATGCTTTCCGTGTAGTTTCTATGTGAAGATATTTACTTTTCCACAATTGTCCCAAAGCTCTAAAATATCCACTTGCAGACCCTCTGAAAGAGTGTTTCAGAATTGCTCAATCAAAGGAGAGGTTCAATTCTGTGTGACCAATGCACTCATCACAAAAAGTTTGTCTGAATGCTTCTGTGTAGAATGGATTTGAAGATAATTCCTTTTCCACCACAGTCCGCAAATGGCTAAAAATATCCACTTGCAGATTCCACAAAAAGAGAGATTCAAAACTGCTCAATCACAAGGTAGGTTCAACTTGGTAATTTGAAAGCACACATGACAAACAATTTCTGAGAATGTTTCTGTGTAGCTTTTAAGGGAAGATATTTGATTTTCAAATGTAGGCCTCAAAACGCTCCAAATATCCACTTGCAGATTGTACAAAAAGAGAGATTCAAAACTGGTCACTCAAAAGATAGTTCCAGCTCTGTGAGTTGAATGCAAACCTCACAAAGATGTTTCTCAGAAAGCTTCTGTATAGTTTTTATATGAAGATACTTGCTTTTCCACAATATACCTCAAATCTCCCCAATTATCCACTTGCAGATTCTACAAAAAGAGTGTTTCAAAACTGCTCAATCAAAATACACTTTCAACTCTGTGAGATCAATGCACACATCACAAAGAAGTTTCTCAGAATGCTTCTGTATAGTTTTTATCTGAAGTTATTTGCTTTTCCACGATAGGCCTCAAAGCACGCCAAATATCCACTTGCAGATCCTATGAAAAGAGTGTTCCAAAACTGGTCAATCATAAGATAGGTTTAACTTCTGTGAGTTGAATGCACAATCACGAGGAAGTTTCTCAGAATGCCTCTGTGTGCTTTTCATTTGAAGGTATTTCCTTTTCCACCATAGGCCGCAAAGGGCTCCAAATATCCCCTTGCAGATTCTGCAAAATGAGAGATTCAAAACTGCTCAATCAAAAGATAGGTTCAACTCTGTGAGTTGAATGCTCACATAACAAAGAAGTTTCTTCTGTGTAGTTTTTATTTGAAGATATTTCCTTTTCCACCATAGGCCGCAAAGGGCTCCAAATATCCACTTGCAGATTGTATAAAAAGAGAGATTCAAAACTGGTCACTCGAAGGATCGGTTCAGCTCTGTGAGGTGAATGCACACATCAAAAAGAAGTTTCTTAGAGTGCCTCTATGTAGATTTTATGTGAAGATATTTGCTTTTCCACTTTAGGTCTCAAAGCGCTCCAAATATCCACGTGCAGATTCTAAAAAAAGAGAGATTCTAAGCTACTCCATCAAAAGATAGGTTCAGCTCTGTGAGTTGAATTCACACATCACAAAGAAGTTTCTAGGAGTGCTTCTGTGTAGTTGTTATGTGAAGATATTTGCTTTTCCACAGTAGGCCTCAAATCGCTCTACATATCCACTTGCAGTTTCTACAAAAAAGAGTGTTTCCAAACTGCTCCATCATAAGACACGTTGAACTCTGAGAGTTGAATGCACACATCACAAAGAAGCTTCTCAGAATGCTTCTGTGTGGTTTTAATTTGAAGATATTTGCTTTTCCAAAACAGGCCTCAAAGCTCTCCAAATATCCACCTGGTTATTCTGCAAAAAGAGGGTTTCAATACTACTCAATAAAAAGGAAGATTCAACTCTGTGTGAGGAACGCATTCATCACAAAGAAGTCTTTCTGAATGCTTCTGTGTAGCTTTTATATGAAGATATTTCCTTTTACACCACAGGGTGCAAACAGCTCCAAACTTCCACTTGCAGATTCTACAAAAAGACGTATTCAAAACTGTACAATCAAAAGATAGTGTCAACTGTGCATGTTCAATGCACACATCACAAAGGACTTTCTCTGAATGCTTCTCTGTAGGGTTTGTTTATGTGAAGATATTTGCTTTTCCACTATAGGGTGAAACAGGGCTCCAAGTATCAACTTGCAGATTCTGCAAAAAGGAGATTCAAAACAGCTAAATCCAAAGATTACTTCAACTATGTGAGTTGAATGCACACACAAAAAAGAAGTTTCTCAGAATGCCTCTGTGTAGTTTTTATGTGAAGATATTTGATTTTCCACATTAGGCCTCAAAGCGCTCCAAATATCCACTTGCAGATTCTAGAAAAAGAGTGTTTCAAAACTGCCCTATCAAAAGAAACGTCCAACACTGTGAGATGAATGCACACATCACAAAGAAGTTTCTCAGAATGCTTCTTTGTAGTTTTTATGTGAAGATATTCCCTTTTCCAAAGAAGGCCACAAAGTACTCCCAATATCCACTTGCAGGTTCTACAAAATGAGTGTTTCAAAACCGCTCAATCATTAGATAGGTTCAACTCTGTGAGACGAATGCACACATCACAAAGAAGTTTTACGGAATGCTTCTATATAGTTTTTATTTGAAGGTATTTCCTTTTCCACCCTAGGTTGCAAAGGGCTCCAAATAAACACTTGCAGATTCGACAAAAAGAGAGATTCTAAACTGCTCAATGATAAGTCCAACTCTGTGGGTTGAATCCATGCCTCACAAAGAAGTTTCTCAGAATGCTTCTCTGTAGTTTTTATGTGAAGATATTTCCTTTTTCACAATAGGCCTCAAGCTTTCCAAATATCCACTTGCAGATTCCGCAAAAAGAGAGATACAAAAGTGCTCTATCAAAAGATAGGTTCGACTCTGGGAGTTCAATGCAAACATCACAAAGAAGTTTCTCAGAATGCTTCTGTGTAGTTTTTATGTGAAGATGTTCTGTTTTCTACCATAGGGCAAAATGGGGCTCCAAATATCTACTTGCATTTTCTACAAAAAGAGAGATTCTAAGCTGCTCAATCAAAAGATACGTTCAACACTGTTAGTTGAATGCACACATGCCAAAGAAGTTTCTCAGAATGCTTCTGTGTAGTTTTTATGTGAAGATATTTGCTTTTCCACAATAGGCCTCAAATCGTTCTAAATATCCACTTGCAGGCTCTACAAAAAGAGTGTTTCCAAATTGGTCAGTCATAAGGTAGGTTCAACTCTGAGAGTTGAATGCACACATCATAAAGAAGTTTCTCAGAATGGTTCTGTGTAGTTTTACTTTGAAGATATTTCATTTTCCAAAACAGGCCCCAAAGCTCTCCAAATATCTACTTGGTGATTCTGCAAAAAGAGCGTTTCAATACTGCTCAATAAAAAGAAACGTTCAGCTCTGTGTGAGGAATGCATTCATCACAAAGAAGTTTCTCTGAATGCTTCTTTGTAGTTTTTATATGAAGATAGTTCCCTTTCCACCACAGGGTGCAAAGAGCTCCAAATATCCACTTGCAGATTCTACAGAAAATGAGATACGAAAGTGCTCAAGGAAAAGATAAGTTCAACTCTGTGAGTTGCATGCACACCTCACAAAGAAGAATCTCAAAATGCTTCTGCATAGTTTATATGTGAAGATATTTCCTTTTCCAAATAGGCCTCCAAGTTCTCCAGATATCCACTCGCAGATTCTGCAAAAAGAGAGACTCAAAACTGCTGAATCAAAACATAGTTTCAACTCTGTGACTTCATTGCACACCTCACAAAGATGTTTCTCAGAATGCTTCTGTGCAGTTTTTATATAAAGATATCTCCTTCTCCAAAATAGATCTCAAGGTTCTCCAAATATTCACTTCCAGATTCTATGGAAAGATTGTCTCAAAACTGCTCAATCAAACCAAAGGTTCAACCGTATGAGATGAATGCACACATCACAAGGAAGTTTCTCGGAATACTTCTGTGTAGTTTTTATTTGAGGATAGTTCCTTTTCCACCACAGACCACAAAGGGCTCCAAATATCCATTGCAGATGGTACAAAAAGAGAGATTCAAAACTGCTCAATCAAAAGGTAGTTTCAACCATGTGATATGAATGCACACAGCACAGAGAAATTTCTCAAAATGCTTCTGTCTAGTTTTTATTTGAAGATATTGCCTTTTCTACCATAGGCCACAAACGTCTCCAAATATCCACATGCAGCTTCTACAAAAAGAGAGATTCAAAGCTTCTCAATCAAAAGATAGGTTCAACTCTGTGAGTTGAATGCACACTTCACAAAGAAGTTTCTCAGAGTGCTTCTGTGTGTTTTTATGTGAAGATGATCCCTTTTCCACAATAGGCCTCAAAGCTCTCCAAATATCTGCAAGCAGAGTCTACAAAAAGAGAGATTCAAAACTGCTCAATGAAAAGATAGGTTCAACTCTGTGAGTTGAATGCACACCTCCAAAGAAGTTTCTCAGAATGCTTTCTATGTAGTTTTTATTTGAAGGTATTTCCTTTTCCACCAAAGGTAGCAAAGGGCTCCAAATATCCACTTGCTGATTCTACAAAAAAAAAAAATATTTTAAACTGCTCAATCAAAAGATAGGTTCAACGCTGTGAGTTGAATGCACACATCACAAAGTAGTTTCTCAGAATGCTTCTGTATAGTTTTTATATGAAGATACTTGCTTTTCCACAATATACCTCAAATCTCCCCCAATTATCCACTTGCAGATTCTACAAAAAGAGTGTTTCAAAACTGCTCAATCAAAATACACTTTCAACTCTGTGAGATCAATGCACACATCACAAAGAAGTTTCTCAGAATGCTTCTGTGTAGTTTTTTTTTTCAAGATATTTCCTTTTCCACCATAGGCTGCAAAGGACTCCAAATATCCAGTTGCAGATTCTACAAAAAGAGAGATTCAAAACTGCTCAATCAAAAAATAGGTTCAACTCTGTGAGTTGAATGCACACATCACAAAGAAGTTTTTCGAAATGCTTCTATAGAGTTTTTATTTGAAGGTATTTCCTTTTCCACCCTAGGTTGCAAAGGGCTCCAAATATACACTTGCAGATTCGACAAAAAGAGAGATTCAAAACTGCTCAATGATAAGTCCAACTCTGTGGGTTGCATCCATGCCTCACAAAGAAGTTTCTCAGAATGCTTCTCTGTAGTTTTTATGTGAAGATATTTCCTTTTTCACAATAGGCCTCAAGCTTTCCAAATATCCACTTGCAGATTCCGCAGAAAGAGAGATACAAAAGTGCTCTATCAAAAGATAGGTTCGACTCTGGGAGTTCAATGCAAACATCACAAAGAAGTTTCTCAGAATGCTTCTGTGTAGTTTTTATGTGAAGATGTTTTGTTTTCCACCATAGGGCGAAATGGGGCTCCAAATATCCACTTGCATTTTCTACAAAAAGAGAGATTCTAAGCTGCTCAATCAAAAGATAGGTTTAACACTGTTAGTTGAATGCACACATCCCAAAGAAGTTTCTCAGAATGCTTCTGCGTAGTTTCTATGTGAAGATATTTCCTTTTCTACAATAGGCCTCAAATCTCTCTAAATATCCACTTGCAGATTCTACAAAAAGAGTGTTTCCAAACTGCTCAATCATAAGATAGGTTCAACTCTGAGAGTTGAATGCACACATCACAATGAAGTTTTTCAGAATGCTTCTGTTTAGTTTTAATTTGAAGATACTTCCTTTTCCAAAACAGGCTTCAAAGCTCTCCAAATATCCACTTGTTGATTCTGCAAAAAGAGGGTTTTAATACTGCTCAATAAAAAGAAAGGTTCAACTCTGTGTGAGGAATGCATTCATCACAAAGAAGTTTCTCAGAAAGCTTCTTTGTAGTTTTTATATGAAGATAGTTCCCTTTCCACCACAGGGTGCAAAGAGCTCCAAATATCCACTTGCAGATTCTACAGAAAATGAGATATGAAAGTGCTCAAGGAAAAGATAATTTCAACTCTGTGACTTGAATGCACACCTCACAAAGAAGAATCTCAAAATGCTTCTGCATAGTTTATATGTGAAGATATTTCCTTTTCCAAATAGGCCTCCAAGTTCTCCAGATATCCACTCGCAGATTCTGCAAAAAGAGAGACTCAAAACTGCTGAATCAAAGCATAGTTTCAACTCTGTGACTTCATTGCACACCTCACAAAGATGTTTCTCAGAATGCTTCTGTGCAGTTTTCATATAAAGATATCTCCTTCTCCAAAATAGATCTCAAGGTTCTCCAAATATTCACTTCCAGATTCTATGGAAAGATTGTCTCAAAACTGCTCAATCAAACCAAAGGTTCAACCCTGTGAGATGAATGCACACATCACAAGGAAGTTTCTCGGAATACTTCTGTGTAGTTTTTATTTGAGGATAGTTCCTTTTCCACCACAGACCACAAAGGGCTCCAAATATCCATTGCAGATGTTACAAAAAGAGAGATTCAAAACTGCTCAACCAAAAGGTAGTTTCAACCATGTGATATGAATGCACACAGCACAGAGAAATTTCTCAAAATGCTTCTGTCTAGTTTTTATTTGAAGATATTGCCTTTTCTACCATAGGCCACAAACGTCTCCAAATATCCACATGCAGCTTCTACAAAAAGAGAGATTCAAAGCTTCTCAATCAAAAGATAGGTTCAACTCTGTGAGTTGAATGCACACTTCACAAAGAAGTTTCTCAGAGTGCTTCTGTGTGTTTTTATGTGAAGATGTTCCCTTTTCCACAATAGGCCTCAAAGCTCTCCAAATATCTGCAAGCAGAGTCTACAAAAAGAGAGATTCAAAACTGCTCAATGAAAAGATAGGTTCAACTCTGTGAGTTGAATGCACACCTCCAAAGAAGTTTCTCAGAATGCTTCCGTGTAGTTTCTATGTGAAGATATTTACTTTTCCACAATTGTCCCAAAGCTCTAAAATATCCACTTGCAGACCCTCTGAAAGAGTGTTTCAGAATTGCTCAATCAAAGGAGAGGTTCAATTCTGTGTGACCAATGCACTCATCACAAAAAGTTTGTCTGAATGCTTCTGTGTAGAATGGATTTGAAGATAATTCCTTTTCCACCACAGTCCGCAAATGGCTAAAAATATCCACTTGCAGATTCCACAAAAAGAGAGATTCAAAACTGCTCAATCACAAGGTAGGTTCAACTTGGTAATTTGAAAGCACACATGACAAACAATTTGCTGAGAATGTTTCTGTGTAGCTTTTAAGGGAAGATATTTGATTTTCAAATGTAGGCCTCAAAACGCTCCAAATATCCACTTGCAGATTGTACAAAAAGAGAGATTCAAAACTGGTCACTCAAAAGATAGTTCCAGCTCTGTGAGTTGAATGCAAACCTCACAAAGATGTTTCTCAGAAAGCTTCTGTATAGTTTTTATATGAAGATACTTGCTTTTCCACAATATACCTCAAATCTCCCCAATTATCCACTTGCAGATTCTACAAAAAGAGTGTTTCAAAACTGCTCAATCAAAATACACTTTCAACTCTGTGAGATCAATGCACACATCACAAAGAAGTTTCTCAGAATGCTTCTGTATAGTTTTTATCTGAAGTTATTTGCTTTTCCACGATAGGCCTCAAAGCACGCCAAATATCCACTTGCAGATCCTATGAAAAGAGTGTTCCAAAACTGGTCAATCATAAGATAGGTTTAACTCTGTGAGTTGAATGCACAATCACGAGGGAAGTTTCTCAGAATGCCTCTGTGTGCTTTTCATTTGAAGGTATTTCCTTTTCCACCATAGGCCGCAAAGGGCTCCAAATATCCCCTTGCAGATTCTGCAAAATGAGAGATTCAAAACTGCTCAATCAAAAGATAGGTTCAACTCTGTGAGTTGAATGCTCACATAACAAAGAAGTTTCTCACAGTATTTCTGTGTAGTTTTTATTTGAAGATATTTCCTTTTCCACCATAGGCCGCAAAGGGCTCCAAATATCCACTTGCAGATTGTATAAAAAGAGAGATTCAAAACTGGTCACTCGAAGGATCGGTTCAGCTCTGTGAGGTGAATGCACACATCAAAAAGAAGTTTCTTAGAGTGCCTCTATGTAGATTTTATGTGAAGATATTTGCTTTTCCACTTTAGGTCTCAAAGCGCTCCAAATATCCACGTGCAGATTCTAAAAAAAGAGAGATTCTAAGCTACTCCATCAAAAGATAGGTTCAGCTCTGTGAGTTGAATTCACACATCACAAAGAAGTTTCTAGGAGTGCTTCTGTGTAGTTGTTATGTGAAGATATTTGCTTTTCCACAGTAGGCCTCAAATCGCTCTACATATCCACTTGCAGTTTCTACAAAAAGAGTGTTTCCAAACTGCTCCATCATAAGACACGTTGAACTCTGAGAGTTGAATGCACACATCACAAAGAAGCTTCTCAGAATGCTTCTGTGTGGTTTTAATTTGAAGATATTTCCTTTTCCAAAACAGGCCTCAAAGCTCTCCAAATATCCACCTGGTTATTCTGCAAAAAGAGGGTTTCAATACTACTCAATAAAAAGGAAGATTCAACTCTGTGTGAGGAACGCATTCATCACAAAGAAGTCTTTCTGAATGCTTCTGTGTAGCTTTTATATGAAGATATTTCCTTTTACACCACAGGGTGCAAACAGCTCCAAACTTCCACTTGCAGATTCTACAAAAAGACGTATTCAAAACTGTACAATCAAAAGATAGTGTCAACTCTGCATGTTCAATGCACACATCACAAAGGACTTTCTCTGAATGCTTCTCTGTAGGGTTTGTTTATGTGAAGATATTTGCTTTTCGACTATAGGGTGAAACAGGGCTCCAAGTATCAACTTGCAGATTCTGCAAAAAGGAGATTCAAAACAGCTAAATCCAAAGATTACTTCAACTATATGAGTTGAATGCACACACAAAAAAGAAGTTTCTCAGAATGCCTCTGTGTAGTTTTTATGTGAAGATATTTGATTTTCCACATTAGGCCTCAAAGCGCTCCAAATATCCACTTGCAGATTCTACAAAAAGAGTGTTTCAAAACTGCTCAATCAAAAGAAACGTCCAACACTGTGAGATGAATGCACACATCACACAGAAGTTTTTCAGAATGCTTCTTTGTAGTTTTTATGTGAAGATATTCCCTTTTCCAAAGAAGGCCACAAAGTACTCCCAATATCCACTTGCAGGTTCTACAAAATGAGTGTTTCAAAACCGCTCAATCATTAGATAGGTTCAACTCTGTGAGACGAATGCACACGTCACAAAGAAGTTTTACGGAATGCTTCTATATAGTTTTTATTTGAAGGTATTTCCTTTTCCACCCTAGGTTACAAAGGGCTCCAAATATCCACTTGCAGATTCGACAAAAAGAGAGATTCAAAACTGCTCAATGACAAGTCCAACTCTGTGGGTTGAATCCATGCCTCACAAAGAAGTTTCTCAGAATGCTTCTCTGTAGTTTTTATGTGAAGATATTTCCTTTTTCACAATAGGCCTCAAGCTTTCCAAATATCCACTTGCAGATTCCGCAAAAAGAGAGATACAAAAGTGCTCTATCAAAAGATAGGTTCGACTCTGGGAGTTCAATGCAAACATCACAAAGAAGTTTCTCAGAATGCTTCTGTGTAGATTTTATGTGAAGATGTTTTGTTTTCTACCATAGGGCAAAATGGGGCTCCAAATATCTACTTGCATTTTCTACAAAAAGAGAGATTCTAAGCTGCTCAATCAAAAGATACGTTCAACACTGTTAGTTGAATGCACACATGCCAAAGAAGTTTCTCAGAATGCTTCTGCGTAGTTTCTATGTGAAGATATTTCCTTTTCCACAATAGGCCTCAAATCTCTCTAAATATCCACTTGCAGATTCTACAAAAAGAGTGTTTCCAAACTGCTCAATCATAAGATAGGTTCAACTCTGAGAGTTGAATGAACACATCACAATGAAGTTTTTCAGAATGCTTCTGTGTAGTTTTACTTTGAAGATATTTCATTTTCCAAAACAGGCCCCAAAGCTCTCCAAATATCCACTTGGTGATTCTGCAAAAAGAGCGTTCGTTACTGCTCAATAAAAAGAAAGGTTCAGCTCTGTGTGAGGAATGCATTCATCACAAGAAGTTTCTCTGAATGCTTCTTTGTAGTTTTTATATGAAGATATTTCCCTTTCCACCACAGGGTGCAAAGAGCTCCAAATATCCACTTGCAGATTCCACAAAGAAAGAGATATGAAAGTGCTCCATGGAAAGATAAGTTCAACTCTGTGAGTGGAATGCACACCTCACAAAGAAGTATCTCAAAATGCTTCTGCGTAGTTTTTATGTGAAGATATTTCCTTTTCCAAATAGTCCTCAAAGTTCTCCAGATATCCACTCGCAGATTCTGCAAAAAGAGAGACTCAAAACTGCTGAATCAAAAGATAGTTTCAACTCTGTGACTTCATTGCACACCTCACAAACATGTTTCTCAGAATGCTTCTGTGCAGTTTTCATATAAAGATATCTCCTTCTCCAAAATAGATCTCAAGGTTCTCCAAATATTCACTTCCAGATTCTATGGAAAGATTGTCTCAAAACTGCTCAATCAAACCAAAGGTTCAACCCTGTGAGATGAATGCACACATCACAAGGAAGTTTCTCGGAATACTTCTGTGTAGTTTTTATTTGAGGATAGTTCCTTTTCCACCACAGACCACAAAGGGCTCCAAATATCCATTGCAGATGTTACAAAAAGAGAGATTCAAAACTGCTCAACCAAAAGGTAGTTTCAACCATGTGATATGAATGCACACAGCACAGAGAAATTTCTCAAAATGCTTCTGTCTAGTTTTTATTTGAAGATATTGCCTTTTCTACCATAGGCCACAAACGTCTCCAAATATCCACATGCAGCTTCTACAAAAAGAGAGATTCAAAGCTTCTCAATCAAAAGATAGGTTCAACTCTGTGAGTTGAATGCACACTTCACAAAGAAGTTTCTCAGAGTGCTTCTGTGTGTTTTTATGTGAAGATGATTCCTTTTCCACAATAGGCCTCAAAGCTCTCCAAGTATCTGCAAGCAGAGTCTACAAAAAGAGAGATTCAAAACTGCTCAATGAAAAGATAGGTTCAACTCTGTGAGTTGAATGCACACCTCCAAAGAAGTTTCTCAGAATGCTTCCGTGTAGTTTCTATGTGAAGATATTTACTTTTCCACAATTGTCCCAAAGCTCTAAAATATCCACTTGCAGACCCTCTGAAAGAGTGTTTCAGAATTGCTCAATCAAAGGAGAGGTTCAATTCTGTGTGACCAATGCACTCATCACAAAAAGTTTGTCTGAATGCTTCTGTGTAGAATGGATTTGAAGATAATTCCTTTTCCACCACAGTCCGCAAATGGCTAAAAATATCCACTTGCAGATTCCACAAAAAGAGAGATTCAAAACTGCTCAATCACAAGGTAGGTTCAACTTGGTAATTTGAAAGCACACATGACAAACAATTTCTGAGAATGTTTCTGTGTAGCTTTTAAGGGAAGATATTTGATTTTCAAATGTAGGCCTCAAAACGCTCCAAATATCCACTTGCAGATTGTACAAAAAGAGAGATTCAAAACTGGTCACTCAAAAGATAGTTCCAGCTCTGTGAGTTGAATGCAAACCTCACAAAGATGTTTCTCAGAAAGCTTCTGTATAGTTTTTATATGAAGATACTTGCTTTTCCACAATATACCTCAAATCTCCCCAATTATCCACTTGCAGATTCTACAAAAAGAGTGTTTCAAAACTGCTCAATCAAAATACACTTTCAACTCTGTGAGATCAATGCACACATCACAAAGAAGTTTGCTCAGAATGCTCTTTTCCACGATAGGCCTCAAAGCACGCCAAATATCCACTTGCAGATCCTATGAAAAGAGTGTTCCAAAACTGGTCAATCATAAGATAGGTTTAACTCTGTGAGTTGAATGCACAATCACGAGGAAGTTTCTCAGAATGCCTCTGTGTAGTTTTTGTTTGAAGGTATTTCCTTTTCCACCATAGATAGCAAAGGGCTCCAAATATCCATTTGCAGATTCTGCAAAATGAGAGATTCAAAACTGCTCAATCAAAAGATAGGTTCAACTCTGTGAGTTGAATGCACACTTAACAAAGAAGTTTCTCACAATATTTCTGTGTAGTTTTTATTTGAAGATATTTCCTTTTCCACCATAGGCCGCAAAGGGCTCCAAATATCCACTTGCAGATTGTACAAAAAGAGAGATTCAAAACTGGTCACTCAAAGGATCGGTTCAGCTCTGTGAGGTGAATGCACACATCAAAAAGAAGTTTCTTAGAGTGCCTCTATGTAGATTTTATGTGAAGATATTTGCTTTTCCACTTTAGGTCTCAAAGCGCTCCAAATATCCACGTGCAGATTCTAAAAAAAGAGAGATTCTAAGCTACTCCATCAAAAGATAGGTTCAGCTCTGTGAGTTGAATTCACACATCACAAAGAAGTTTCTAGGAGTGCTTCTGTGTAGTTGTTATGTGAAGATATTTGCTTTTCCACAGTAGGCCTCAAATCGCTCTACATATCCACTTGCAGTTTCTACAAAAAGAGTGTTTCCAAACTGCTCCATCATAAGACACGTTCAACTCTGAGAGTTGAATGCACACATCACAAAGAAGCTTCTCAGAATGCTTCTGTGTGGTTTTAATTTGAAGATATTTCCTTTTCCAAAACAGGCCTCAAAGCTCTCCAAATATCCACCTGGTTATTCTGCAAAAAGAGGGTTTCAATACTACTCAATAAAAAGGAAGATTCAACTCTGTGTGAGGAACGCATTCATCACAAAGAAGTCTTTCTGAATGCTTCTGTGTAGCTTTTATATGAAGATATTTCCTTTTACACCACAGGGTGCAAACAGCTCCAAACTTCCACTTGCAGATTCTACAAAAAGACGTATTCAAAACTGTACAATCAAAAGATAGTGTCAACTCTGCATGTTCAATGCACACATCACAAAGGACTTTCTCTGAATGCTTCTCTGTAGGGTTTGTTTATGTGAAGATATTTGCTTTTCCACTATAGGGTGAAACAGGGCTCCAAGTATCAACTTGCAGATTCTGCAAAAAGGAGATTCAAAACAGCTAAATCCAAAGATTACTTCAACTATGTGAGTTGAATGCACACACAAAAAAGAAGTTTCTCAGAATGCCTCTGTGTAGTTTTTATGTGAAGATATTTGATTTTCCACATTAGGCCTCAAAGCGCTCTAAATATCCACTTGCAGATTCTAGAAAAAGAGTGTTTCAAAACTGCCCTATCAAAAGAAACGTCCAACACTGTGAGATGAATGCACACATCACAAAGAAGTTTCTCAGAATGCTTCTTTGTAATTTTTATGTGAAGATATTCCCTTTTCCAAAGAAGGCCACAAAGTACTCCCAATATCCACTTGCAGGTTCTACAAAATGAGTGTTTCAAAACCGCTCAATCATTAGATAGGTTCAACTCTGTGAGACGAATGCACACGTCACAAAGAAGTTTTACGGAATGCTTCTATGTAGTTTTTATTTGAAGGTATTTCCTTTTCCACCAAAGGTAGCAAAGGGCTCCAAATATCCACTTGCTGATTCTACAAAAAAAAAATATTTTAAACTGCTCAATCAAAAGATAGGTTCAACTCTGTGAGTTGAATGCACACATCACAAAGTAGTTTCTCAGAATGCTTCTCTGTAGTTTTTATGTGAAGATATTTCCTTTTTCACAATAGGCCTCAAGCTTTCCAAATATCCACTTGCAGATTCCGCAAAAAGAGAGATACAAAAGTGCTCTATCAAAAGATAGGTTCGACTCTGGGAGTTCAATGCAAACATCACAAAGAAGTTTCTCAGAATGCTTCTGTGTAGATTTTATGTGAAGATGTTTTGTTTTCTACCATAGGGCAAAATGGGGCTCCAAATATCTACTTGCATTTTCTACAAAAAGAGAGATTCTAAGCTGCTCAATCAAAAGATACGTTCAACACTGTTAGTTGAATGCACACATGCCAAAGAAGTTTCTCAGAATGCTTCTGTGTAGTTTTTATGTGAAGATATTTGCTTTTCCACAATAGGCCTCAAATCGTTCTAAATATCCACTTGCAGGCTCTACAAAAAGAGTGTTTCCAAATTGGTCAATCATAAGGTAGGTTCAACTCTGAGAGTTGAATGCACACATCATAAAGAAGTTTCTCAGAATGGTTCTGTGTAGTTTTACTTTGAAGATATTTCATTTTCCAAAACAGGCCCCAAAGCTCTCCAAATATCCACTTGGTGATTCTGCAAAAAGAGCGTTTCAATACTGCTCCATAAAAAGAAAGGTTCAGCTCTGTGTGAGGAATGCATTCATCACAAGAAGTTTCTCTGAATGCTTCTTTGTAGTTTTTATATGAAGATAGTTCCCTTTCCACCACAGGGTGCAAAGAGCTCCAAATATCCACTTGCAGATTCTACAGAAAATGAGATATGAAAGTGCTCAAGGAAAAGATAATTTCAACTCTGTGACTTGAATGCACACCTCACAAAGAAGAATCTCAAAATGCTTCTGCATAGTTTATATGTGAAGATATTTCCTTTTCCAAATAGGCCTCCAAGTTCTCCAGATATCCACTCGCAGATTCTGCAAAAAGAGAGACTCAAAACTGCTGAATCAAAACATAGTTTCAACTCTGTGACTTCATTGCACACCTCACAAAGATGTTTCTCAGAATGCTTCTGTGCAGTTTTCATATAAAGATATCTCCTTCTCCAAAATAGATCTCAAGGTTCTCCAAATATTCACTTCCAGATTCTATGGAAAGATTGTCTCAAAACTGCTCAATCAAACCAAAGGTTCAACCCTGTGAGATGAATGCACACATCACAAGGAAGTTTCTCAGAATACTTCTGTGTAGTTTTTATTTGAGGATAGTTCCTTTTCCACCACAGACCACAAAGGGCTCCAAATATCCATTGCAGATGTTACAAAAAGAGAGATTCAAAACTGCTCAACCAAAAGGTAGTTTCAACCATGTGATATGAATGCACACAGCACAGAGAAATTTCTCAAAATGCTTCTGTCTAGTTTTTATTTGAAGATATTGCCTTTTCTACCATAGGCCACAAACGTCTCCAAATATCCACATGCAGCTTCTACAAAAAGAGAGATTCAAAGCTTCTCAATCAAAAGATAGGTTCAACTCTGTGAGTTGAATGCACACTTCACAAAGAAGTTTCTCAGAGTGCTTCTGTGTGTTTTTATGTGAAGATGATTCCTTTTCCACAATAGGCCTCAAAGCTCTCCAAATATCTGCAAGCAGAGTCTACAAAAAGAGAGATTCAAAACTGCTCAATGAAAAGATAGGTTCAACTCTGTGAGTTGAATGCACACCTCCAAAGAAGTTTCTCAGAATGCTTCCGTGTAGTTTTTATGTGAAGATATTTACTTTTCCACAATTGTCCCAAAGCTCTAAAATATCCACTTGCAGACCCTCTGAAAGAGTGTTTCAGAATTGCTCAATCAAAGGAGAGGTTCAATTCTGTGTGACCAATGCACTCATCACCAAGAAGTTTGTCTGAATGCTTCTGTGTAGAATGGATTTGAAGATAATTCCTTTTCCACCACAGTCCGCAAAGGGCTAAAAATATCCATTTGCAGATTCCCCAAAAAGAGAGATTCAGAACTGCTCAATCACAAGGTAGGTTCAACTTGGTAATTTGAAAGCCCACATGACAAACAATTTCTGAGAATGTTTCTATGTAGATTTTAAGGGAAGATATTTGATTTTCAAATGTAGGCCTCAAATCGCTCCAAATATCCACTTGCAGATTGAACAAAAAGAGAGATTCAAAACTGGTCACTCAAGAGATAGTTCCAGCTCTGTGAGTTGAATGCAAACCTCACAAAGATGTTTCTCAGAAGGCTTCTGTATAGTTTTTATATGAAGATATTTGCTTTTCCACAACATACCTCAAATCTCTCCAATTATCCACTTGCAGATTCTACAGAAGGAGTGTTTTAAAACTGCTCAATCAAAATACACTTTCAACTCTGTGAGATCAATGCACACATCACAAAGAAGTTTCTCAGAATGCTTCTGTATAGTTTTTATCTGAAGTTACTTGCTTTTCCACGATAGGCCTCAAAGCACACCAAATATCCACTTGCAGATCCTATGAAAACAGTGTTCCAAAACTGGTCAATCATAAGATAGGTTTAACTCTGTGAGTTGAATGCACAATCACAAGAAGTTTCTCAGAATGCCTCTGTGTAGTTTTTATTTGGAGGTATTTCCTTTTCCACCCTAGGTAGCAAAGGGCTCCAAATATCCCCTTGCAGATTCTGCAAAATGAGAGATTCAAAACTGCTCAATCAAAAGATAGGTTCAGCTCTGTGAGTTGAATGCTCACATAACAAAGAAGTTTCTCACAGTATTTCTGCCTAGTTTTTAAGTGAAGATATTTTCTTTTCCGAAATAGACCTCAAAGCCCTCCAAATATCAACTTCCAGACTCTACAAAAGCAGTGTTTCAAAACTGCTCAATCAAAAGAAATTGTCAACTCTGTGAGATGAATGTACACATCACAAAGAAGTTTCTCAGAATGCTTCTGTGTAGTTTTTATTTGAAGATATTTCCTTTTCCACCACAGGCCGCAAAGGGCTCCCAATATCCACTTGCAGATTGTACAAAAAGAGAGATTCAAAACTGGTCACTCAAGCACTGTGTGCTTCCGCTCTGTGAGTTGAATGCACACATCAAAAAGAAGTTTCTTAGAGTGCCTCTATGTAGATTTTATGTGAAGATATTTGCTTTTCCACTTTAGGTCTCAAAGCGCTCCAAATATCCACGTGCAGATTCTAAAAAAAGAGACATTCTAAGCTACTCCATCAAAAGATAGGTTCAGCTCTGTGAGTTGAATTCACACATCACAAAGAAGTTTCTAGGAGTGCTTCTGTGTAGTTGTTATGTGAAGATATTTGCTTTTCCACAGTAGGCCTCAAATCGCTCTACATATCCACTTGCAGTTTCTACAAAAAGAGTGTTTCCAAACTGCTCCATCATAAGACACGTTCAACTCTGAGAGTTGAATGCACACATCACAAAGAAGTTTCTCAGAATGCTTCTGTGTGGTTTTAATTTGAAGATATTTCCTTTTCCAAAACAGGCCTCAAAGCTCTCCAAATATCCCCCTGGTTATTCTGCAAAAAGAGGGTTTCAAAACTACTCAATAAAAAGGTAGATTCAACTCTGTGTGAGGAACGCATTCCTCACAAAGAAGTCTCTCTGAAAGCTTCTGTGTAGTTTTTATATGAAGATATTTCCTTTTGCACCACAGCGTGCAAACAGCTCCAAACTTCCACTTGCAGATTCTACAAAAAGAGATATTCAAAACTGTACAATCAAAAGATAGTTTCAACTCTGCATGTTCAATGCACACATCACAAAGGACTTTCTCTGAATGCTTCTCTGTAGTGTTTGTTTATGTGAAGATATTTGCTTTTCCACTATAGGGTGAAACAGGGCTCCAGGTATCAACTTGCAGATTCTGCAAAAAGGAGATTCAAAACAGCTAAATCGAAAGATAACTTCAACTATGTGAGTTGAATGCACACACAAAAAAGAAGTTTCTCAGAATGCCTCTGTGTAGTTTTTATGTGAAGATATTTGATTTTCCACATTAGGCCTCAAAGCGCTCCAAATATCCACTTGCAGACTCTACAAGAAGACTCTTTCGAAACTGCCCCATCAAAAGAAACGTCCAACACTGTGAGATGCATGCACACATCACAAAGAAGTTTCTCAGAATGCTTCTTTGTAGTTTTCATGTGAAGATATTTCCTTTTCCAAAGAAGGCCACAAACTACTCCCAATATCCACTTCCAGGTTCTACAAAATGAGTGTTTCAAAACTGCTCAATCATTAGATAGGTTCAACTCTGTGAGATGAATGCACACATCACAAAGAAGTTTTTCGGAATGCTTCTATATAGTTTTTATGTGAAGGTGTTTCCTTTTCCACCATAGGTTGCAAAAGGGCTCCAAATATCCACTTGCAGATTCGACCAAAAGAGAGATTCAAAACTGCTCAATGATAAGTCCAACTCTGTGGGTTGAATCCATGCCTCACAGAGAAGTTTCTCAGAATGCTTCTCTGTAGTTTCTATGTGAAGATATTTCCTTTTTCACAATAGGCCTCAAGCTTTCCAAATATCCACTTGCAGATTCTGCAAAAAGAGAGATACAAAACTGCTCTATCAAAAGATAGGTTCGACTCTGGGAGTTCAATGCAAACATCACAAAGAAGTTTCTCAGAATGCTTCTGCGTAGTTTTTATGTGAAGATGTTCTGTTTTCTACCATAGGGCGAAATGGGGCTCCAAATCTCTACTTGCATTTTCTACAAAAGGAGAGATTCTAAGCTGCTCAATCAAAAGATAGGTTCAACACTGTTAGTTGAATGCACACATCCCAAAGAAGTCTCTGAGAATGCTTCTGTGTAGTTTTTATGTGAAGATATTTGCTTTTCCACAATAGGCCTCAAATCGTTCTAAATATCCACTTGCAGGCTCTACAAAAAGAGTGTTTCCAAATTGCTCAATCATAAGGTAGCTTCAACTCTGAGAGTTGAATGCTCACATCATGAAGAAGTTTCTCAGAATGGTTCTGTGTAGTTTTACTTTGAAGATATTTCATTTTCCAAATCAGGCCCCAAAGCTCTCCAAATATCCACTTGGTGATTCTGCAAAAAGAGCGTTTCAATACTGCTCAACAAAAAGAAAGGCTCAACTCTGTGTGAGGAATGCATTCATCACAAAGAAGTTTCTCTGAATGCTTCTTTGTAGTTTTTATATGAAGATATTTCCCTTTCCACCACAGGGTGCAAAGAGCTCCAAATATCCACTTGCAGATTCCACAAAAAAAGAGATATGAAAGTGCTCCATGGAAAGATAAGTTCAACTCTGTGAGTTGAATGCACACCTCACAAAGAAGTATCTCAAAATGCTTCTGCGTAGTTTTTATGTGAAGATATTTCCTTTTCCAAGTAGGCCTCAACGTTCTCCAGATATCCACTCGCAGATTCTGCAAAAAGAGAGACTCAAAACTGCTGAATCAAAAGATAGTTTCAACTCTGTGACTTCATTGCACACCTCACAAAGATGTTTCTCAGAATGCTTCTGTGCAGTTTTTATATAAAGATATCTCCTTCTCCAAAATAGATCTCAAAGTTATCCAAGTATTCACTTCCAGATTCTATGGAAAGATTATCTCAAAACTGCTCAATCAAACCAAAGGTTCAACTCTGTGAGATAAATGCACACATCACAAAGAAGTTTCTCAGAATACTTCCGTGTAGTTTTTATTTGAGGATAGTTCCTTTTCCACCACAGACCACAAAGGGCTCCAAATATCCATTGCAGATGGTACAAACAGAGAGACTCGAAACTGCTCAATCAAAAGGTAGTTTCAACCATGTGATATGAATGCACACAGCACAGAGAATTTTCTCAAAATGCTTCTGTCTAGTTTTTATTTGAAGATATATCCTTTTCTACCATAGGCCACAAACGTCTCCAAATATCCACATGCAGCTTCTACAAAAAGAGAGATTCAAAACTTCTCCATCAAAAGATAGGTTCAACTCTGTGAGTTGAATGCACACCTCACAAAGAAGTTTCTCAGAGTGCTTCTGTGTGTTTTTATGTGAACATATTCCCTTTTCCACAATAGGCCTCAAAGCTCTCCAAATATCTGCAAGCAGAGTCTACAAAAAGAGAGATTCAAAACTGCTCAATGAAAAGATAGGTTCAACTCTGTGAGTTGAATGCACACCTCCAAAGAAGTTTCTCAGAATGCTTCCGTGTAGTTTCTATGTGAAGATATTTACTTTTCCACAATTGTCCCAAAGCTCTAAAATATCCACTTGCAGACCCTCTGAAAGAGTGTTTCAGAATTGCTCAATCAAAGGAGAGGTTCAATTCTGTGTGACCAATGCACTCATCACCAAGAAGTTTGTCTGAATGCTTCTGTGTAGAATGGATTTGAAGATAATTCCTTTTCCACCACAGTCCGCAAAGGGCTAAAAATATCCATTTGCAGATTCCACAAAAAGAGAGATTCAGAACTGCTCAATCACAAGATAGGTTCAACTTGGTAATTTGAAAGCCCACATGACAAACAATTTCTGAGAATGTTTCTGTGTAGTTTTTAAGGGAAGATATTTGATTTTCAAATGTAGGCCTCAAATCGCTCCAAATATCCACTTGCAGATTGAACAAAAAGAGAGATTCAAAACTGGTCACTCAAGAGATAGGTCCAGCTCTGTGAGTTGAATGCAAACCTCACAAAGATGTTTCTCAGAAGGCTTCTGTATAGTTTTTATATGAAGATATTTGCTTTTCCACAACATACCTCAAATCTCTCCAATTATCCACTTGCAGATTCTACAGAAGGAGTGTTTTAAAACTGCTCAATCAAAATACACTTTCAACTCTGTGAGATCAATGCACACATCACAAAGAAGTTTCTCAGAATGCTTCTGTATAGTTTTTATCTGAAGTTACTTGTTTTTCCACGATAGGCCTCAAAGCACACCAAATATCCACTTGCAGATCCTGTGAAAACAGTGTTCCAAAACTGGTCAATCATAAGATAGGTTTAACTCTGTGAGTTGAATGCACAATCACAAGAAGTTTCTCAGAATGCCTCTGTGTAGTTTTTATTTGGAGGTATTTCCTTTTCCACCCTAGGTAGCAAAGGGCTCCAAATATCCCCTTGCAGATTCTGCAAAATGAGAGATTCAAAACTGCTCAATCAAAAGATAGGTTCAGCTCTGTGAGTTGAATGCTCACATAACAAAGAAGTTTCTCACAGTATTTCTGCCTAGTTTTTAAGTGAAGATATTTTCTTTTCCGAAATAGACCTCAAAGCCCTCCAAATATCAACTTCCAGACTCTACAAAAGCAGTGTTTCAAAACTGCTCAATCAAAAGAAATTGTCAACTCTGTGAGATGAATGTACACATCACAAAGAAGTTTCTCAGAATGCTTCTGTGTAGTTTTTATTTGAAGATATTTCCTTTTCCACCACAGGCCGCAAAGGGCTCCCAATATCCACTTGCAGATTGTACAAAAAGAGAGATTCAAAACTGGTCACTCAAGCACTGTGTGCTTCCGCTCTGTGAGTTGAATGCACACATCAAAAAGAAGTTTCTTTAGAGTGCCTCTGTCTAGTTTTTATGTGAAGATATTTGCTTTTCCACAGTAGGTCTCAAAGCGCTCCAAATATCCACTTGCAGATTCTAAAAAAAGAGAGATTCTAAACTACTCCATCAGAAGATAGGTTCATCTCTGTGAGTTGAAATCACACATCACAAAGAAGTTTCTCAGAGTGCTTCTGTGTAGTTTTTATGTCAAGATATTTTCTTTTCCACAATAGGCCTCAAATCGCTCTAAATATCCACTTGCAGATTCTACAAAACGAGTGTTTCAAAACTGCTCAATCATAAGATAGGAGCAACCCTGAGAGTTGAATGCACACATCACAAAGAAGTTTCTCAGAATGCTTCTGTGTAGTTTTAATTTGAAGATATTTCCTTTTCCAAAACAGGCCTCAAAGCTCTCCAAATATCCAATTGGTGATTCTGCAAAAAGAAGGTTTCAATACTACTCAATAAAAAGAAAGGTTCAACTCTGTGTGAGGAATGCATTCATCACAAAGAAGTCTCTGAATGCTTCTGTGTAGTTTTTATATGAAGATATTTCCTTTTACACCACAGGGTGCAAAGAGCTCCAAACTTCCACTTGCAGATTCTACAAAAAGAGATATTCAAAACTGTACAATGAAAATATAGTATCAACTCTGCATGTTCAATGCACACATCACAAAGAACTTTCTCTGAATGCTTCTGTGTAGTGTTTGTTTATGTGAAGATATCTGCTTTTCCACTATAGGGTGAAATAGGGCTCCAAATATCCACGTGCAGATTTTGCAAAAAGGAGATTCAAAGCATCTCAATCAAAAGATAACTTCAACTATGTGAGTTGAATGCACACAAAACAAAGAAGTTTCTCAGAATGCCTCTGTGTAGTTTTTATGTGAAGATATTTGATTTTCCACATTAGGCCTCAAAGCGCTCCAAATATCCACTTGCAGATTCTACAAAAAGAGTGTTTCAAAACTGCTCAATCAAAAGAAACGTCCAACACTGTGAGATGAATGCACACATCACAAAGAAGTTTCTCAGAATGCTTCTGTGTAGTTTTTATGTGAAGATATTTGCTTTTCCACGAAGCCCTCAAACGCACCAAATATCCACTTGCGGTTCCTACAAAATGAGTGTTTCAAAACTGCTCAGTCATTAGATAGGTTCAACCCTGTGAGAAGAATGCACACATCACAAAGAAGTTTTTCAGAATGCTTCTATGTAGTTTTTATTTGAAGGTATTTCCTTTTCCACCAAAGGTAGCAAAGGGCTCCAAATATCCACTTGCTGATTCTACCAAAAAAATATTTTAAACTGCTCAATCAAAAGATAGGTTCAACTCTGTGAGTTGAATGCACACATCACAAAGTAGTTTCTCAGAATGCTTCTGTCTAGTTTTTATGTGAAGATATTTGCTTTTCCAATAGTAGGTCTCAAAGCACTCCAAATATCCACTTGCAGATTCTAAAAAAAGAGAGATTCTAAACTACTCCATCAAAAGATAGGTTCAGCTCTGTGAGTTGAATTCACACATCACAAAGAAGTTTCTCAGAGTGCTTCTGTGTAGTTGTTATGTGAAGATATTTGCTTTTCCACAGTAGGCCTCAAATCGCTCTACATATCCACTTGCAGTTTCTACAAAAAGAGTGTTTCCAAACTGCTCCATCATAAGACACGTTCAACTCTGAGAGTTGAATGCACACATCACAAAGAAGTTTACTCAGAATGCTTCTGTGTGGTTTTAATTTGAAGATATTTCCTTTTCCAAAACAGGCCTCAAAGCTCTCCAAATATCCCCCTGGTTATTCTGCAAAAAGAGGGTTTCAAAACTACTCAATAAAAAGGTAGATTCAACTCTGTGTGAGGAACGCATTCCTCACAAAGAAGTCTCTCTGAAAGCTTCTGTGTAGTTTTTATATGAAGATATTTCCTTTTGCACCACAGCGTGCAAACAGCTCCAAACTTCCACTTGCAGATTCTACAAAAAGAGATATTCAAAACTGTACAATCAAAAGATAGTTTCAACTCTGCGTGTTCAATGCACACATCACAAAGGACTTTCTCTGAATGCTTCTCTGTAGTGTTTGTTTATGTGAAGATATTTGCTTTTCCACTATAGGGTGAAACAGGGCTCCAGGTATCAACTTGCAGATTCTGCAAAAAGGAGATTCAAAACAGCTAAATCGAAAGATAACTTCAACTATGTGAGTTGAATGCACACACAAAAAAGAAGTTTCTCAGAATGCCTCTGTGTAGTTTTTATGTGAAGATATTTGATTTTCCACATTAGGCCTCAAAGCGCTCCAAATATCCACTTGCAGACTCTACAAGAAGACTCTTTCGAAACTGCCCCATCAAAAGAAACGTCCAACACTGTGAGATGCATGCACACATCACAAAGAAGTTTCTCAGAATGCTTCTTTGTAGTTTTCATGTGAAGATATTTCCTTTTCCAAAGAAGGCCACAAACTACTCCCAATATCCACTTCCAGGTTCTACAAAATGAGTGTTTCAAAACTGCTCAATCATTAGATAGGTTCAACTCTGTGAGATGAATGCACACATCACAAAGAAGTTTTTCGGAATGCTTCTATATAGTTTTTATGTGAAGGTGTTTCCTTTTCCACCATAGGTTGCAAAAGGGCTCCAAATATCCACTTGCAGATTCGACCAAAAGAGAGATTCAAAACTGCTCAATGATAAGTCCAACTCTGTGGGTTGAATCCATGCCTCACAGAGAAGTTTCTCAGAATGCTTCTCTGTAGTTTCTATGTGAAGATATTTCCTTTTTCACAATAGGCCTCAAGCTTTCCAAGTATCCACTTGCAGATTCTGCAAAAAGAGAGATACAAAACTGCTCTATCAAAAGATAGGTTCGACTCTGGGAGTTCAATGCAAACATCACAAAGAAGTTTCTCAGAATGCTTCTGTGTAGTTTTTATGTGAAGATGTTCTGTTTTCTACCATAGGGCGAAATGGGGCTCCAAATCTCTACTTGCATTTTCTACAAAAGGAGAGATTCTAAGCTGCTCAATCAAAAGATAGGTTCAACACTGTTAGTTGAATGCACACATCCCAAAGAAGTTTCTGAGAATGCTTCTGTGTAGTTTTTATGTGAAGATATTTGCTTTTCCACAATAGGCCTCAAATCGTTCTAAATATCCACTTGCAGGCTCTACAAAAAGAGTGTTTCCAAATTGCTCAATCATAAGGTAGGTTCAACTCTGAGAGTTGAATGCTCACATCATGAAGAAGTTTCTCAGAATGGTTCTGTGTAGTTTTACTTTGAAGATATTTCATTTTCCAAATCAGGCCCCAAAGCTCTCCAAATATCCACTTGGTGATTCTGCAAAAGGAGCGTTTCAATACTGCTCAATAAAAAGAAAGGCTCAACTCTGTGTGAGGAATGCATTCATCACAAAGAAGTTTCTCTGAATGCTTCTTTGTAGTTTTTATATGAAGATATTTCCCTTTCCACCACAGGGTGCAAAGAGCTCCAAATATCCACTTGCAGATTCCACAAAAAAAGAGATATGAAAGTGCTCCATGGAAAGATAAGTTCAACTCTGTGAGTTGAATGCACACCTCACAAAGAAGTATCTCAAAATGCTTCTGCGTAGTTTTTATGTGAAGATATTTCCTTTTCCAAGTAGGCCTCAACGTTCTCCAGATATCCACTCGCAGATTCTGCAAAAAGAGAGACTCAAAACTGCTGAATCAAAAGATAGTTTCAACTCTGTGACTTCATTGCACACCTCACAAAGATGTTTCTCAGAATGCTTCTGTGCAGTTTTTATATAAAGATATCTCCTTCTCCAAAATAGATCTCAAAGTTATCCAAGTATTCACTTCCAGATTCTATGGAAAGATTATCTCAAAACTGCTCAATCAAACCAAAGGTTCAACTCTGTGAGATAAATGCACACATCACAAAGAAGTTTCTCAGAATACTTCCGTGTAGTTTTTATTTGAGGATAGTTCCTTTTCCACCACAGACCACAAAGGGCTCCAAATATCCATTGCAGATGGTACAAACAGAGAGACTCGAAACTGCTCAATCAAAAGGTAGTTTCAACCATGTGATATGAATGCACACAGCACAGAGAATTTTCTCAAAATGCTTCTGTCTAGTTTTTATTTGAAGATATATCCTTTTCTACCATAGGCCACAAACGTCTCCAAATATCCACATGCAGCTTCTACAAAAAGAGAGATTCAAAACTTCTCCATCAAAAGATAGGTTCAACTCTGTGAGTTGAATGCACACCTCACAAAGAAGTTTCTCAGAGTGCTTCTGTGTGTTTTTATGTGAACATATTCCCTTTTCCACAATAGGCCTCAAAGCTCTCCAAATATCTGCAAGCAGAGTCTACAAAAAGAGAGATTCAAAACTGCTCAATGAAAAGATAGGTTCAACTCTGTGAGTTGAATGCACACCTCCAAAGAAGTTTCTCAGAATGCTTCCGTGTAGTTTTTATGTGAAGATATTTACTTTTCCACAATTGTCCCAAAGCTCTAAAATATCCACTTGCAGACCCTCTGAAAGAGTGTTTCAGAATTGCTCAATCAAAGGAGAGGTTCAATTCTGTGTGACCAATGCACTCATCACAAAAAGTTTGTCTGAATGCTTCTGTGTAGAATGGATTTGAAGATAATTCCTTTCCCACCACAGTCCGCAAATGGCTAAAAATATCCACTTGCAGATTCCACAAAAAGAGAGATTCAAAACTGCTCAATCACAAGGTAGGTTCAACTTGGTAATTTGAAAGCACACATGACAAACAATTTCTGAGAATGTTTCTGTGTAGCTTTTAAGGGAAGATATTTGATTTTCAAATGTAGGCCTCAAAACGCTCCAAATATCCACTTGCAGATTGTACAAAAAGAGAGATTCAAAACTGGTCACTCAAAAGATAGTTCCAGCTCTGTGAGTTGAATGCAAACCTCACAAAGATGTTTCTCAGAAAGCTTCTGTATAGTTTTTATATGAAGATACTTGCTTTTCCACAATATACCTCAAATCTCCCCAATTATCCACTTGCAGATTCTACAAAAAGAGTGTTTCAAAACTGCTCAATCAAAATACACTTTCAACTCTGTGAGATCAATGCACACATCACAAAGAAGTTTCTCAGAATGCTTCTGTATAGTTTGCTTTTCCACGATAGGCCTCAAAGCACGCCAAATATCCACTTGCAGATCCTATGAAAAGAGTGTTCCAAAACTGGTCAATCATAAGATAGGTTTAACTCTGTGAGTTGAATGCACAATCACGAGGAAGTTTCTCAGAATGCCTCTGTGTAGTTTTTATTTGAAGGTATTTCCTTTTCCACCATAGATAGCAAAGGGCTCCAAATATCCTCTTGCAGATTCTGCAAAATAAGAGATTCAAAACTGCTCAATCAAAAGATAGGTTCAACTCTGTGAGTTGAATGCACACATAACAAAGAAGTTTCTCACAATATTTCTGCATAGTTTTTAAGTGAAGATATTTTCTTTTCCAAAATAGACCTCAAAGCCCTGCAAATATCAACTTCCAGATTCTACAAAAGCGGTGTTTCAAAACTGCTCAATGAAAAGAAAGTTTCAACTCTGTGTGATGAATGTACACATCACAAAGAAGTTTCTCAGAATGCTTCTATGTAGATTTTATGTGAAGATATTTGCTTTTCCACTTTAGGTCTCAAAGCGCTCCAAATATCCACGTGCAGATTCTAAAAAAAGAGAGATTCTAAGCTACTCCATCAAAAGATAGGTTCAGCTCTGTGAGTTGAATTCACACATCACAAAGAAGTTTCTAGGAGTGCTTCTGTGTAGTTGTTATGTGAAGATATTTGCTTTTCCACAGTAGGCCTCAAATCGCTCTACATATCCACTTGCAGTTTCTACAAAAAGAGTGTTTCCAAACTGCTCCATCATAAGACACGTTGAACTCTGAGAGTTGAATGCACACATCACAAAGAAGCTTCTCAGAATGCTTCTGTGTGGTTTTAATTTGAAGATATTTCCTTTTCCAAAACAGGCCTCAAAGCTCTCCAAATATCCACCTGGTTATTCTGCAAAAAGAGGGTTTCAATACTACTCAATAAAAAGGAAGATTCAACTCTGTGTGAGGAACGCATTCATCACAAAGAAGTCTTTCTGAATGCTTCTGTGTAGCTTTTATATGAAGATATTTCCTTTTACACCACAGGGTGCAAACAGCTCCAAACTTCCACTTGCAGATTCTACAAAAAGACGTATTCAAAACTGTACAATCAAAAGATAGTGTCAACTCTGCATGTTCAATGCACACATCACAAAGGACTTTCTCTGAATGCTTCTCTGTAGGGTTTGTTTATGTGAAGACATTTGCTTTTCCACTATAGGGTGAAACAGGGCTCCAAGTATCAACTTGCAGATTCTGCAAAAAGGAGATTCAAAACAGCTAAATCCAAAGATTACTTCAACTATGTGAGTTGAATGCACACACAAAAAAGAAGTTTGCTCAGAATGCCTCTGTGTAGTTTTTATGTGAAGATATTTGATTTTCCACATTAGGCCTCAAAGCGCTCCAAATATCCACTTGCAGACTCTACAAGAAGACTCTTTCGAAACTGCCCTATCAAAAGAAACGTCCAACAGTGTGAGATGCATGCACACATCACAAAGAAGTTTCTCAGAATGCTTCTATATAGTTTTTATGTGAAGGTGTTTCCTTTTCCACCATAGGTTGCAAAAGGGCTCCAAATATCCACTTGCAGATTCGACCAAAAGAGAGATTCAAAACTGCTCAATGATAAGTCCAACTCTGTGGGTTGAATCCATGCCTCACAGAGAAGTTTCTCAGAATGCTTCTCTGTAGTTTCTATGTGAAGATATTTCCTTTTTCACAATAGGCCTCAAGCTTTCCAAATATCCACTTGCAGATTCTGCAAAAAGAGAGATACAAAACTGCTCTATCAAAAGATAGGTTCGACTCTGGGAGTTCAATGCAAACATCACAAAGAAGTTTCTCAGAATGCTTCTGTGTAGTTTTTATGTGAAGATGTTCTGTTTTCTACCATAGGGCGAAATGGGGCTCCAAATCTCTACTTGCATTTTCTACAAAAGGAGAGATTCTAAGCTGCTCAATCAAAAGATAGGTTCAACACTGTTAGTTGAATGCACACATCCCAAAGAAGTTTCTGAGAATGCTTCTGTGTAGTTTTTATGTGAAGATATTTGCTTTTCCACAATAGGCCTCAAATCGTTCTAAATATCCACTTGCAGGCTCTACAAAAAGAGTGTTTCCAAATTGCTCAATCATAAGGTAGCTTCAACTCTGAGAGTTGAATGCTCACATCATGAAGAAGTTTCTCAGAATGGTTCTGTGTGGTTTTACTTTGAAGATATTTCATTTTCCAAATCAGGCCCCAAAGCTCTCCAAATATCCACTTGGTGATTCTGCAAAAGGAGCGTTTCAATACTGCTCAATAAAAAGAAAGGCTCAACTCTGTGTGAGGAATGCATTCATCACAAAGAAGTTTCTCTGAATGCTTCTTTGTAGTTTTTATATGAAGATATTTCCCTTTCCACCACAGGGTGCAAAGAGCTCCAAATATCCACTTGCAGATTCCACAAAAAAAGAGATATGAAAGTGCTCCATGGAAAGATAAGTTCAACTCTGTGAGTTGAATGCACACCTCACAAAGAAGTATCTCAAAATGCTTCTGCGTAGTTTTTATGTGAAGATATTTCCTTTTCCAAGTAGGCCTCAACGTTCTCCAGATATCCACTCGCAGATTCTGCAAAAAGAGAGACTCAAAACTGCTGAATCAAAAGATAGTTTCAACTCTGTGACTTCATTGCACACCTCACAAAGATGTTTCTCAGAATGCTTCTGTGCAGTTTTTATATAAAGATATCTCCTTCTCCAAAATAGATCTCAAAGTTATCCAAGTATTCACTTCCAGATTCTATGGAAAGATTATCTCAAAACTGCTCAATCAAACCAAAGGTTCAACTCTGTGAGATAAATGCACACATCACAAAGAAGTTTCTCAGAATACTTCCGTGTAGTTTTTATTTGAGGATAGTTCCTTTTCCACCACAGACCACAAAGGGCTCCAAATATCCATTGCAGATGGTACAAACAGAGAGACTCGAAACTGCTCAATCAAAAGGTAGTTTCAACCATGTGATATGAATGCACACAGCACAGAGAATTTTCTCAAAATGCTTCTGTCTAGTTTTTATTTGAAGATATATCCTTTTCTACCATAGGCCACAAACGTCTCCAAATATCCACATGCAGCTTCTACAAAAAGAGAGATTCAAAACTTCTCCATCAAAAGATAGGTTCAACTCTGTGAGTTGAATGCACACCTCACAAAGAAGTTTCTCAGAGTGCTTCTGTGTGTTTTTATGTGAACATATTCCCTTTTCCACAATAGGCCTCAAAGCTCTCCAAATATCTGCAAGCAGAGTCTACAAAAAGAGAGATTCAAAACTGCTCAATGAAAAGATAGGTTCAACTCTGTGAGTTGAATGCACACCTCCAAAGAAGTTTCTCAGAATGCTTCCGTGTAGTTTCTATGTGAAGATATTTACTTTTCCACAATTGTCCCAAAGCTCTAAAATATCCACTTGCAGACCCTCTGAAAGAGTGTTTCAGAATTGCTCAATCAAAGGAGAGGTTCAATTCTGTGTGACCAATGCACTCATCACCAAGAAGTTTGTCTGAATGCTTCTGTGTAGAATGGATTTGAAGATAATTCCTTTTCCACCACAGTCCGCAAAGGGCTAAAAATATCCATTTGCAGATTCCACAAAAAGAGAGATTCAGAACTGCTCAATCACAAGATAGGTTCAACTTGGTAATTTGAAAGCCCACATGACAAACAATTTCTGAGAATGTTTCTGTGTAGTTTTTAAGGGAAGATATTTGATTTTCAAATGTAGGCCTCAAATCGCTCCAAATATCCACTTGCAGATTGAACAAAAAGAGAGATTCAAAACTGGTCACTCAAGAGATAGGTCCAGCTCTGTGAGTTGAATGCAAACCTCACAAAGATGTTTCTCAGAAGGCTTCTGTATAGTTTTTATATGAAGATATTTGCTTTTCCACAACATACCTCAAATCTCTCCAATTATCCACTTGCAGATTCTACAGAAGGAGTGTTTTAAAACTGCTCAATCAAAATACACTTTCAACTCTGTGAGATCAATGCACACATCACAAAGAAGTTTCTCAGAATGCTTCTGTATAGTTTTTATCTGAAGTTACTTGCTTTTCCACGATAGGCCTCAAAGCACACCAAATATCCACTTGCAGATCCTGTGAAAACAGTGTTCCAAAACTGGTCAATCATAAGATAGGTTTAACTCTGTGAGTTGAATGCACAATCACAAGAAGTTTCTCAGAATGCCTCTGTGTAGTTTTTATTTGGAGGTATTTCCTTTTCCACCCTAGGTAGCAAAGGGCTCCAAATATCCCCTTGCAGATTCTGCAAAATGAGAGATTCAAAACTGCTCAATCAAAAGATAAGTTCAGCTCTGTGAGTTGAATGCTCACATAACAAAGAAGTTTCTCACAGTATTTCTGCCTAGTTTTTAAGTGAAGATATTTTCTTTTCCGAAATAGACCTCAAAGCCCTCCAAATATCAACTTCCAGACTCTACAAAAGCAGTGTTTCAAAACTGCTCAATCAAAAGAAATTGTCAACTCTGTGAGATGAATGTACACATCACAAAGAAGTTTCTCAGAATGCTTCTGTGTAGTTTTTATTTGAAGATATTTCCTTTTCCACCACAGGCCGCAAAGGGCTCCCAATATCCACTTGCAGATTGTACAAAAAGAGAGATTCAAAACTGGTCACTCAAGCACTGTGTGCTTCCGCTCTGTGAGTTGAATGCACACATCAAAAAGAAGTTTCTTAGAGTGCCTCTATGTAGATTTTATGTGAAGATATTTGCTTTTCCACTTTAGGTCTCAAAGCGCTCCAAATATCCACGTGCAGATTCTAAAAAAAGAGAGATTCTAAGCTACTCCATCAAAAGATAGGTTCAGCTCTGTGAGTTGAATTCACACATCACAAAGAAGTTTCTAGGAGTGCTTCTGTGTAGTTGTTATGTGAAGATATTTGCTTTTCCACAGTAGGCCTCAAATCGCTCTACATATCCACTTGCAGTTTCTACAAAAAGAGTGTTTCCAAACTGCTCCATCATAAGACACGTTCAACTCTGAGAGTTGAATGCACACATCACAAAGAAGTTTCTCAGAATGCTTCTGTGTGGTTTTAATTTGAAGATATTTCCTTTTCCAAAACAGGCCTCAAAGCTCTCCAAATATCCCCCTGGTTATTCTGCAAAAAGAGGGTTTCAAAACTACTCAATAAAAAGGTAGATTCAACTCTGTGTGAGGAACGCATTCCTCACAAAGAAGTCTCTCTGAAAGCTTCTGTGTAGTTTTTATATGAAGATATTTCCTTTTGCACCACAGCGTGCAAACAGCTCCAAACTTCCACTTGCAGATTCTACAAAAAGAGATATTCAAAACTGTACAATCAAAAGATAGTTTCAACTCTGCGTGTTCAATGCACACATCACAAAGGACTTTCTCTGAATGCTTCTCTGTAGTGTTTGTTTATGTGAAGAGATTTGCTTTTCCACTATAGGGTGAAACAGGGCTCCAGGTATCAACTTGCAGATTCTGCAAAAAGGAGATTCAAAACAGCTAAATCGAAAGATAACTTCAACTATGTGAGTTGAATGCACACACAAAAAAGAAGTTTCTCAGAATGCCTCTGTGTAGTTTTTATGTGAAGATATTTGATTTTCCACATTAGGCCTCAAAGCGCTCCAAATATCCACTTGCAGACTCTACAAGAAGACTCTTTCGAAACTGCCCCATCAAAAGAAACGTCCAACACTGTGAGATGCATGCACACATCACGAAGAAGTTTCTCAGAATGCTTCTTTGTAGTTTTTATGTGAAGATATTCCCTTTTCCAAAGGAAGGCCACAAAGTACTCCCAATATCCACTTGCAGGTTCTACAAAATGAGTGTTTCAAAACCGCTCAATCATTAGATAGGTTCAACTCTGTGAGACGAATGCACACATCACAAAGAAGTTTTACGGAATGCTTCTATATAGTTTTTATTTGAAGGTATTTCCTTTTCCACCCTAGGTTACAAAGGGCTCCAAATATCCACTTGCAGATTCGACAAAAAGAGAGATTCAAAACTGCTCAATGACAAGTCCAACTCTGTGGGTTGAATCCATGCCTCACAAAGAAGTTTCTCAGAATGCTTCTCTGTAGTTTTTATGTGAAGATATTTCCTTTTTCACAATAGGCCTCAAGCTTTCCAAATATCCACTTGCAGATTCCGCAAAAAGAGAGATACAAAAGTGCTCTATCAAAAGATAGGTTCGACTCTGGGAGTTCAATGCAAACATCACAAAGAAGTTTCTCAGAATGCTTCTGTGTAGATTTTATGTGAAGATGTTTTGTTTTCTACCATAGGGCAAAATGGGGCTCCAAATATCTACTTGCATTTTCTACAAAAAGAGAGATTCTAAGCTGCTCAATCAAAAGATACGTTCAACACTGTTAGTTGAATGCACACATGCCAAAGAAGTTTCTCAGAATGCTTCTGTGTAGTTTTTATGTGAAGATATTTGCTTTTCCACAATAGGCCTCAAATCGTTCTAAATATCCACTTGCAGGCTCTACAAAAAGAGTGTTTCCAAATTGGTCAATCATAAGGTAGGTTCAACTCTGAGAGTTGAATGCACACATCATAAAGAAGTTTCTCAGAATGGTTCTGTGTAGTTTTACTTTGAAGATATTTCATTTTCCAAATGAGGCCCCAAAGCTCCCCAAATATCCACTTGGTGATTCTGCAAAAAGAGCGTTTCAATACTGCTCAATAAAAAGAAAGGTTCAACTCTGTGTGAGGAATGCATTCATCACAAAGAAGTTTCTCTGAATGCTTCTTTGTAGTTTTTATATGAAGATAGTTCCCTTTCCACCACAGGGTGCAAAGAGCTCCAAATATCCACTTGCAGATTCTACAGAAAATGAGATATGAAAGTGCTCAAGGAAAAGATAAGTTCAACTCTGTGAGTTGAATGCACACCTCACAAAGAAGAATCTCAAAATGCTTCTGCATAGTTTATATGTGAAGATATTTCCTTTTCCAAATAGGCCTCCAAGTTCTCCAGATATCCACTCGCAGATTCTGCAAAAAGAGAGACTCAAAACTGCTGAATCAAAACATAGTTTCAACTCTGTGACTTCATTGCACACCTCACAAAGATGTTTCTCACAATGCTTCTGTGTAGTTTTTATATGAAGATATCTCCTTCTCCAAAACAGAACTCGAAGCCCTCCAAATATTCACTTCAAGATTCTACGGAAAGATTGTCTCAAAACTGCTAAATCAAAATAAAGTTTCAAATCTGTGTGATGAATGCATTCATCACAAAGAAGTTTCTCTGAATGCTTCTGTGTAGTTTTTATTTGAGGATACTTCCTTTTCCACCGCAGACCACAAAGGGCTCCAAATATCCATTGCAGATGTTATAAAAGAGAGATTCAAAACTGCTCAATCAACAGGTAGTTTCAACCATGTGATATGAATGCACACAGCACAGAGAATTTTCTCAAAATGCTTCTGTCTAGTTTTTATTTGAAGATATTTCCTTTTCTACCATAGGCCACAAACGTCTCCAGATATCCACATGCAGCTTCTACAAAAAGAGAGATTCAAAACTTCTCAATCAAAAGATAGGTTCAACTCTGTGAGTTGAATGCAGACATCACAAAGAAGTTTCTCAGAGTGCTTCTGTGTGTTTTTATGTGAAGATGATTCCTTTTCCACAATAGGCCTCAAAGCTCTCCAAGTATCTGCAAGCAGAGTCTACAAAAAGAGAGATTCAAAACTGCTCAATGAAAAGATAGGTTCAACTCTGTGAGTTGAATGCACACCTCCAAAGAAGTTTCTCAGAATGCTTCCGTGTAGTTTCTATGTGAAGATATTTACTTTTCCACAATTGTCCCAAAGCTCTAAAATATCCACTTGCAGACCCTCTGAAAGAGTGTTTCAGAATTGCTCAATCAAAGGAGAGGTTCAATTCTGTGTGACCAATGCACTCATCACAAAAAGTTTGTCTGAATGCTTCTGTGTAGAATGGATTTGAAGATAATTCCTTTTCCACCACAGTCCGCAAATGGCTAAAAATATCCACTTGCAGATTCCACAAAAAGAGAGATTCAAAACTGCTCAATCACAAGGTAGGTTCAACTTGGTAATTTGAAAGCACACATGACAAACAATTTCTGAGAATGTTTCTGTGTAGCTTTTAAGGGAAGATATTTGATTTTCAAATGTAGGCCTCAAAACGCTCCAAATATCCACTTGCAGATTGTACAAAAAGAGAGATTCAAAACTGGTCACTCAAAAGATAGTTCCAGCTCTGTGAGTTGAATGCAAACCTCACAAAGATGTTTCTCAGAAAGCTTCTGTATAGTTTTTATATGAAGATACTTGCTTTTCCACAATATACCTCAAATCTCCCCAATTATCCACTTGCAGATTCTACAAAAAGAGTGTTTCAAAACTGCTCAATCAAAATACACTTTCAACTCTGTGAGATCAATGCACACATCACAAAGAAGTTTCTCAGAATGCTTCTGTATAGTTTTTATCTGAAGTTATTTGCTTTTCCACGATAGGCCTCAAAGCACGCCAAATATCCACTTGCAGATCCTATGAAAAGAGTGTTCCAAAACTGGTCAATCATAAGATAGGTTTAACTCTGTGAGTTGAATGCACAATCACGAGGAAGTTTCTCAGAATGCCTCTGTGTGCTTTTCATTTGAAGGTATTTCCTTTTCCACCATAGGCCGCAAAGGGCTCCAAATATCCCCTTGCAGATTCTGCAAAATGAGAGATTCAAAACTGCTCAATCAAAAGATAGGTTCAACTCTGTGAGTTGAATGCTCACATAACAAAGAAGTTTCTCACAGTATTTCTGTGTAGTTTTTATTTGAAGATATTTCCTTTTCCACCATAGGCCGCAAAGGGCTCCAAATATCCACTTGCAGATTGTATAAAAAGAGAGATTCAAAACTGGTCACTCGAAGGATCGGTTCAGCTCTGTGAGGTGAATGCACACATCAAAAAGAAGTTTCTTAGAGTGCCTCTATGTAGATTTTATGTGAAGATATTTGCTTTTCCACTTTAGGTCTCAAAGCGCTCCAAATATCCACGTGCAGATTCTAAAAAAAGAGAGATTCTAAGCTACTCCATCAAAAGATAGGTTCAGCTCTGTGAGTTGAATTCACACATCACAAAGAAGTTTCTAGGAGTGCTTCTGTGTAGTTGTTATGTGAAGATATTTGCTTTTCCACAGTAGGCCTCAAATCGCTCTACATATCCACTTGCAGTTTCTACAAAAAAGAGTGTTTCCAAACTGCTCCCATCATAAGACACGTTGAACTCTGAGAGTTGAATGCACACATCACAAAGAAGCTTCTCAGAATGCTTCTGTGTGGTTTTAATTTGAAGATATTTCCTTTTCCAAAACAGGCCTCAAAGCTCTCCAAATATCCACCTGGTTATTCTGCAAAAAGAGGGTTTCAATACTACTCAATAAAAAGGAAGATTCAACTCTGTGTGAGGAACGCATTCATCACAAAGAAGTCTTTCTGAATGCTTCTGTGTAGCTTTTATATGAAGATATTTCCTTTTACACCACAGGGTGCAAACAGCTCCAAACTTCCACTTGCAGATTCTACAAAAAGACGTATTCAAAACTGTACAATCAAAAGATAGTGTCAACTCTGCATGTTCAATGCACACATCACAAAGGACTTTCTCTGAATGCTTCTCTCTGTAGGGTTTGTTTATGTGAAGATATTTGCTTTTCCACTATAGGGTAAAACAGGGCTCCAAGTATCAACTTGCAGATTCTGCAAAAAGGAGATTCAAAACAGCTAAATCCAAAGATTACTTCAACTATGTGAGTTGAATGCACACGCAAAAAAGAAGTTTCTCAGAATGCCTCTGCGTAGTTTTTAAGTGAAGATATTTTCTTTTCCAAAATAGACCTCAAAGCCCTGCAAATATCAACTTCCAGATTCTACAAAAGTGGTGTTTCAAAACTGCTCAATCAAAAGAAAGTTTCAACTCTGTGAGATGAATGTACACATCACAAAGAAGTTTCTCAGAATGCTTCTGTGTAGTTTTTATTTGAAGATATTTCCTTTTCCACCATAGGCCTCAAAGGGCTCCCAATATCCACTTCCAGATTCTACAAAAAGAGTGTTTCAAAACTGAACCATCAAAAGAAAGGTTTAACACTATGAGATGAATGCACACATCACAAAGATGTATCTCAGAATGCTTCTATATAGTTTTTATTTGAAGGTATTTCCTTTTCCACCCTAGGTTGCCAAGGGCTCCAAATATCCACTTGCAGATTCGACAAAAAGAGAGATTCAAAACTGCTCAATGATAAGTCCAACTCTGTGGGTTGAATCCATGCCTCACAAAGAAGTTTCTCAGAATGCTTCTCTGTAGTTTTTATGTGTAGATATTTCCTTTTCACAATAGGCCTCAAAGCTTTCCAAATATCCACTTGCAGATTCTGCAAAAAGAGAGATACAAAACTGCTCTATCAAAAGATAGGTTCGACTCGGTGAGTTGAATGCAAACATCACAAAGAAGTTTCTCAGAATGCTTCTGTGTAGTTTTTATGTGAAGATGTTTTGTTTTCTACCATAGGGCAAAATGGGGCTCCAAATATCTGCTTGCATTTTCTACAAAAAGAGAGATTCTAAGCTGCTCAATCAAAAGATAGGTTCAACACTGTTAGTTGAATGCACACATGCCAAAGAAGTTTCTCAGAATGCTTCTGTGTAGTTTTTATGTGAAGATATTTGCTTTTCCACAATAGGCCTCAAATCGTTCTAAATATCCACTTGCAGGCTCTACAAAAAGAGTGTTTCCAAATTGGTCAATCATAAGGTAGGTTCAACTCTGAGAGTTGAATGCACACATCATAAAGAAGTTTCTCAGAATGGTTCTGTGTAGTTTTACTTTGAAGATATTTCATTTTCCAAATGAGGCCCCAAAGCTCTCCAAATATCCACTTGGTGATTCTGCAAAAAGAGCG
The DNA here is from genome assembly GCF_000001405.40 of Homo sapiens. Lineage (NCBI taxonomy): Eukaryota > Metazoa > Chordata > Mammalia > Primates > Hominidae > Homo > Homo sapiens. The sequence goes on along the minus strand of NC_000015.10, from coordinate 17,092,635 downwards.
TTTCAATACTGCTCAGTAAAAAGAAAGGCTCAACTCTGTGTGAGGAATGCATTCATCACAAGAAATTTCTCTGAATGCTTCTTTGTAGTTTTTATATGAAGATATTTCCCTTTCCACCACAGGGTGCAAAGACCTCCAAATATCCACTTGCAGATTCCACAAAGAAAGAGATATGAAAGTGCTCCATGGAAAGATAAGTTCAACTCTGTGAGTTGAATGCACACCTCACAAAGAAGTATCTCAAAATGCTTCTGCATAGTTTATATGTGAAGATATTTCCTTTTCCAAATAGGCCTCCAAGTTCTCCAGATATCCACTCGCAGATTCTGCAAAAAGAGAGACTCAAAACTGCTGAATCAAAACATAGTTTCAACTCTGTGACTTCATTGCACACCTCACAAAGATGTTTCTCAGAATGCTTCTGTGCAGTTTTTATATAAAGATATCTCCTTCTCCAAAATAGATCTCAAAGTTATCCAAGTATTCACTTCCAGATTCTATGGAAATATTATCTCAAAACTGCTCAATCAAACCAAAGGTTCAACTCTGTGAGATAAATGCACACATCACAAAGAAGTTTCTCAGAATACTTCTGTGTAGTTTTTATTTGAGGATAGTTCCTTTTCCACCACAGACCACAAAGGGCTCCAAATATCCATTGCAGATGTTACAAAAAGAGAGATTCAAAACTGCTCAACCAAAAGGTAGTTTCAACCATGTGATATGAATGCACACAGCACAGAGAAATTTCTCAAAATGCTTCTGTCTAGTTTTTATTTGAAGATATTGCCTTTTCTACCATAGGCCACAAACGTCTCCAAATATCCACATGCAGCTTCTACAAAAAGAGAGATTCAAAGCTTCTCAATCAAAAGATAGGTTCAACTCTGTGAGTTGAATGCACACTTCACAAAGAAGTTTCTCAGAGTGCTTCTGTGTGTTTTTATGTGAAGATGATTCCTTTTCCACAATAGGCCTCAAAGCTCTCCAAGTATCTGCAAGCAGAGTCTACAAAAAGAGAGATTCAAAACTGCTCAATGAAAAGATAGGTTCAACTCTGTGAGTTGAATGCACACCTCCAAAGAAGTTTCTCAGAATGCTTCCGTGTAGTTTCTATGTGAAGATATTTACTTTTCCACAATTGTCCCAAAGCTCTAAAATATCCACTTGCAGACCCTCTGAAAGAGTGTTTCAGAATTGCTCAATCAAAGGAGAGGTTCAATTCTGTGTGACCAATGCACTCATCACAAAAAGTTTGTCTGAATGCTTCTGTGTAGAATGGATTTGAAGATAATTCCTTTTCCACCACAGTCCGCAAATGGCTAAAAATATCCACTTGCAGATTCCACAAAAAGAGAGATTCAAAACTGCTCAATCACAAGGTAGGTTCAACTTGGTAATTTGAAAGCACACATGACAAACAATTTCTGAGAATGTTTCTGTGTAGCTTTTAAGGGAAGATATTTGATTTTCAAATGTAGGCCTCAAAACGCTCCAAATATCCACTTGCAGATTGTACAAAAAGAGAGATTCAAAACTGGTCACTCAAAAGATAGTTCCAGCTCTGTGAGTTGAATGCAAACCTCACAAAGATGTTTCTCAGAAAGCTTCTGTATAGTTTTTATATGAAGATACTTGCTTTTCCACAATATACCTCAAATCTCCCCAATTATCCACTTGCAGATTCTACAAAAAGAGTGTTTCAAAACTGCTCAATCAAAATACACTTTCAACTCTGTGAGATCAATGCACACATCACAAAGAAGTTTCTCAGAATGCTTCTGTATAGTTTTTATCTGAAGTTATTTGCTTTTCCACGATAGACCTCAAAGGACACCAAATATCCACTTGCAGATCCTATGAAAAGAGTGTTCCCAAACTGGTCAATCATAAGATAGGTTTAACTTTTTGAGTTGAATGCACAATCACAAAGAAGTTTCTCAGAATGCCTCTGTGTAGTTTTTGTTTGAAGGTATTTCCTTTTCCACCATAGATAGCAAAGGGCTCCAAATATCCATTTGCAGATTCTGCAAAATGAGAGATTCAAAACTGCTCAATCAAAAGATAGGTTCAACTCTGTGAGTTGAATGCACACATAACAAAGAAGTTTCTCACAATATTTCTGTGTAGTTTTTATTTGAAGATATTTCCTTTTCCACCATAGGCTGCAAAGGGCTCCAAATATCCACTTGCAGATTGTATAAAAAGAGAGATTCAAAACTGGTCACTCGAAGGATCGGTTCAGCTCTGTGAGGTGAATGCTCACATCAAAAAGAAGTTTCTTAGAGTGCCTCTATGTAGATTTTATGTGAAGATATTTGCTTTTCCACTTTAGGTCTCAAAGCGCTCCAAATATCCACGTGCAGATTCTAAAAAAAGAGAGATTCTAAGCTACTCCATCAAAAGATAGGTTCAGCTCTGTGAGTTGAATTCACACATCACAAAGAAGTTTCTAGGAGTGCTTCTGTGTAGTTGTTATGTGAAGATATTTGCTTTTCCACAGTAGGCCTCAAATCGCTCTACATATCCACTTGCAGTTTCTACAAAAAGAGTGTTTCCAAACTGCTCCATCATAAGACACGTTGAACTCTGAGAGTTGAATGCACACATCACAAAGAAGCTTCTCAGAATGCTTCTGTGTGGTTTTAATTTGAAGATATTTCCTTTTCCAAAACAGGCTTCAAAGCTCTCCAAATATCCACCTGGTTATTCTGCAAAAAGAGGGTTTCAATACTACTCAATAAAAAGGAAGATTCAACTCTGTGTGAGGAACGCATTCATCACAAAGAAGTCTTTCTGAATGCTTCTGTGTAGCTTTTATATGAAGATATTTCCTTTTACACCACAGGGTGCAAACAGCTCCAAACTTCCACTTGCAGATTCTACAAAAAGACGTATTCAAAACTGTACAATCAAAAGATAGTGTCAACTCTGCATGTTCAATGCACACATCACAAAGGACTTTCTCTGAATGCTTCTCTGTAGGGTTTGTTTATGTGAAGACATTTGCTTTTCCACTATAGGGTGAAACAGGGCTCCAAGTATCAACTTGCAGATTCTGCAAAAAGGAGATTCAAAACAGCTAAATCCAAAGATTACTTCAACTATGTGAGTTGAATGCACACACAAAAAAGAAGTTTCTCAGAATGCCTCTGTGTAGTTTTTATGTGAAGATATTTGATTTTCCACATTAGGCCTCAAAGCGCTCTAAATATCCACTTGCAGATTCTAGAAAAAGAGTGTTTCAAAACTGCCCTATCAAAAGAAACGTCCAACACTGTGAGATGAATGCACACATCACAAAGAAGTTTCTCAGAATGCTTCTGTGTAGTTTTTATGTGAAGATATTTGCTTTTCCACGAAGCCCTCAAAGCGCACCACTTGCAGTTTCTACAAAATGAGTGTTTCAAGACTGCTCAGTCATTAGATAGGTTCAACCCTGTGAGAAGAATGCACACATCACCAAGAAATTTTTCAGAATGCTTCTATATAGTTTTTATTTGAAGGTATTTCCTTTTCCACCCTAGGTTGCCAAGGGCTCCAAATATCCACTTGCAGATTCGACAAAAAGAGAGATTCAAAACTGCTCAATGACAAGTCCAACTCTGTGGGTTGAATCCATGCCTCACAAAGAAGTTTCTCAGAATGCTTCTCTGTAGTTTTTATGTGTAGATATTTCCTTTTCCACAATAGGCCTCAAAGCTTTCCAAATATCCACTTGCAGATTCTGCAAAAAGAGAGATACAAAACTGCTCTATCAAAAAATAGGTTCGACTCGGTGAGTTGAATGCAAACATCACAAAGAAGTTTCTCAGAATGCTTCTGTGTAGATTTTATGTGAAGATGTTTTGTTTTCTACCATAGGGCAAAATGGGGCTCCAAATATCTACTTGCATTTTCTACAAAAAGAGAGATTCTAAGCTGCTCAATCAAAAGATACGTTCAACACTGTTAGTTGAATGCACACATGCCAAAGAAGTTTCTCAGAATGCTTCTGTGTAGTTTTTATGTGAAGATATTTGCTTTTCCACAATAGGCCTCAAATCGTTCTAAATATCCACTTGCAGGCTCTACAAAAAGAGTGTTTCCAAATTGCTCAATCATAAGGTAGCTTCAACTCTGAGAGTTGAATGCTCACATCATTGAAGAAGTTTCTCAGAATGGTTCTGTGTAGTTTTACTTTGAAGATATTTCATTTTCCAAATCAGGCCCCAAAGCTCTCCAAATATCCACTTGGTGATTCTGCAAAAGGAGCGTTTCAATACTGCTCAATAAAAAGAAAGGCTCAACTCTGTGTGAGGAATGCATTCATCACAAAGAAGTTTCTCTGAATGCTTCTTTGTAGTTTTTATATGAAGATATTTCCCTTTCCACCACAGGGTGCAAAGAGCTCCAAATATCCACTTGCAGATTCCACAAAAAAAGAGATATGAAAGTGCTCCATGGAAAGATAAGTTCAACTTCTGTGAGTTGAATGCACACCTCACAAAGAAGTATCTCAAAATGCTTCTGCATAGTTTATATGTGAAGATATTTCCTTTTCCAAATAGGCCTCCAAGTTCTCCAGATATCCACTCGCAGATTCTGCAAAAAGAGAGACTCAAAACTGCTGAATCAAAACATAGTTTCAACTCTGTGACTTCATTGCACACCTCACAAAGATGTTTCTCAGAATGCTTCTGTGCAGTTTTTATATAAAGATATCTCCTTCTCCAAAATAGATCTCAAGGTTCTCCAAATATTCACTTCCAGATTCTATGGAAAGATTGTCTCAAAACTGCTCAATCAAACCAAAGGTTCAACCCTATGAGATGAATGCACACATCACAAGGAAGTTTCTCGGAATACTTCTGTGTAGTTTTTATTTGAGGATAGTTCCTTTTCCACCACAGACCACAAAGGGCTCCAAATATCCATTGCAGATGGTACAAAAAGAGAGATTCAAAACTGCTCAATCAAAAGGTAGTTTCAACCATGTGATATGAATGCACACAGCACAGAGAAATTTCTCAAAATGCTTCTGTGTAGTTTTTATTTGAATATATTTCCTTTTCAATCATAGGCTGCAAAGGGCTCCAAATATCCACTTGCAGATTCTACAAAAAGAGAGATTCAAAACTGCTCAATCAAAAGACAGGTTCAACTCTGTGAGTTCAATGCACACATCACAAAGTAGTTTCTCTGAATGCTCCTGTGTAGTTTTTATATGAAGAGATTTCCTTTTCCACAATAGGCCACAGTGCTCTCCAAATATCCACTTGCTGATTCTGCAAAAATAATGTTTCAAAACTGCTCAATAAAAAGGAAGTTTCAACTCTGTGGGATGAATGCACTCATCACAAAGAAGTTTCTCTGAAGGCTTCTGTGTAGTTGTTATTTGAAGTTATTTCCTTTTCCACCATAGGTTGCAAAGGGCTCTAAATATCCACTTGCAGATTCTACAAAAAGAGACATTCAAAACTGCTCAATGAAAAGATAAGTCCAACTCTGTGGGTTGAATCTATACCTCACAAAGAAGTTTCTCAGAATGCTTCTCTGTAGTTTTTATGTGAATATATTTCCTTTTCCACAATAGGCCTCAAAGCTTTCCAAATATCCACTTGCAGATTCTGCAAAAAGAGAGATTCAAAACTGCTCTATCAAAAGATAGGTTCGACTCTGTGAGTTGAATGCAAACATCACAAAGAAGTTTCTCAGAATGCTTCTGTGTATTTTTTATGTGAAGATGTTTCGTTTTTCACCATAGGGTGAAATGGGGCTCCAAATATCCACTTGCAGATTCTACAAAAAGAGATTCTAGGCTGCTCAATCAAAAGATAGGTTCCACACTGTTAGTTGAATGCACACTTCCCAAAGAAGTTTCTCAGAATGCTTCTGTATAGTTTTTATATGAAGATACTTGCTTTTCCACAATATACCTCAAATCTCCCCAATTATCCACTTGCAGATTCTACAAAAAGAGTGTTTCAAAACTGCTCAATCAAAATACACTTTCAACTCTGTGAGATCAATGCACACATCACAAAGAAGTTTCTCAGAATGCTTCTGTATAGTTTTTATCTGAAGTTATTTGCTTTTCCACGATAGGCCTCAAAGCACGCCAAATATCCACTTGCAGATCCTATGAAAAGAGTGTTCCAAAACTGGTCAATCATAAGATAGGTTTAACTCTGTGAGTTGAATGCACAATCACGAGGAAGTTTCTCAGAATGCCTCTGTGTGCTTTTCATTTGAAGGTATTTCCTTTTCCACCATAGGCCGCAAAGGGCTCCAAATATCCCCTTGCAGATTCTGCAAAATGAGAGATTCAAAACTGCTCAATCAAAAGATAGGTTCAAGTCTGTGAGTTGAATGCTCACATAACAAAGAAGTTTCTCACAGTATTTCTGTGTAGTTTTTATTTGAAGATATTTCCTTTTCCACCATAGGCCGCAAAGGGCTCCAAATATCCACTTGCAGATTGTATAAAAAGAGAGATTCAAAACTGGTCACTCAAAGGATCGGTTCAGCTCTGTGAGGTGAATGCACACATCAAAAAGAAGTTTCTTAGAGTGCCTCTATGTAGATTTTATGTGAAGATATTTGCTTTTCCACTTTAGGTCTCAAAGCGCTCCAAATATCCACGTGCAGATTCTAAAAAAAGAGAGATTCTAAGCTACTCCATCAAAAGATAGGTTCAGCTCTGTGAGTTGAATTCACACATCACAAAGAAGTTTCTAGGAGTGCTTCTGTGTAGTTGTTATGTGAAGATATTTGCTTTTCCACAGTAGGCCTCAAATCGCTCTACATATCCACTTGCAGTTTCTACAAAAAAGAGTGTTTCCAAACTGCTCCCATCATAAGACACGTTGAACTCTGAGAGTTGAATGCACACATCACAAAGAAGCTTCTCAGAATGCTTCTGTGTGGTTTTAATTTGAAGATATTTGCTTTTCCAAAACAGGCCTCAAAGCTCTCCAAATATCCACCTGGTTATTCTGCAAAAAGAGGGTTTCAATACTACTCAATAAAAAGGAAGATTCAACTCTGTGTGAGGAACGCATTCATCACAAAGAAGTCTTTCTGAATGCTTCTGTGTAGTTTTTATATGAAGATATTTCCTTTTACACCACAGGGTGCAAAGAGCTCCAAACTTCCACTTGCAGATTCTACAAAAAGAGATATTCAAAACTGTACAATGAAAAGATAGTTTCAACTCTGCGTGTTCAATGCACACATCACAAAGAACTTTCTCTGAATGCTTCTCTGTAGGGTTTGTTTATGTGAAGATATTTGCTTTTCCACTATAGGGTGAAACAGGGCTCCAAGTATCAACTTGCAGATTCTGCAAAAAGGAGATTCAAAACAGCTAAATCCAAAGATTACTTCAACTATGTGAGTTGAATGCACACACAAAAAAGAAGTTTCTCAGAATGCCTCTGCGTAGTTTTTAAGTGAAGATATTTTCTTTTCCGAAATAGACCTCAAAGCCCTCCAAATATCAACTTCCAGACTCTACAAAAGCAGTGTTTCAAAACTGCTCAATCAAAAGAAATTGTCAACTCTGTGAGATGAATGTACACATCACAAAGAAGTTTCTCAGAATGCTTCTGTGTAGTTTTTATTTGAAGATATTTCCTTTTCCACCACAGGCCGCAAAGGGCTCCCAATATCCACTTGCAGATTGTACAAAAAGAGAGATTCAAAACTGGTCACTCAAGCACTGTGTGCTTCAGCTCTGTGAGTTGAATGCACACATCAAAAAGAAGTTTCTTAGAGTGCCTCTATGTAGATTTTATGTGAAGATATTTGCTTTTCCACTTTAGGTCTCAAAGCGCTCCAAATATCCACGTGCAGATTCTAAAAAAAGAGAGATTCTAAGCTACTCCATCAAAAGATAGGTTCAGCTCTGTGAGTTGAATTCACACATCACAAAGAAGTTTCTAGGAGTGCTTCTGTGTAGTTGTTATGTGAAGATATTTGCTTTACCACAGTAGGCCTCAAATCGCTCTACATATCCACTTGCAGTTTCTACAAAAAGAGTGTTTCCAAACTGCTCCATCATAAGACACGTTCAACTCTGAGAGTTGAATGCACACATCACAAAGAAGCTTCTCAGAATGCTTCTGTGTGGTTTTAATTTGAAGATATTTCCTTTTCCAAAACAGGCCTCAAAGCTCTCCGAATATCCACCTGGTTATTCTGCAAAAAGAGGGTTTCAATACTACTCAATAAAAAGGAAGATTCAACTCTGTGTGAGGAACGCATTCATCACAAAGAAGTCTTTCTGAATGCTTCTGTGTAGTTTTCATATGAAGATATTTCCTTTTACACCACAGGGTGCAAAGAGCTCCAAACTTCCACTTGCAGATTCTACAAAAAGAGATATTCAAAACTGTACAATCAAAAGATAGTTTCAACTCTGCATGTTCAATGCACACATCACAAAGAACTTTCTCTGAATGCTTCTCTGTAGTGTTTGTTTATGGGAAGACATTTGCTTTTCCACTATCGGGTGAAACAGGGCTCCAAGTATCAACTTGCAGATTCTGCAAAAAGGAGATGCAAAACAGCTAAATCAAAGATAACTTCAACTATTTGAGTTGAAGGCACACAGAAAAAAGAAGTTTCTCAGAATACCTCTGTGTAGTTTTTATGTGAAGATATTTGATTTTCCACATTAGACCACAAAGCGTTCCAAATATCCACTTGCAGATTCTACAAAAAGAGTGTTTCAAATCTGCTCAATCAAAATAAGCTTTCAACTCTGTGAGATCAATGCACACATCACAAAGAAGTTTCTCAGAATGCTTCTTTGTAGTTTTTATGTGAAGATATTCCCTTTTCCAAAGAAGGCCACAAAGTACTCCCAATATCCACTTGCAGGTTCTACAAAATGAGTGTTTCAAAACCGCTCAATCATTAGATAGGTTCAACTCTGTGAGACGAATGCACACATCACAAAGAAGTTTTACGGAATGCT